>NC_000001.11:118947774-119250804 GCF_000001405.40 Homo sapiens
TGGTGAAGTGAGAAGACCTGCTTGCTGAGAGCCTGGGTTCTCTCCTCAAACTGGTCCATGCCTCCCCCAGCAGCAGTACTTCATTTACTCTTGCTGAGCAACTATTGCCTCATTTTTAAAATGGAGACGTTAACTGCTTGCTCCTATGAGACAAAGATCTAGACAAAATGACCTACCCAGCATCTTGTTCCATGATCTGTGATTCTGCAAAATGCGAGCAAGGTCATGAGTTATCTTGTGGTGGTAGGGAACTAGCAGCCAAGTGTGCTGACCAATGGACCCCATTTGTTCTTTTGGTTTCTGAAGCATAGCATCTGACCATCTCCCCAGTGGTGACTCAGTGAAGAGTCACAGTACAGTCAGGGTCTCTATTATGCTAAGTGCCTTTTCCTATATTCTGATTCTCTGTTAAGAGACATACGTAGCAACTTTTCACTGATCAAGCAAAATAACCCATTTTATAATGGGGGCAGACAGATAACATCTTTAAAAGGTCAGTTTACAGTCCACACCGAGAGATTGGCTCTATCACATATCCTCTTACACAGAGGCCACTAGGCTGCAGGATAATTAGTATGGCCAAATTGCTCTAATTATTTTCAGCAAAAGAAGGCTTTGCTCAATCCAATGGCAAAATGTTCCAGGGACTGGTCCTGTGGGATTCTGAGACCACCAGCAGAGCTGGCCTTCTGCTCCCTCCTAAAACAAAAGCTAGTCCCAAAGAAACCTCAGGTTTTACATAAAGTTGCTCAACTTCTCTAGGGTCCAACCTGCCTGGCTCTTTTCCCCTCTGGGCCTCAGTGCAATTCTTCTCTCAAAGCATACCTCACTTTGCCTTTACCCCACAGAGTCACTGTTGTGGCAGGACTCAATGTTTGCAACTGTTTTTCAACTTCACAAAGAAACACCTAGTAAAAGATCTTGCTATTGATTCTCATTTCTCAAAATGATCTTGTGAAACATGCTGCTTGTTGCCTCAGAGAAAGTGACTTTTCTTCCCTCCAGAAAGACCCTACCATGGTTTGAGTTGTGATTACACATCTGAATTCAGTTTGCACAAGATAAATATTACTAAATTAGAGATAAATATTCTGCTAACTTGGTCCTTAGAAGAAAAAACGCAACATGTTTCTTATCATGCTCCTAAACTGCCTGTGAAAGACCTCTTTCTTGCCATTATTTACAATTTAATTATGAGTCAGTGTGGACCAGGATAAAATATATCCTCTTAGGAAGGGAGAGCAAATGAGTTTCAACATGCATGTCAGCTCTAGCCATTTGAATGTGGCATTTGAGAGCTTGAAATTCAGAAGCATGAGGCCCAATCCAAGCTCATAGGGAAGAGTACCAGATTGATTAGTGATGTGTTTCATGGACACAGGAGTCAGGAATAGCAGCATATGCATTACATATTTATTATCATATTATTTCTAAGGCTTCTACTGGAATGCTGCTGTGCATGAATTGTCACAATATCCCTCTTACATGCTTTCAGGAAATAAAAGCTATTGTGTCATTGTTCATATTTTATGTTATTCTTTCCAAGTGGCCCAGATTTTCCAGAGGCATCTGAGAGGCCACTAATCTCTCCCCTCTAGAAATAAGGTCATCATGTTAGCAAACTTCCTCTGCTCTGACACAGTTGTGGTTTTAATGGAGAACTAATGTCTTCATCAGTATCTGTGCTATTTCACACTTCATTTCCTCCCCAACTCTTGGATGAAAACCATCCAGTCCTGGTGATTTACTTTGTGGGAGTTTCTTTCAAGTTTGTTTCCTTCTCCAAGGATGTCACACAAGCATTTTCAGGGCTCCAGCTGGGGAGCACCCAGCCTTGAAACATCAGCGTGTGATCAAGTCACTCAAGAAACCCAATGTCCTTGGCAGGGACCTGGCCGTGAGGCCTCTTAGCTGAGGCCCTTGAGTCTGAGGATAAGAGAAAGAGCTGCTACTTTTCCTGCCTTTCCATCAGCACTGGTTCAATGGCTTAAGATGGTCCAGATTGCTAGGACCCCGAGAACTGGGAGAAAATGGGAGAAAAATACAAACAATTTGAACCCATGACCCACTATTCAGGTTGTCTCTGGATCTCTCAGTGAGTTTCACAAAAATCTCAAAACAACCTTAAAGAAAGAATAGTTTTAAACTTCTTTTATGTGATCCATAGTTGTAGCCATCATCCAATCCAGATTCTCCAAGACAGTACTTATTTCCCTTCTGTGGTCCCTGAGATACATTTGCATTTAAAATAATCTCCTACTATCTGGCTTGAAAAACCAGCTCCTAGCATGGGCACACAATAAATACCTTGCTTTTAACTTGATAAAATTCTGGCTACATGACACAGCTCAGAGAAGCAAATAGGGAGGATGAAGGAAGAAATTGTAAAAGACTGCTCTTCAGTGGCAGAAGGAACCCCCTCTTCATGGTAATAGTCATATACTCTTAGGGTTTAGGCATATGTGGCTTCTGGAGGAGAGACTTCTCTGCTGCTTTGAGGCCTCTGGCTTCATTGGGACAGGCTCTTGTCTGACTTGTGCTTCACTGAGAAGAGACAAAGACAGGATTGAGGATGCAGAATCCAAGATGAAGCCAGCTCATGCTGAGCCAAGACTCACTGACATAAAGAGGAGCTCTTTCTTCATGCATCCTTGGGGCAGAGGCCACTTGATGTGGTCTCATCTTTGGCCTTAAACATAGTTTAAATGAGGACAAGAGCCATGTTGGACCATTAAAGTATCTCCCAATAGCAGCTGAAAATATACAAGCACCTTCCCTGAGAGCAAACTCCAAGTACAGGGCCAGGCTGCGGCCTTCCCAGAAAAGCCTGTTGAAGTGGTAGTGGACTGAGCTGCCTGACCTCTCATGTGGTTTTGTTGTTGCTGTTCTGTTTCTTAAATGAACATCTGATATTCATACCTTGTCAAGTATGGGCCTTTATTATTCTCTAATAGGAAAGCTTAACTCAGAATGTCAGCTATGTTTCAAAGACCATCACAAAAAAGGAAGAAAAAAACCAGCTTCAGTTCTCAAGCTTGCCAGTATAAAAGCACAATATGCCTCACAGTTCTCATCGAAGGATCAGCTGGGTCAGTCCAAACATCACCATGTCATCTTGGTTCCTTACCAAATGAGGCAGTGGTGCTAAAAGAAAAAAGTCCAACATGCCACTGTGCACTCCGAAAAGACACTGGCATCTACTGCCCCCAAAAGAGCAATGCAGAAGAACAATTTTCATACTGCAACAAATTTAAAGTTTTAAGAAAAGATAGAATCATTACACAATTCAGATGCCATGTAGCTATCTATAAAAAGAATAGGATATTACAGAAAACAAACTACAAACTATGACTACATCTTCAATGTCATAAAATACCTGGCTTGAAATAAATTTCCTTGACAGGAGAAAAAAGATTCCTTTTATCCAGAGACCAGAAATGTTCAAACTCCAACTGTCAAAAGGATAACAAAATCATGAGAAAGGAGTTTACCTCCCAATGTAGAAGACATTTCCCCTAATTGGCTCAGCATTCTAAATTCTTGGGATACACAAGGTAGCAGCTAACATGCAATTCCCAGAATAAGAAGCAACGACAACTCTCTCCTAAGAAATAGAGATAACCTATGCCACCCCTACTTCTCGCAGCTGGAGAAAGTCCAGTGGAGGGGTTTTGAGTAACAATAATAGTCATTGGCTCTGAGCCCAGGGCAGGAGAGGCAGGAGATATGTGGAGACCCAGAACCCTGGTCCTTCCTCTCTTGTTGGCAAGGTCTCCAAATGGTTCCTTAGCTCTTCTTGGCAATTTTTAAAGGTCACCTGCTGCAACCACAGGTGCCTTTTTCTACTTTGCCTCATGCCCTCAGTTGCAACATCTTATTGTTCCTGATTCCAAGTGGCAAAACCTAAAGGTCACCATTAACCTGGGCCAGAATTGCTTCCTGCTCCTATATCTGCCAATTTGCACCACACACTCAAAAGGTCACCAACTTGATGTTAGTGTCCCAGCCCTATCTGGGCCTCACTGCTTCTCCACAGCTACAGCCCCAACAAGGTTATGTCTCTTCCCTGTGCCATCCCTGGGCAAGGGTGGGAGGGCCCTGCTCCTGCCAGTGTTCAAAATCTGAATGTGACTCTCTATCCATGCCTTCAGCTGGCAGGAATGTAGGGCTGCAGTTGAAGTTGATATAAGTACACTTGACCCTAGAACACCAAGGATTTGAACTGTGCAGGTCCACTTATATGTAGATCTTCTTTTGCCTTTGTCACCCCTGAGACAGCAAAACCAACCCCTCCTCTTCCTCCTCCTCTTCAGCTACTCAATGTGAAAACAATAAGGATGAAGGCCTGTGATAATCCACGGCCACTTAATGAACAGTAAATATATTTTCTCTTCCATGAGGTTTTCTTAACATTTTCTTCTCTCTAGCTTACCTTATTGTAAGAATATAGTATATAATACATGTACAAAATATGTATTAACCAGCTATTTATGTTACTGGTAAGGCTTCCAGTCAACAATAGGCTATAGCAGTTAAGTTTTGGGAAAATCGGAAGTTATATCGAGATTTTTGGCTACATAGGGAGTCAGCACCACAACCCTCACATTTTTCAAGGGTCAATAATACAGAAAGAAAAATTTAGAAAAAAAATAATTTTCTGTCCTTAAAACCAACCATGTCTTTAGATTCAAACCAAGACTCTAAATTCTCAATTATTTTAAGTGTGGGTTCTCATCTCACTCAGTGCCCTCACTGAGTGTCAACAGTCTTATGCCCTCTTTTTTTATAAGACATTTTACAATCCTGGGCCAACCATCAGTTCCCGATGTCTAATCCCTCCTTCTCCTGGGCAGTCTGCCCTAACATAGCTCTAAATACCTACAGAGGCCCAGACTAGGCACCTGCATAAAGTATGGCTAAACTTCCCAAGGGGGCTAGCCATAGTAGTTTTGACCAATAAATAATAGTAACTCTTTGACTCAGAAAGCTAATAAGGACTTTTTCCTTGGCCAAGAAACTACACTAGGAGCCACAAGAGACAGAAATCAAGTATTTATTTTACTTGAAATTCTGCTATCTCAGAAAATGAAGTACAGGAAACCACCAGGAAAAACTGTTGTCAGCCAAGTGCCTTTAGCACTTGAAGGAATGGTGCATCTCATATTTAGATCCACCCACAGCTCAGGCTTCTTAAAGCAGAATAGAAATAGGAAAAGATGGCTGGAGGAAAGAGAGGCACTTCATGTTTTTTAAATGTATAAACCCAATACTGACATTTTTCCATGTTGCCAAGGAATAGTTTCTGAAAAAAAAAAAATACACCTGTGGCCAACTAACAGTATTCTCTTTAAGATTTGCTTTTGTGACTAAATTAATTAAGGCCACTGGTATTTTTTCACACTAGTGATTTCTTAGGTTGTCCTCTGAACCTAACCCTCATAAATGAGTCACTGGAATTTAATTCATTCTAAATGCTACTTTTTATTTTAACCCTTATAACACCTGACTTAGCCAACCAAACGTAAAATACAAGACATAGAATAAATACAAAATAGAATGTACAAATAAGAAGAGATTAAATAGAATCTTGGCGAATTCCAACTGCTCCACATCCCCAAGAGAAACATGGGGTCTCCACTGTTTCACTCATTCCCAACCTCCCACTCTGGGCCTTGGGATCCTCAGAGCCTCACTCCAATTAGAAAGAAAGGTAAGAATGACACTCAAAATTCCAATTATAAAACACATTTTAAAGTGAAATTTCATTATTCCACAGCTTACAAAATAATATTTCAGATGGGAATGGAAGTGAGATGAGAAGGGCCATGTGCCTATAATATGTTTGATGTTACACATATGGGAATTATCTGAAACCCATGTCTTCCTAACCCAGTACCAACACTTTATACACAGGATTGTTCCAAGTTTTTTCTTTTTTTAAGTTTATTGGTTTTCACTCTCAAGAAAGTGAACAATTCTCTTCACTATGTGAAATTTTTTGATGAATGTTCTTTTGCCCCCTACAAAGGTAGACATTATTTCAGCAGATCTGAATTAGTTTTAATGAACAGTCTGAAATGAACAGTCAAGGAGTTGTCTTTATTTGAGGAGGCAGTGAACTTAACGAGAATATTGTGAGCTACCTATAGTGTCCTTTGCCTACCCTTCTAAGTTCTTATAACCAGGCCAGACCAAATAAAGCCAAGGTTCTATCCCTCAAGATTTGTCACATGACAGCCAGGTGGTCATGGGAGAAACACTAATCTTCACATGGACACTTGGAAGAGCACCATTCTAAATAGCTACTTTCCAGGGGCTGTCAAAGCTTTCTTCTTCCCCAACACATAATCAAATCAAACTGTAATAGGAAGACTAAATATCGCAAATCAACAGTCAGATGGACCTCTGGAGACCAAGGAAAGCTAAGGAGTTTCCCTGCTTGGCTGGGCAAAGCAAGGATCAAAGGAAGCTTGGAGTGGGTGGCATATCACAGCCCTGGACCAGAGGTCAGGTATTTGGCCTTTTCCTGGCTTCCAATGATATTGAATACAACAGATAAATTAAGATCAAGGCACAAGGCAGTTCTAAAAGCACCAGCCTATCCCCAGGAGATCTCAGGAAAAGAGTCATCATCTATCATGAGCCAGATCTTATCTTTACGTGGAGGAATGCTTGTCAACTTGAGAGTGGATTACATACAGCAATGTCTAATCAAAAGCCCTACAACAGGATCACAGAAGGAGGCAAACTCATCAAGAGCATTCACTTGGCCAAGGAAGAGATCCTGATTCAGGCACAGGACAAAGTCAATAAAGTTCACTATGCTCCAACTCCTGATTAACCATATGTGTGTGGAGAGATGATTACCCAAAATAGCAAGGGAGCTCAACTGCTTTCGGGAAAATCTGACCCTTTAAATTAAGGCAAGAATGGCCTGCCAGCCAATCTCAAAGACAGGAAATATTTCTGGGATTAATAACTCAACCCGATATTCATTCCAGGTTGGGGGATTTCCCTAATCCAAATGTTGGTATCCACAACTGATGCACACAGGCATCTCAGCTGGAAGCACTGCATGATTTTATAGGCCCTTGTTGAGCATACCCCTCAAGTTCCTTCAGAGCCTATCCCCACCATAAAGAGGGAAGAGTCCCAAGCACCTCCTTGGCTAGCAGAATTACAATATGTCAAGCTTCAGGCTTCATCAGGCCCAAGAGTGAGACCCACAAAGGGAGTGTGAAGAATGTAAGCCACCTTTCCAGAATCCCTCTTCATGGGTGGCATAGGAGTCACCTACATGGCATCACTTTAGGCTTGCCAAGAAGGCCTCCCCTGCCCTAAGTTTGCCTATACCTCACCATGGAAGATCAGTTAGCCCACAGGTTTATTTTTATCTAAAAGGGGCTTTTAAATATGTAGAAGCTCCCTTCTTTTAAAATGCCATCTGCCCTTTAAATATGAACAATGTGATTAAAAAAAAAAATGGATGTTTAGGAAAAGTGAAGTCTGGAACTGCTATAGTGATTTTGCTCATACAAGGGAAACTCCAGAACCACCCAAGGTTATAAGATTAAACTAACACAGAAAAACTTTATACTTATACACAAGTCAGCATCTCACTATATCTCCCATCTCACATATCCCAAAGCATTTGGTGTTGTTTCAGAAAACCAATCAATCAATGAATAATGGGGGATGCTAATAAGAATAATTCAGGGCCCTGCTCCCAAGGCTTTTACAATCTAGTGTGTAGACAGTGTGGAAATACAAAACTATTCAGCCAGAAGAAAACCTTGGTCTGCTTTTCTGCGAGTCAAGACATTTTCCGCTAGAGTCTAGAAAAAGAACTCTCAGAGTCATTTTACAAAGAGTAAGAACTCCCTGCTCTAGGGCCATTAGAAAGTGAAAAAAGGCAGGGAATCACATAAGGTCATCCTCTTCTGTTTCAATTCCCTGACCCTATTCTAGAGTTTATGGAATGCTTGTATATGGAAATTTAGTAAGACCCAAGGATTAGTTACAACAGCCCACTCTTCCCTATGTGTGCCTCATGGAGATTTATAGTTCAGGTATAAAAGATCGTCTACCAAATAGTTATCCTTCCAGGCAAGGTAAATGAGCACAGAGTTTATCCTAGGTCTTCAAAGACCTCTCATCCTAACGGTTATGAGCTGTGGGTCATGCCTGGCTTCTCCATCCATAATCTCCTTGAAGATCTCTAATTAATAGGATTAGTGCCCCTTATAAAAGAGGCCCCAGAAAGTGACCTCGCCCCTTCTACCACATGGGGACACAGCTAGAAGGTGCTATCTATGAATCAGGAAGCAGGCCCTCACCAGACACCAAACCCCAAATCTTCCACCACCTTGATCTTGGACTTCCCAGCCTTCAGAACTGTTAGAAATAAATTTCTGTTTATAAGCTACTCAGTTCATGGTATTTTTTTCTAGCAGTCTGAGCAGACTAAGACAATAATCTTGAATTAGATCTTAGATTAGGAAAAAAAAATACTAGTACTGGATATTAGGACAAATGGTAAAATGTAAATACCAACTGGGTTAAATAACAGATCGTATCAATGCATGCGTCTCCAGTTTACTAACAAATAGTTCAGAAAAAAGTTAGGTATTTATATATAAATGTTTATACAAAAACACACACAGAGATGGCAAATGGAGCAAAATATAAACAATTTGTGAAACTGTGTAAAGGGTATACATGAAGGAGTTCCTTCTAATAGTTGCTGTAAATTTTCTGTAAACTTAAAATTACATCAGAATTAAAAGTTCAAGAATGTTTAATCATTTTGGAAAATCATCCCAACAATTTTGAAAAAATAACCACATCATCAGAGAGCTGAAAGATATTCATAGTCTTTTAAAAATAGATTAAATCTGGCCGGGCGCAGTGGCTCATGCCTGTAATCCCAGCACTTTGGGAGGCCGAAGTGGGAAGATCACGAGGTCAGGAGATCGAGACCATCCTGGCTAACACGGTGAAACCCCGTTTCTACTAAAAAAAAAAAAAATTAGCCGGAAATTAGCCAGGCATGGTGGTGGGCGCCTGTAGTCCCAGCTACTCAGGAGGCTGATGCAGGAGAATGGCATGAACCCGGGAGGCGGAGTTTGCAGTGAGCCGACATCGCACCACTGCACTCCAGCCTGGGCAACAGAGCGAGACTCCATCTCAAAAAAAAAAAAATAGATTAAATCCACTAACACTTCAAGATTACAGAAGTCACAACAAAAGAACATTCAGCCTAACAAAGCTGAAGATTCCGAATGGGTTCTCTAGTTCCTGCCTACCTCCATTCCTGTGAGAAATTTAGAAAATTATACTTGGCTACTGAATGTTATATTTAACTAATTATTGTAATGTTGGGTAAAATTCAAACTATTGTTGAACAATGAAAAAAATTGAGCATTGAAAACACAACCATGCACTTGACAATAATCAAGGAAGAAAAAGGAAATGAAGAATTTGGTCAGAGTCGGACCAATCCAGTGAGGGTCAGACCTTGCCCCTTTGACTTAGAGTAATGCCTTGGCCCACTGCTCTACCCCAGATCCAGGAGCTGGGTTTCTCTAGGGCAGGACCAGGACTGGAGTGAGGTGGGCAATGCACTGGCCTGGAGTGAAAAATTTGAGGGACACCAAAAATTTCAGCAATCAAGATAAATAATATTTCAATGCAATATTTTATTTTTTTAATTATACTTTAAGTTTTAGGGTACATGTGCACAACGTGCAGGTTAGTTACATATGTATACATGTGCCATGTTGGTGTGCTGCACCCATTAACTCGTCATTTAACATTAGGTACATCTCCTAAAGCTATCTCTCCCTCCTCCCCCAACCCCACAACAGGCCGCGGTGTGTGATGTTCCCCTTCCTGTGTCTATGTGTTCTCATTGTTCCATTGCCACCTATGAGTGAAAACATGCAGTGTTTGGTTTTTTGTCCTCGCGATAGTTTGCTGAGAATGATGGTTTCCAGCTTCATCCATGTCCCTACAAAGGACATGAACTCATCCTTTTTTATGGCTGCATAGTATTCCATGGTGTATATGTGCCACATTTTCTTAATGCAGTCTATCATTGTTGGACATTTGGGTTGGTTACAAGTCTTTGCTGTTGTGAATAGTGCCGCAATAAACATAAATCATGCTGCTATAAAGACACATGCACACGTATGTTTATTGCGGCACTATTCTCAATGCAATATTTTTAAAAATTAAAATTAATGCAAAAATTTGCCATGAATGAAGTTATCAAAATATTTAATAAAATAAAGATAGTGCTATAGACTGAATGTTTGTGTCCCCACAAAATTCTTATGTCAAAACCCTAACCTCCAATGTGGCAGTTTTTGGAGACGAGACTTTGAAGAGGTAATTAGGATTAGATGAAGTCATAAGGGTAGGGGTTGGTCCAGTGGGATTAGTGCCCCTATAAGAAGAGGCAGCAGAGAGTTTGTTCTCTCTCTCTACCATGTGGATGGCCATCTGTAAATCAGGAAGAGAGCTCTCACCAGAGCCCAGCCCTGCTGTACCTTGACCTGGGACTTTTAGCCTTCAGAGCAGTGAGAAATAAATTTCTGTTGTTTAAGGCTCCCAGTCTATGGTATTTTGTTATAGCAACCTGAGCAGACTAAAACAGACAGGATCAGTATTCGTGATTTTTTCTTTTGCTTCAGGTTCCAATATCACGCCAATATTTTGATGTTTAGTTCAACATAGATTTTTTTACATTAATTCTGAATTTTTAAAATACTGCACTAAATATTATTTATCTTGATCAGTGATATAATTTTTGCCTCCGCATGGTCCTGGTCCTACCCTAACAAACACAGTCTATGACTCCATTCCCACCACAATATCCTTCCATATTCCCACCAGCCCCACCTCCCACCTCCCAGAGAAGTAGCTAAACCTCATGGTTCCTGGGACTGCATTTCACCAATGTCTTATCTTATTAGGCATGTTGAGATGCTCACCAATTCCTACCAACTCTACCCGGCCACTACCTCCTCTGCTTTCTGATGGCCTGGTTCAAAAGAAGAAAAATATTAAACAGCTGTTTCACCCTAGAAGGAGCAAAAACAGAGGCTGGAATAGTAAATGAGAAGGAAGATTGGTAAAAGATGGGTAGAAGACCGTGCTTATTGTTCCAGTATTATAAATACTAATTAATAGGGAGGCTCTCTAATTTGGGAAGAAAAGGCCTTAGTGGTCATCAGAAGGTATAATATCAGAGAGAGAGAGAGAGAGAGAGAGAGAGAGTATGTGTGTGTGAAGTTAAACATATACTCTGGTAACATTCCTTGAGGGAGAGGGTAGAAACTAAGAACAAAGGAAAAAGGGGAATGTGGAATAGAGTGGGAAATGTCAACAATTAAGGCCTCTTCTGCACCAGGAACTGTGCTAGATACCTCCCACATTACCTCAGTGAATCCTCCCAACTATGAATGCTGGGCTGTGGAGGATACACCCTGATCCATGCCAGAAAGCCTTCAGGCGAATAAGAATATGTATTTATAGACATCTGCAAGAGAGACCATCAGCTCTCCTTTGGAAGGCAGACAGCTGTGTTCTGCCAGGTGTTCAAGGCTTCTGCAGCTGAACATGAAATGTACAAGGTGTTTCAGGCCTGAGAGATGATGGTCCTTGATATTTCCAGTACCTAACCTCTGTCAGCACTGTAGAGGCTCCAGATTCTGTAGCTGGAAAAAAACACATCAGCCCTGCCAAGCTGAACTGAGCCTTCCCTGGAGTTACTGCCACTGCAGCACCTGTTTCACTGCTGTTGTGTTTTCCCTAAAACCACCTGAACACTCTGAGCACTAGCAAAATATAGAGCTTTGTTCTCCAGAACAGTGTCAGTCCTACTCCAGCCCCCTAATTCATCATTGTTAAATAGTGAATGAACTCAGTTCAGTGAGCGAGGGGAGCTACATATAGACCAAATGAGAAAGAGATGAAATCTGACTTCGAAATCAGAATAGGCACAAATGTCTGCAATAAATTCAGTACATCCAAAGATGCTCTGATTACAACCAGAGTTAGGAGCCAATTTCTCCTCCTTGTACAGACACCTGGAATATAGTACCTTGGGGTGGAGTAGAGAGGCATGTTTCACCTGCGGCTTCCCAGAGAAAAGCCCTAGACTGAAACCATCTTCTCTGAATCTCTCCTGCACTCCAAGAAAAGGCCCAGCAGCAACTTAGAAATTGTCAAGACAGCTGCAGGGCTAGCTGAAGAATCACTGGAGCAAAGCAAAACTTGAAGAGAAAGAGAAAAAAAAAAAAAAAGAAGAGAAAAGGGAAGTCAGAGCAAGGGAGAAGAATGTCTGGCAGGAGCCTGTGGTTTGAGTGAGGCGGGATGGGGGACCCCCTGGCTATTTCTGCCTCTGTTTTTGGCGGCCTCTCCATCTTGCTGTGTTTATGGGCCTGACGTGACTTTCCAACTAAGTACATCCGCTAGGCTTGCACTGGAAAACTTGCCACCTTCCGCCCAGTTCAGGTTTCATCTGATTCACACCAGGAAGCTCTAGTTTCGAGAGCCCCATGCATTTTTGCAGCTGAATGGAAACAACTGGATGCAAATCAGACCTAGAGAACACCTGCAGCTCTTCACTGCCCTTGCACCTCCATCTAACCTTTGAAGCGAATGGCTTGGGTGGCCAGACTCAGTGACTGAGCTTCTCCAAGCTTTGAGATCCACAGCTGCAAGCTTCCCAGGACCCAGAAGAGGAGGCCAGTCCTAAAAAGTACCAAAGTTTATACAACACAATTGAGCGACCAGGAGGCCAAACTGGACAATGAGAGGAATGGCTGCAGGGAAGGCCTGCCAGGGTAGAAAGCACAAGGTTTAATTTATAGGAGATGACACAGCCTCCCAGGCAGGCTACTGAGTGAGCCGGCAGAGTCTCCCTCAGGATCAGGGCTTCGTGTTCCAAAGTCCAGGCTGGTGTGAGGAAATAGGGACAAGCGGCCACTCTGACTCAATCATCCCCAGTGTTTGCTACTTGTTGCTTTGAAGGGAGGAGGGAGGGCAGAGTCGAGGTCTGGTCAACACAGCAGTGGCTCAAAGTGCAATTTAATCATCCTGGACTTGGCCCAACCCATCCTCTTGGTGTGAGGGAGGAGCAATTTGTTATTGCTGCTGTCATCGACACTGGGCGGCCATGGACAGAGATCTGCAGGCAGCAGCAGTAGCAGGAAAGGCTGGGGAGCAAAAGAAGTGAGTGGCAGTTGTGCTGGGCTATAGGAACTGCAGGAGAGTGGTGGCCCCCAAGGACTGGGAATTCATGCAAGGTCCTCTTCATCCAGGCCCTGCTATAGGAAACCTGATGGGAATCAAGAGACTAAAAATGATTTCCTGGTTCCCCCTTCCTAACTCAGGCTCTGTGCCCCATACTCTGTTCATATTCTGTCGAGACACCCATCCCCCTGTGTTTCACTTGTCTGATTACATATCTGTCTTCTTAAGAGCAGAGAATGGTGTTTATTCATCTTTATACCTCCCAGCACCTAATACCATATTTGTTGAATAAGTGAATCAACTATTGCTATGATGAGAGTGTGATTCATTCTCTCCACTGAAATTGAGCATGTACTCTTCTACAGTCTCGATGTTTGCAAAGTACTGCTAGGAATCAGGCAGCCATCTTCCTTGGGGAGAAGGAGCATTACTCAAAGTGCATGAGGGGAAGGGAGATGTCAGAAGAATGCCCCATTTACTATGTAAAATTCAGGTTCCTAGAGCCTTCCTCTGACTCTCTGAAGCAGAAGCTTGATGATGGAGGCCAAAAAAGGATAAGAAGTTTCATCTCACTAGATCCCCATATTTAAGTGTGAATCCTGAGGCCTAGGGAAGAAAAGTGATTTGCTCAAAATTTCCTATCTAGTACTAGCAGAGCTGGGAGTATCATGTGTCTAACCCCATTCTTTCCCACTACAAGCTGAGTCACTTCCATGAGCATCTCCTTGGTACCTGCTACCTGGGGGACTCTCTGGTGAGCTCTGAGGGGAATGCAAAGATGATTAAGGCACTATCCCTGTCTTCAAGGTATGTACAGTCCAAGTGCTGAGATAAGACCCTCTCCTATAATCAAGACAGGCTATGGTACCTATTGGTACCCATGCCGAAGCAAATGACAATGGCTTTGGTCTTCCTACAACCCAATATATGGATGTTTACTGAAGAACTTTTTAAGTTACAGTCAACTTCTACTTTTCCAGAAGAACTACAAGAAGCCAGGATTAACATTTATATCATGAGGATATGCCAATTTTTCAAAAGTTCTAGTACATTAAGCCCAAATCCTAGCCAACAAAATTTCTTTTTTCTATGAGGACAGTGTTACACAAAAGGCACATTCATTTTTTGTAGAACTCTAAGGAAAACTGTGTAAGGGTCCATTACTACAGACCAGCACTGATAACATTTTGGCTATGTGAGCTTACAATTTGTTCCAATATCAGATAAATAAAAAATTGACTATCGCTTTTTTAGGTAAACCCTAAAGACAGCCTTCAACTTCTGGTTGCCTACATAACCTCAAATCGTGCCTACATTTCCTCAATGCGTAATGACAATTCAGCTGATGATAAGGGTAACTATCATCACTTCTCCCAAAAGTAAAGCAGGCTACTTACTCTTGTCTCTGTGGCCAAAAGCAACCAACAACACCCCCTTCTGTATTTAAATGACAATGATGCTCGTTCCAAAGCCTCAAAATATCCTAGATGGACAAGTGGAAAACTGATAAGGCTTCATGAACTTCAGTGAACCACCTCACTACCTCTAATCAATTATGAAATACTAGTGTATCATATCAAAGTGCTCTCAAAAATGGCCAAACCAAGTGCTAAACTGAAGTTTTCATGTCCCCATAAAGTGTAACCTCTAGGATTTAAGGGACTCTCTCTACCCCTTTACAGTTTCCTCACTGTATCGGTTTACTTAGCTACACAATAAAGCCTTCAGTGGGAATCTAGAAAATTGGTGACAATGATGATCTTTGGAAAAATATCAGTGAACACTGACCATTTAGGTAACTGAATTAATTTAGAAATGGTTATTACATAATTAAATTACAAGTTGGTAGGAGAGATCTCAAAAGCAGAAATAGTTTATGACAACCCCTCAGTTCCATTAAAACTAAAACTTTCTAGAAAAGGGAAGAATGAAACTTTTAAGGAAGATGGCATATTTGGAAAATGGAGATAAGAAACAAGTCACTTTTGAAAGTTTTTCATTCAGGCTTATCATTACATTGTCTAGTCTCTGAAAGTCTTTCTAACCTTTATGCTGTAAAGCCTAACATTCTTGTTGAAAAAGAAAAGTAGAGAATATACATCTAAGTAAATAAAATAATCCATGACAGACCTCACATCCTTAGAGCAAAACCCAGCCATAATATTAACTCACAGAAATGAAGAAAACGTGTGTTTTTATGAGGTTAAAAAATATAGCAAAAAGTTGATTTAGGACACTGTTTTATCTGAACTATTACTAACCAGGTATTTGAACGGCTCTTTCATTGAATCAATCCTCTCCTTTACAATGTCTTCCTAAACACTTTGTTTCAGACCTGCATTACTGCTTACCTGGACCACCACAGGCACCTTCCCTAGTGATAGTACAAAATATTTCTAGTTTCATTCTTACTTGTTTCCCTCTCCTGAGCATCAGAATACATAGCTAAGGCCCTCTGTTCTTAGACAGGGCTATGATTAGTTTTGAACTGTGACATATTTAACTTACAGGCTAAGGCCCCAGTGTAACTCTCTTCCCTAGCCATGGCAATATTGGAAGCCATGTGTTGAGATGGTGGAACTATAAAATGAAAGCAGACTGGGTCCCTGAGTCACCACTCAGAAGAGAGCCATGCTGGAAGATGTCCAGATTTCTCACAGTATTACAGACTATTACATCAGTGGGTCTCAATTAATGAACTCTTCTTCTCAGTATTTGTACCGTTGTACAGTCTCCTCCCACACTGACCCTGAGTTTAGTAACATGACTTGCTTTAGCCAAGTGGACTTTTGTAAGCATGATGCAAGAGTTGATACATGTTTGCACACTGGAGCCTGTCCTCTTAGAACACATGCTTTTGGAGCCCAGCTGACATGCAGTGAGGACGCCCAAGCTAGCAACATAGAGAAGCCATATGGAGAAGAACGGTGGAGACCATCTGACAGCCAAAATGGAGACTACAGACATACATCCCATATTAGGTCATCTCAGCCAGCCATTTAAGCCACCCCAGCTGAGGCCCCATGTATCATGCTGTGCCCTGAATACCTGACCCACAGAATCAGGAGCAAATGAAATGGTGCCACTAAGGGTTTTAAGGCACTAAGCACAGAAACTGATAACTGAAACAGTGAGCAAGAAATAAACTTGTATATATTAAGCCACTAAGACTTCAGGGTTTGTTTGTCTTGCCATGGGGCTGAACCTATCCTGACTAAACTCATATCTCCCCATTTCTTATCTTTCCCCATTCCATGCTTTAGCATCCTATTTACTACTGTGACATGAATCTTCCTAAGGCATAGCCCTGGTTATGTAATAGTTACTGACATTAATAGATCACTAATTGTTGGTGACTTTAATTCTTATGACAAAACCTTTATAGATAAGTAAATGGAAGTCAAGAGAAATTAAGCAACTTACCCATGTTTTCAGAGCTAATAAGGATTAGAGTCACAATTCAAACCCAGCCTAAGCTCATAACCACTATCCTCCTTGAAAACTTCCAGGGGCTCCAAACATCTACTCAATTATCCTTTCTGCCTAGATTGTAAAGTTTTTAGGGCAGGGACTATTCCTTACTCATCTACATATTGTAAGTGTTCAATAAATAGTTGTCAAATTTCACTGAATGGGCTATTTGTCTCAGGCATCTTGTAAAAACAACCTGAAGGCTGTGCATGGTGAAAGAAGGCATATGCACTGGGTCAAATCAGCCACATGGCTTATAGCTGCTTGCAGCCACTCTTTGGAGAAAGGTGGGAATAGCCAGCTGGAGTCATGGTTTGGGTCCCCCTCCAGGCTTTTCCAGTGGTTCCAATTCTTTCCTACTACAGGAAGAGATAAACACCCTTCATATATTTCCTCTCACCCCCAACTGCAAGGAAAACAGTAACACTAATTAGTTGTAACAGGGTGTTCATTTCACACAGGTCTCAGCAGGTTGCCCTGCCGTTCTTTGAAATGGTTTGGAAACAGCCTTTATTTTAAACATCTGAAGATAATTGAACCAAAGTTGCACCCAGAAACCCTGACTGACATGCCTTTTATTCTCTCCCTCACTAACAAGAAATGTTTGCTGCCATTTCTTATTTACTCAACACCTTGAAAGCCTCCGGCACTGAAGACTTGCACCCCAGGATCCTAAAAGAATGAGTTAAAGTAATGATTGGTAATAAATGGAGGAACAGGGAAGCCTGAGATATCAAACAAAACCCTATGCCTGTTTAAAGAGAAGAAGGAATTACTCTACAAATCTATAAACTTAAGCTCTGTATCTGGAAAAAATGGAGAAGTTGGAGGGAGAACAGAAGAGAATTTATGATGAAATCAATTTGCAAGCATTATACCCTTCAAATACAAGGGTATTAGGTAGCAAAGACAAAAATATTTTCTAATATATTGTTGGCAAATGGATAGGAAAATGGGCTGTCATACACTGTGGGTGGAAGTGTAAATTGAACAACCTTTCGGGAGGGTAATCTGGAATAACCATCAAAATTTTAAATGCCATGACTTCAACTGTACAACTCTACTCTACTTCTAGAATTTATTCTATAAGTGCTATCACAAGAATGCCCAAAAATAATCATGGAGTCTTATTTAAAGAAGGAAATGACTGGAAACAACCTGAAGGCTCGTCAAAATAGGTTCAATAAACATTATGAAAGATCCACACGATGGAATTCTATGAGACTTTTAAAAGAGGGGGAAGTGGAGAACTTGCAAGAATGACTATTTGACAGTCTCCAACATAACAGCTCAAAACTAAAATTATAAAGTCTAAAGTACTATATATATTATGCCACAATCTCTCTTTTCATTTTAAAGGTTTGTATATATACATATGTGTGTATGTGTATATAAGGACTCATATAATATATCATACATGTATGTGGAATGATGCAAAAGGAAACTGGTAAGAGTGGTTATCCTGGGATAAGCTCGGAAACTAGGGATGGGAGATTGCTCTTTATGCTTCTCACTGTTCATTTTGGGCTGTTTGGATTTTTTAAAAGTATACAAATTATCTGAGTTTTTTAAAATTTATAAGTAAAAAAGAAGAATAAGTAAAAAATATCACAGCCTATTAGAGAATAGAAACTGGGGCCAACACAATCTTCTCAGGCACAGAGGTGCACCTGGCACTTTAAGATGAAAAGAAGAATAGAACCAATCTTGTGACTTTGAGGTTTTGATTCAGTCTTTCAGGGAAAACTGGAGGCCCATGAACAGAAGAAGATACCTAATGGGCTGTCACCCAGCAGCGATTTCACAAATCGTGCAGAGCAGGTTCTCCTGGGCCTGCTGGGCAGCAGCTGAAGAAACACAAAAGTAGACATTCTGGGCTTAGAAACACTGGCTCCTCAAAAAAAAGTGAAGGAAACCCTCTATATCACTACTGTGTGCCTCTAGGCCTGGCCCTCAACCCAATTCCTAGGAGAACTAGAAGAAAACTCATTGCACATTCAGAGGCCCTTAGAATGTAAAATGGTATTCGGCCTGCCTCCAGCACATCCTCTAAACTTCCATCCACACTGCCCAGGGTAAGGAAATGAGGTACGGAAAGGAGGAGAGTATACTGAGGAAAGGAAGGTATATTGAGGCTGGGCATTTTAGCAGGAAAGCAACAGGTCTATCCCAACAGCTCTGCTCATACCTGGCTGTGATCTTGCTTAAGCTGTCTTCATTTGCTTTCCTGCTTCTAAGATAAGACTAGTGGTTTCATCTTCTATGTTTTTGAGAGAATAAAATAAAATTGTCAACATGATTTTCTGTCCTGGGACAGACAGTACTTTGAGAAAATAAACTAATATACAAATATAAAATATTAGCAGTATTATGCAAGTGATCTTTTTGGAGAAAAGCCAGTGATTTGACTAAATTTTCCAGCCAGCTGGTTCAGTCAAAACAGTTAATCTGATAGCTCAGCACAGACAAAAGCCAAAACTATGATTATTCATTAATTGCCACACATGTTAATTAATAGGGCACTTATTGCAAGCCAGGGATGGTGTGAAAACTAGACATACAGAGATAAAGACAGACTCCTGACCTATAGGAAATACCAGATCTAGTGAAGAAGACAGACGTAAACAAATAATTGTACTCCAATACCATCACTGTGGTATTCTGTTAGAGGTATAAGCAAAGTACCACAAGAGAAAAAGAAAAGGGTTGACCTCGAGACACCTACATTATTGACCTTCACGTGCAGATTCACCAAATCTTTATTTTTTATTTATTGCTTTGTATTGTTTTCACTTAGTCAAGCATCTAAGTGAATAATTTCAAAAATGAAGGACTAAAATTGTCAAGATTTCACAGTGGTAGAAATGCTATATAAAAATCATAAAAATGACCTATAAGTAGCAGCATAATTAGGCAATATTTCAAACAAAATGATTTAAAATGATGTGTTTGCCACCACTGAGCTAAGATTTTATGTTCTCTGTATGCCTGACAAAGATAGCTATATTCCGTACAAACAGCACCTCATCTGCCAACTCAACAAATCAAATCCATCAGTTAAGTGAAGGAAAGGGACAAGTAGAAGATAAAATAGTCAAAGCAGTTATTTAAAGCCATGTAGACACAAGAAGAGGTTACCCAAATGTTTCACTTTTAAACTTGTGTTTTATTCGATTTGGTGTTTCATTCAGGTCTAAATATCATCCTAAGAGTTGCAAATGTTGAGCATAGCTCCCAGAGTTAACCTGCATAAAATTAAATTTAATTCTAATTTAATTCATTTCCAGAATGGTATTCTGTTGTCAGTGTTAAAACCCTGAAGGAGTTTCATTTTCCATGACCTCTATAAAATAACAAGCTGTATTTGCCACAGCCAGAAAAACATCCCAGGCCTCATTTGCTTAGGGAGCCTGTAATCAGACATTACTTACTCCTCTCACGTTATTTCAATAGCCATAGTCCCTCCTATTAAAACAAAAAGTAATTTTCTGACTTAGCTACAGTAATGAATATTCTCAGTTATGACATTTGTTTGTATACTGGTAGAACTATTACAATAGCATTACAAATACAGTTTCCGGAGCACTGTGACCATTTTTGCCAAATGTACACTTGTCAGTCTTTTTCTCCTGGGAATTCCTAAGAAAAAGAGTGGTACAGAACAGTGTTTTCCAAACCTGGCTGTCCATCAAAATCATCGGAGGACTTTTTCTTTTTTTTCTATTTTGAGACAGGGTCTCCCTCTGTCACCCAGGCTGGAGTGCAGTGGCGTGATCTTGGCTCACTGCAACCTCCATCTCCCAGGTTCAAGTGAGTCTCCTGCCTCAGTCTCCAGAGTAGCTGGGATTACAGGCATGCATCACACTAATTTTTGTATTTTTAGTAGAGATGGGGTTTCACTATGTTGGCCAAGCTGGTCTCAAACTCCTGACCTCAAGTGATCTGCCCACCTCGGCCTCCCAAAGTGCTGGGATTACAGGTGTGAACCACTACGCCCAGCCTAACATCGTCTGAGGAATTTTCTGAAAAACAAACTTAAATGCTTTCTCTCAATGGTGTGTATATATACACACATACACATATATATTGCGAATATATGCATATTGCATTTGTGAGTAAACAGCCTGTTTTGCCAATGCTGTTGGGTGAAGAAGGAAAGACCCAGAAGTTCTCAGCATGGAAACTAGTTTGAGGGTTTGTTCTGATTTGGGCTTCCAAAAGAGGGTGTTGGTGCCCCACTTCCCATCTAAAGAGAACCATATGATGTGAAACTTGGATTACAGTCTACAGTGAGCCCCAGAGCCAGGCACAGGGAGCTTCCCTGTTTACCTAGACCCTCTTTTTGAGGAGGGAGGAGGGAGATAAAGACACCAGGCCTCTATCTCCATCGTGAATACCAGGCACTTCAGCTTCTTTGAAAAGTATTAATATGGTTGGGATTAGAAAGTAGGTTTTGGGGTTTTCCTAAGATAGAACAGCCCAAATGGCATAATCAATACATCACCTAGCATGGATTGTTAACAAGATCTGGGTTAGAAAAACCTTCTTGCAAGTCATAAAAAGCAACTGGCACAGCAGTCAGATCTCTTGCCCCAGATTATCTGCACCATGTTCCTTAGCATCGTGGACAAATGGACTCATTCCCTGTACCTACTGAGCTCAAAGGATAGACCTCTCCCAGTAGCCTATGGTTCAGGTTCATCCCATCTTCTCCATCACTGAATAGGACCCATTTCACTGTGAAACAGAAAATAGGAGAGCTCAAACTGTGTGATTATTATAGGGGTGTCAAGGCAGTGACCTTCTGGGGTTATTCTCTGGAGTTGTTGATTCTGGCCTCTGGACCATGAAAGACCTGAAGGGAAGCCTATAAGAGAATTCTGTAAGCCTTAAGGATCAGCATACAGATGAATGAATAATGAACTTTCAAATCTTTATGGACAATATATATCCTCAGAAAGCAGTTCAGCATCTGAAGAGACTTCTTGTTCTTCAGAGGCATCAAATTGGGTCCTTCATGACCTATAATCAGATCTTGGTGAGTCATCTTGTACAACCCTTCCTGGGTTGAGTCCTGGGTCAGACTCCCTTTCTAAAGAGGATACAGAATAAGAACCATGTTGGAGTGGCGTTCTCCCAGAAGACACTAGGTCATTCAACAATTCCTAGAGTCTGTTGGCTATTAACATTTAGAAACCCACAAATGTATCTTGAAGAAGTATCCTCCAAGATTCAGGATCAGGGATTCTCAACTAGAGAAAGATAGACTAGGTTATTCTGATCATTTACATATTAAGTGCAGAGAAACTCTCTTTTCCCATGCTTGGAGCTCAAGGCATCCATTCACCTCCAGTCTGTTGGCCTTTGATATACTTTGGCTCTATGTTCCCACCCAA
Organism: Homo sapiens; assembly: GCF_000001405.40. Taxonomy (NCBI): domain Eukaryota; kingdom Metazoa; phylum Chordata; class Mammalia; order Primates; family Hominidae; genus Homo; species Homo sapiens. The sequence continues at coordinate 118,969,902 of NC_000001.11, forward strand.
ATGTCATGTTGTTTTGTAATCCTCAGTGTTGGGAGAGGGACCTGATGGGAGGTGATTGGATCATGGGGTTTCCCCCTTGCTGTTCTTGTGATAGTGAGTTCTCACAATATCTTGTTGTTTAAAAGTGTGTAGCACTTCCCCCTGCGTGTTCTCTGTCTCCTGCTGCCATGTGAAGACATGCTGGCTTCCCCTTCACCTCTGCCATGATTGTAAGTTTCCTGAGGCTTCCCCAGCCATGCCTACTGTACAGCCTGTGGAACTGTGAGTCAATTAAACATCTTTTCTTCATAAATTACCCAGTCTCAGGTAGTTCTTTATAGCAGTGTGAGAATGGACTAGTACAGCCTCCTTGTGTAAGTTTGGCCCTCCACACCTGTCTCCACTTTGCGGGATTTAGAATATAACAATGGCTTGGAAACCACCACCCCTGCAGAACCCACAATGACACTGGGTCAGCCCTAGCAGTCCACTGCCACTGTGGGCATACTAGCTGAGAGTTCACACTGAATCAAGGAGACCTTTATCTTCTAAACCAATGGATTGTTAACAAGATCTGGGTTAAAGAGAAACCGTCTTGCAAGTCATGAAAAGCAACTGGCATAGTAGTCAGAACATCTCTTTCCAAGCAGCAGCAGGAAGGCAGGTCATAAGGCATAAAAGAAGAAAGGAAATAGCAAAGTGAGGCTGTTTTTCTCCTTGACCATCTGTGTCAGAACCAAAACAGTACTGAGGATTTTACATGTAATTTGACAGGACCAAAAAGCACCTGGCACTCTGTGGATCTCTGCGGCTGACTCTTGACTGTGCAGTTTTTTAATGCATTCTCACAGAGCTGCCTCATATTTCTCACCCCTCCATTTGCTCAGTGATTACCCTGTGTTTGAGGGGTTTTTCTCCTTCCTTCTCCTGACAATCTACCTTCCCTGGTACCATGTGGCTGAGCCCTAAGCTGGGATCTCCTGTCAGTTCATGCACATATTCCCCACTGCTCTTGGGAAGGAAAAGCCAGAAAAAATTTCTGTCATTCTGCTTCAAGTTAACCCAATTCTGCTCTCTCAGGAAAACACACACTATCTGTCTTTCACTTAGAAACTTTTTTGCACTTCTGTTTAAGAACACTAGATAGTTTCAGATTGCTTTTTATTCTATTTCTTTTTCTCCCTTGCTGGGCAGAAAACAGAGGCTGCCGTGGTCACAATCCTGAAACAAATAGGAAAAGAGGAGGCAGAGAGGTTCCCACAATCTAATTATGCTTCTAAATGCTAACACCTCATCAGGCAAAAGCTCCAAAAAAGACTCCATGAGCATTCAACAATTTCTATCTACAAAAATGTTAAATGTCCTTTCTTTCTTTCTTCTCTAAGTCCAGAGGTCTTATTCCTATTATAGAGATTCCAGAATATAGAGAGATCAACAGACACATTCCAGGTCACACCTACAGGTGACTGGCAGGCACCTCATGCTGGGCTCCAGGATCATCTTGAAGCCAAGTCATCTGTAAAGTGGCTGTAGTGGTCACAAAACCCATCACTAAAGTTTGACAACCACCAATTCAGTTTTACAAATGTTAACTGAGTGCCAACAGGAATTCAAAGATGAGTAAGACACAGTGCTCTCCAGGGTTTTGCAGTCTAGTTGGGGCTTGTAAAATAAATATTTCTTCCAAAAAGTTATAATTCAAGGAAAAATATGTTGGATGTCATAAGAAAGGTACAAAATATTAATTTTTAAAGGCTTCTAACTTATCCATTCATCTACGACCAATTCTAAAATGTAGAAAAGATCAACCAAAACAATTGTGTGAGTGTGCATATATGTTTACATGTGCACAAAGATGGCCACAGAATAAGAGGGACAGCCAAAGCCAACAACCCCTTGGGTATAGGCATCAATTGCCCAAAAGTCTAACAGTTAATGTCAATCTAATAGGGCAAAAGGAATAGAATAGGTGTGCATCCTGCCAAGAAAATAACAGGTTAAAACCAGATTACTGTCCTGTTGATAGTGTAAAGCCGGCAGTTATTCTATAAATGATAAAGGCAGGACAGGAGCCTTGATTAATGGTCAAGTCAGGTTACTTGGTGAAGACCTCCTTCCAAGAGGAGCTGATAATGATGGCCAAAGGGGGACCCTTGTATTTGTACAATCTTGGCTACACCTTTGAGAGTTGCAGAATACTTAACTGGGGCTCTTTTGTGACCACAAAACCACAGAAACACCCTGGTGCCATTTTGAGAGGAAACCAAAAAGACATCCCTAAAAGAAGAGCTCCCTTTAGCCAACTCCAAGTTAAAGGTAAAATTGGTGCATCCAAGAATTTTCCTCCATTACAGTATACCCAAACATATGAGCTCTGCATGGACACATGTAATGTTCTGAAGCCATTATATGTTTGGATTTACACATCATGTCAATTAACATTTATATCAAATTGCCCTTTTCCTTCTTAAAATGATCCTGTCATATTTGGTGCTCAAGATAGATCTTGAAAGTAGAATAAACTTTCTTTAGAAAGAATTTTATGGGAAAAAGCAGGAGGAACGGTGCTCCAGACAGCAGCAATAATGGCATGGAAGAGGAGAAAAAGCCTGTGTGGAGAGGAGCTGTGAATAGGGCAGCAGTGAAAAGTAGGCGAGGAGGGTAGTTTGGTAGTTTGGGACCATCTTGTGCCAACACTCTCCAAATGGTTTCTTTTCCTTTCTTTTCTTTTTTTTTAGATGGAGTCTCACTCTTTTCATCCAGGCTGGAGTGTAGCGGCGCAATCTCAGCTCATTGCAACCTCTGCCTCCCGGGTTCAAGTGATTCTCCTGCCCTCAGCCTCCCAAGTAGCTGGGATTACGGGTGCCCACCACCACACCCAGCTAATTTTTGTATTTTTAGTAGAGATGAGATTTCACCATGTTGGCCAGGTTGGTCTTGAACTCCTGACTTCAGATGATCCACCTGCCTCGGCCTCCCAAAGTGCTGGGATTACAGGCCTGAGCCACCATGCCCGGCCAAATGGTTTCTCATAAAAACACTAAAGAGTGTCTGAGTGGTCTCAATGTATGAAAAGTATAATTATGAGCAAGGTAGACAGATGATAATATTGAGCACTCCCTAATTTTGCACCAAATATGACAGGAATATTCTAAGATGGAAAAGGGTAATTTGATATAAACGTTAATTGACATGATGTATGTACCAGGTACTATGCCAAGCACCTTAGATTTGTTATCTCACTTAATTCTCACAACAACTCTGCAGCAATATTATTGCCCTCATTTGACATGTACACAGCTGAGGTACAGTGTGCCCAGGTCATGTGTTCAAAGTCACAGCCAGAAGAGTTGCTCAAATCAGGTCTCCCTGACTCCTCCCTGCAGTTCAGTGCTACTTCTTTGGCCTCTATCTACTGTCTTAGTTTCCCATACCAACCAGCTTTCTCTGCTTCTAGTATATGAAGGCTGTCTGCTTTCATGCTTTCATACTCACACTCATGCTCATCTCCCAACAGAGGCCATCCAATACACTACAGGGTTAGTACTCAGCTGACAAGATTATGGGCAAAAAAAAAAAGCCCTCAGAATTCAGAAAAGGCGCTGAATAAAAACCTCTCAAAAGTCTAAACCTATACACATGCCCAAAAACTGCCCTTATAATAAAGCAGATTTTTCATTCTCAGCACTGGCCAGCAATGAGCCACACAGCTGTGGAAGCCTAAGAATTTGGGCAGGAAAATAGACTGGCAAAGAAAAAGAAGAATGTAGTCAAGCCCCAAAGAAAAAAATGTTAACATCCGGAACCAATTCACCCACGCAGGCTAGGGAACTGTTACACCCAGTTCTCCATAACACCCCTCAGCACCGCCCCCAACACTCCCCTACACACATACACACACACACACGCACACACACTGGCTGAGGCTTGGTTTACTCTCTGCTCACCCCTAGAGCCATCAAATTGGCCTGTGTCTTCAGGAAGCACCTCCTACAGTACCTACCACCCAGTCAGAATATCACAGAGATGCCTTAAATCTCTGTGTTGTCACAGTCTAATCTGGGTAACGCACAGTTGTACCAGATGGGATCTAATGTTCCCAGGATTAATGTTGGTCATGCAACTAGTGCTCTGAACACTGCAGGGAAAATGAAATGACCAAGGCCTGGCTGGTTGCATACCTTGCAGAATCTACATTTCTAATGTGATAGATCTGATGGATGAGATCCAGTAAATCACCCAAGATTGCAGTGTTCATCTCATCCTCTGCCACATTCTATATTTCAAGAGTTTGGCTCTCTATGGGTTCCTTAGGAAAGGAAATGGACCCAGAGATTCATATGCTTCTATTGCTGCAAGAGCGTATCAAATCCCATCAATCAGTTGCCTGCATAGAGTGGTGCTGGCAACAGGAGAAAGCAAAGCTTTAAAACAGAGATGGATTTTACATCTTTCTCTTTTTTGCTTCTGAAAGCCATTTTTTTAATCACTGGGCACAACAGACAGGAATATGACAGACTGTACAACTAAACAGCCAAGAAACACATTAATGCTAAAATCCACGCACCAAAACAGGGGCAGGGGGCTGGATTTTCTTCAAATCCCTGTTGGAGACATCAGACTTCCTAAGAGAGGAAGGTTACTTGGAGTGGAGAAAAAGTAATGGAAAGACAGTGAACAGGTGTGCCAGAAAAGCATGAAACCTGCTGTTAAGTTCTCTGAAACTCACTGCTGGCATCTCATCCACTTACAGCATTAGAAGAGTAATGGAGCACAGGGTGTAAGTGTTCATTGAGAAGAGAGACTTCTGCAAATAACTGCTACCATACCAAACAAGGCTACTCTAAATAGAGTTGTTACAAAATAAATGAATCAGAGCAGTCACTCAGAGGTTAAAGTTAAAACCTCTACCCTAACAGCGGGTGTACTTGCCGTGGGTCCTCAAGGCAGTTTCCTAATCCTAGGGCATTAAAAAGAAGCCACTGTGGAAATCAGAATCTCTTCCTTTGTAAATTCAATCCATGGCAAAGGGATTTCAGCTGTGATTACTGAGTTTGAAAAAAGTCAACAGTACTTAGAAATGCACGAATTGCCCGTCATTGCAACTGATATGTTTCTAAGCTGTTCCATTTTGAATCAATTACCAATGAGATTCCATCCATCCCATTGTGAATGGAGAAGGGAATGGGTAAAACAGAACAGTTAAAGTTTTCCCCCGAATTTCACTGCATGAGGAGATTTAGGATGCAGAGGTTTTAGATAAAATTCAATATGTAGTCACTACACTTCAGACACTGAGATTTTTGTGCATTAAAGTCAAAGAAACGCAGGTCATGTCGGGAAGGCTGCACGTGTGCCATTCCAAAGACCATGGCTTAGAAAACAACCCTATATCACTGCCACAAAAAGACCTTTACTAGCAGGTATGGAAAAGTCACCTTAGGAGCAGAGGAACTAAGAATGACAAGCAAGGAAGGAAAAGACCTGGAAACTATAAATAACCTCTCTCTCATTCACAATTTAACAATTTCTGTTTTGGTGACAACGTGAGCAGCAAACATAAATTTCCACCTACAAAGGTTCAACATTCTCCCTAGAGCTCTTAAGCATCATCTACAGGGCAGGCAATATAATCTAGTGGTTAAGGATATTATTCTGGTGCCACGCAGGGCTGAGTTTAAATTCTGGCTGGGTCACTTAAAGTATACTGGAACTGTGCAACTGTGGGTGAGCTATTTAATCTGTTAAGCCTCAATTTCCTCATTGGTAAAATGGGGAAAGAATTACCTTCCTCAAGGCCTATTGGGTAGATGCAATGAGAGAATGTGAATAAAACCATCCACACAGTACCTGGTACAGAGTGTGCTCTCAATCCATGAAAGCTACTGCTGGTTAGAGTTGTGGACACTGAGCAAAGACAATGCTTGGAAAATTGGAGAAGTATAGTAACATCTGTCTTGGAGATAAAACATAGGGCAGAGTCTAATTTGAACACTGAGACCTGGCTTCCAGAAGGAAAGTGCAGCTCCCTTTTCCTCTGGATGGTCAGGACCTCAGCACTTCTTCTTAAGGGCCCTGGGCTTCTTGAAGGAGGCTGAGGAAAGGATCTCTTCTCTGTTCCTCTTTCCTAGGGAAGCCACCTTCTCCCTCTGTTGCCAGGAAATAATATAAACAAAGTCTAGGGTGAAACAAAAATTTTAAAAAAGTAGTAAATGATCAAATCCAGGCTTCTGTTTTACAGAAGGAAGAAAACTGGGCAAACCAGGGCTGCCAAATGTGGGTTGTCCAGCCGTAAACATGGCAAAACAGAGCTGGGGTTTCTGTTGTTCCTCTAAAAAAAAACTTCCCAGATTCCTCCTCCCCGACATTCAGCTCAGTTATAGGTTTTCTTTTAATTTAGTCTCTTTCTTCTTTTATTCTTGTTGTTGTTGTTGTTTTAATTCAGCCATGCAACACCCACTAATCCTCTACTGCAGCTTCAACTAACTGGGGCAACTGGCTGATTTTTCCCAGAATCCTGGGGGTACATTGGAATATGGCTTTACAGACAAAGAATGAATCCTTCTATTTCCTATCCGGTAAAGTCTGGTTTTTTGGGGATTTCTGAGCTCCGGGAAGAAATATCAAAAACTAACCAAAGAGAAACATGCTTGCATTATTCCACTTCCCTGCATTCAGAAAGGCCCTCCTGTCTTCTCAGAGCTGAGCTCCTGGGGAAGTTGGTAAGGCTGAGTCTCCTCAGCCCGGCTTCTGCTCACCCCCTCTTCCTACTGTATGCCAGCCAGCTACTCCCCACCCCTTCCCCAGATGCTCACTCAGGTTGGCATTTTGCCTCAGTGGAACATTCAATAGCAAGAGCTGTCAAAATTCCTTTCGTCTTTATTAGCCACAGGTACTCAAATTCTGTACTGTTTCTAACTGCGGGCTATAAACAAAGTGGGGATTCCACTTCAAGTCCCACACATTCCATTTAAAGCAAAAGAATGGGGGAGAGGGGCAATGGCTGCTATAGATTATAATTTGCAAACAATTTCTTATCCAAGCTGCTCACTAAGGTGAGTAATCGCTGTCAATTCAATTGACAGGAATAATAGGCTTTGTGCTAAATCTTTTGTTCCTGTATGTGAACTATCTCATGTAATTCTCAAGTAATCCTTTAGTGAACACATTTATTATTCCAATTTCATAGATGCAGAAACTAGGGTTGAGGGTGATTAACTAACTTGCCCAAGGTCATACAACTAGCAAGTGTTAAAACCAGGGCTCAGACACATGAAGTCTGACCCCAAGAATCTGAGCTCTTAACCACTACACTGTATAATTCATTCATTCATTGCACCAAATAGAAATGATAATAAGATAGAGTATTTTGTGAGTGTTTTGATATACATATAATTGTTATATACACATATATATGCACATATATATATATAGCACAGGGGCTGGCACAGAGTGCCTATTTAATAAATGTTGCTGTTTCTTATCGTTGTTCTTATCGTGTTATCATTATTATAGTTTTGTTATTTATTAAGTGCTTCCTATGTAACAGCCACTTGTCCTAGGTTCTGGAGATACAAAAACAATGAGGACAAGGTCATTGGCCTACAGTAGTTTATAGGGTAGTAGCGACAGAGGACAACTAGTAAATCCACAGGTTCCATGATTGCAGAAGTCTGCACAGGGGCTGTGCAGAATGTGGACATCAGATGACGGTGGGGAGCCATCACTGGAGTTTGAACCCACCTGCAGAACTCTGTAAGGAAATAAAGTCCTACAGATAGAAACACTAGAAACCCTCCTAGGTGTATGCTGGGCACAGTTTTGCATCTGACCCTGCCCTCAAGTTCAGCAGCTATGAATAGAGGCCTTGAATGCTAAGCTGTCTTCTGATCTATCTTGTTGACAAGCGTTTTGCCTGTTACTAAGTCATCCTTTTAGCATTCTCACATCTCTGCCAGATCAAGATCTCGGCTTAAGCAGACTAGACATGGAAAATAGTTACTAGTGCTTTCCATCAGACTCAAATAGTAATGAGGGGGCAACTGATTTTTATTAGCCCACCAATTCAACTCACCAGTGATGAAGTTGCTTTTTTCAACCCTCATTTTTCAAATCCAGAGTTTTTCCAGTTATTTCTGGGAATGGCACAGAAAATGTTCAAAGCATAAATAACTTACATTTCCTTTAAATTCGCTAATGCCGTAGAACCCTTTCAACAGCGTTCACGCAAGCAACAATAGGTTACATCATACACAAGGACTGGAAATCACTGATCCAGGACTGTTGAACACGTGATATTAATATAAAAACTTTTTCAAGAACTTTACCAAAGCTTTTAATTCTAGCTCTAAAAATCTCTCTCTTTTATTTTTATTTTTTGGTCTTGTGTTGCTATTGCTGTTAATTTCTACAACTGCAGTAAAATTCCTTCGTTCCAACAAAGTAAGGATGGGTCAAGTGATGACCAAAGTACTTTAGGAGAAAATGTTAATATTTCAAAAAGCAAAACCAAAGTTAGGATCACAGAATCTCGTAGCTAAAGGGGCCTCAGAAGTCATTTGAGCCTTGTCTCCCTCACTTCACAAATGAGGCACTGAGGCCTCATCAGTGGCTATAAAACAATTTTGAAACTTTTTTTCAACATTAATATGTCTGGTTTTAAAACAAATATCCCTGGTTCCAACATCAATTTCAAAGCTAGCACTAGAATCTAGGACTCCTAACTTAAGCTCCTTCAGCCCTCTTTCTACCATAAAAATATGGATATAATACAGAACATGAAGGTCTGTGTTGAAAGCTTTGCAGGAGAGTGAAGACATATATATCCACATAAGTAAGTAAAGTTTCTGATATATTTTACAATTCAGTATTCCTTTGCAAGTTTGTTTATACCTTTAATTTTTTAACTAAATCCTTCTTTCTAAATAGTACGTATAGCCCCTCCCACCCTTTGATGCCAAAAAATATCAAATTATTAATTAACCTTCTAAATTGAGAAAACATTTCTGAACCCAGGGAAGGCACTGCTGTGTTCACAATCTCTTGTTGGCTCAAATGTTTGCCCCTCCCCACTGTGAAAATCAGTTATTTATTTTTCAGGAGCAAGAGTGGAAGAACTAAACCACCCGAGGCACCTAGCCCCTAGGTTTACAATTCGGAGCCCTGTATCCTGGAGAGATTAAAGCTTTGGAGCAAGGATGCATCGGGACAGGACTTCCCTCCAAAGGGAAGCCATTCCCGCCGGGTTCTTAAAAGAACGCAGTTATTTCAGCTACTAGTAGTCACTTCTCACTCTGCTTTTACACTTGGTTGGTTTCTTTTTCTTTCTTTTTTTTTAATAAAAGAATTCGTTCATTGTTTTTTAATCCCCAAGAGCAGCGGGAAGGACAATCATTTGCTTTTCTTTGTCTCGGTGGGCAATGCCCGCTTTCTGGGCGTCAGCGTCCCTGCCTCTTAGGCACCCAGGGATCCTCCACGTCACGATCCCACAGGATGACTTTCCTTTTTAACAGACTAGCTACGATATATACTGACCCTAGATTTACCCATTTGGAAATGGTTAGGGATTAAAAGTTCTTCAAGCCAGCGGATTCTTGGTTTCTAATTGCTAATGTTTGAAGTCAGTTTGATTCCTCGGAAATTTGTTCTGCCTGATGAAAGCAAAAGCTCGAACTCCCCTCAGGGCGCGAGGTGTGAGACCCTTGGGTTCCATTTGCATTTCTGGTTTGTCGTTGGCGGGTTCCTGATTTGTTTTTGTTTTGTTTTGGTCTGTTCTGTTTTTTGGGGGGTGTCTTTCACCAGGGCCTTCCCGGTTAGCCCAGGGTCCCCACATTTCTCCAGGATGTAATTAGAGCTAAGAACAGCCGCCATCCCTCAGGGTTCCGGGTCCCGGGTTTCCAGGGTCCCGGGTTTCCAAGGCCCCGCGATAACCCCGGGCGCACGCGGCGCGATGCGGCGAGGCGAGGCGAGGCGGTGGGGCCAGCGCGGAGCCCCAGGCGCGAGAACAGGAACTCGGGCTGGCACACCGAGGCCTCGCAGCCAAGCCGCGCCTGACCCGTTCGCCGTTCCGGCCCCGCGGCGCCTCCAAGGCCGGGCCGAGGGGCCGAGGGGCCGAGGGCGGGCAGACGCGGCCACGGCCTAATTCTGACTTCTGAAGGTCACCGAAACTGCGCTGTTTTTCCAGAGATGGGTTGAAGAGAAGAGATGCAATCCCAGTTCCTTCTGCGGCGAAACGGGATCTGAAATTCTTGGAGAGGGGGAAGAATTGGACGTTTTCATCGTGCGTGGAGGAAAATTGGGGGAGGGGAAGTGAGTGGCAAGTAAGGGGGTTAACTGCTTCCCGGACCCTATCCGGAGTTTAAACTACACGCTCCCAGCTGTGGGATAGTAAAGAGAACGCAGCGGTGAGGGGATTCGGAAAATCGGTTCATCCAGTTGACAACTAAAAGCTAAAAAAACTCCAAGGCTCCGGGCTAGGTCTATAATAATGACCTCTCTAATGTTCCCTTTCCAAGGGAACTCTACTCGTCATCTGTAGTGGGTGGTTTGTGTTTTTGTTTTTTAATCCTCTAAAGTGTATGGCAACATTTTGGAAACTGTCAGCTCATTTGAGCCTTGGCAACTATATTGTAGAAAATGTAAGAAGACAAATAAGAGGACGTTTTTACATGCATTTCTTACGTTCTTAAATTAATTTCCCCAAATCACGATGTTTCTCTAGTTATTTCTATAAGCCATTTTTATTATTAAGATTTATCTTAGTTATTCCGTTTACTTTCTACATGGAAGAACATGAAACCACTTTTTAGAATAAAAAGTAGCATTCTGCCCATCCAAAATTAATACAAATTACAAAATTAAATGCCAAATTTAGTTGGAAAAGTTTCCACTCCTCCTGTTCTTTTAAATAGCATCTGTACAGTCTCAATTTCTGGTATTTTGACTGGTGCTTTTTTTTTTCCTTCTTTTTTGAGACGGAGTCTTGCTCTGTCACCCAGGTTGGAGTGCAGTGGCACTATCTCGGCTCATTGCAACCTCCGCCTCCCTGGTTCAAGCGATTCTCCTGCCTCAGCCTCCCAAGTAGCTGGGATTACAGGCCCGCACCACCACACCTGGCTAAAATTTGTATTTTTAGTAGAGATGGGGTTTCACCATCTTGGCCAGGCTGGTCTTGAACTCCTGACCTCGTGATCCCCGCCCCCCGCCTCGGCCTCCCAAAGTGCTGGGGTTACAGGCATGAGCCTGGCCTTGACTGGTACTTCTGACTTTGGTCACAGTCATCAGTTTATTTACAAGTTAAATGAAAATGCCCATTACCTGGAAGTTTCAAAACTGGGATGCTTTAGAATCGTCCCATGATACCTAGGGGTGACAAAACTTTTGGCCTCCCAAATTTTATACATTCCCAATTTGTTAAACTAGCTACACACACACACACACACACACACACACACACACACAATGGCAGTTTCTTGTCCCAAATTTTGTCTACATCCAATTCAGAACTGATATTTTGATGTAGATATAGTGTTCTGGTGATATTATGGTGTTCACACATAAGTTTGTGTATAAGCACATACATTTGTGAACATATGTTTTATACACTTATCTATAAAATAAATAAAACACTAGCTAATATTAAAAGTATAAAATGAAAAGTAGTCATTTGCAAGGCCTGTTTTCACTTCTGGTATCAAAAGCTCATCATCAGTTTTGCAGTCAGCAAGATATCCTGCCTAAAAGTGAAGCCATTAGTGGCACTGAAGAAATGTTGATTGGTCCTCACCAGTTTCTTGAATTCCCCTTTTCCCATTTCACAGCGGGTCCTCCCTACTAAATCATATTTTCCACCTCTGACACTTAGAGCAAGGGCCTCACTTAAATTAACTAATGATTATCCTTCCCCCAAAGAAGTGTAAACAGGACCCTAATTTATAAATTTGCTAATTGCTGTTCCCAGTGCAGACCCCTGAGTATGTCAGTCATGCACATATAAAATTCCAGACTTACTAGAAACCAGGAAAAGCAAAGCAAAAATAAACTACACGGATGAGAAAGAGTAAGGAAAAGAGATTCCACATTCCACCAGTTCCTTAGTTTTCCCTTTTGTGAAAAGTATCTCAAAAGGTCAAAACATAAAGCTCAGATGGGAAAATCATTTAAGTATTTTCTCCTATTGAACAACTTTATCTTTTGAGAGTAAGAAAGCAATAACCAGCTGCACTCCCAGAATAATAATCGAATGGAGTCCTGTTTCCAGAAAGGAGAAAGGTATATAGCATGCCAATCTGCCCTTTATCCCTGTGGAATTTGTACAGTTCGGCCTTGCTTTAAAAAACAAAAAACAAAGAAAAAATTATAGCCACCCTGAGAAGGAATTCACAGATTTAAGAGGTAATTGTTTTTCTCCCGGGTGTGAGAAATAAAGTTCTACCAGAGTCTATAATCAGGATCTCAAAGCGATCCTCTCATCTTATAATTTTTTTGGCAATAGAACGATTGTGATGGACCGGAAATATTTCACTCAATAATAGCATTGCATGCCCTAAGAGAGGACTGGATGAACACAATGTTTAGGCCTTCTAAGCCAAAATGTAGTTGTCCCTTTCTCCTTGTGGCCTAATATGAGGGTTAATGACGAGGAACTCGTTTCCATGTTTACACTCATGAAGCACATTATACAGATAAATGGGGAACACAAAACACAATACCCAGTATTTTTAGTTTTGGTCCCCAGTTTAGGCATTGCATGCCATTCTTCACTCCTCACATGCTGTCTATATTAAAAGATTTTAAACAAATTTTCTTTCATAATTAAAAGATTTTTAACCATTTGAAGTCATTGGTATGGGAGGTGTCAGAAAAATGGCAGACGATTTGTGTCAGCATCATTTCAGTCTGAACTCCTGTTTAAGAAATTTAATTCTCCCTTCCTCCCTGCATGAAGGTTGCCCCCATGAAATCTTCCTTCTGGGAGTTTCACCTATACAAATCAAGATACCCAAAGTGGCAAGCTCAGAGCCCAAATATAGTGCTCAGCAAGAAATAACGTTGAGTTGGGAGTAGATCTGAATTTAGAATTGCAGCGGCGGTAGACTGTGTGTGAAGTTGCCTAGGAAAGCCTTCGCTGCCCATGAGGTTTGTGCTTCCCCAGCGGGTCTCTGAGGTGCAGAGGTGGACGCCAGAGGCGGGTGAGGGGTCGCCCTGCACTTCGTGGCAGCAAAAGGAGAGACCCGCACACCCCCTTGTGATCCCTGGGTCTATCATTACTGGCTTCTGAAGCGCGGGAACCTAGGGTGGGAAGGGACCTTTGGAGATGCAAACCATAGCACATTTTACCTTCCTCCCTATCACAGTCCAAACTCTACATCTGGGTTTTCCCATTCTCTGAACTTCCCATTGCCCTAGTGCAGTTTGCTGTGGTCATTTCTTTGGGTGGGAACAGGTTACAATTACTTCCCTTTGCCTACTGGTTTCTATTGTGCCACCGCGCCGGGGCCGGAGTTTTACATAGAATGTCTTCATAACCATCCCCGCTGCCCGGGAACCCAGCCCCGCGCACCCAAAGGGCGTCTAATTTAGTAAGATCCGATCAGTGCGCAGAAAAAGGCCCTTGGCGGTCATCCCCTCAGCGAACAATAATCCTCACTGGCCCATGACAAACTCGGGCCTTAGATCCCTCTCGCTTCCCTTCACACAAGGTCACTTACCAAAAGGGTGACCTCCGTGGAAGACCGTTTTAACCTGACAAGCGAGTACCTTGCGTAAGTCCACCAGGCCTCACCCTTGACTCCTCGGAGCCAGGCACCTCCAGGCCAGCACCAGTGCAGGGGCGTGCACGGCAGAGACAAACCAAGGTTCCTTGTCCCTGGACTCAACCCCAGCAGACCCTCCGGCATCTCACTCTACGCGTTCGCCGAACACCCTGTCCCTGCGGTCTGAGCTCCGGCCTGTGCCCTGGCTGGCGCTTGCCCCGCGCAAACACAAACACATTCTCCCCCGCTGGCTTGAACTCATCACTTTTTATTCGTTACTTAAACGTCAGTAAAGAGTCACTTCCTCCGTGTTCACCCTGTTACCCTATTGGGGGTTGGAGGTTGGTAGAGAGGTGATGTCAGAATTAAAATCTCTGAGTTTTATTTTGAGCAAACAAACCATAAACTGGCAGATTAATTCATGTGACCACTTGATCTAGATAACTCCAAAGAAGAAAGTGCCCTGGGGCGGCCGCGCTTTCTGCAAGGGCTTTTCCTATCTCATTTCACTAGCAGTTGAGCTGACGGGTGCGTGCGAGAATGCGAGACCTGCCACGTGTACACGTGTACGCGGAGTGTCGATCTGCCTGCGTGTCCTTGGATGTGCCTGTCTAGGTGCCCACCCGCGCGCGCCACCACATCCCCAGGCCTCTGGAACGCAGCTGCTGTGTGGCCCGGCCCGAAGTTTCTGGAGGAGGAAATCCCTCCACAGAAGGTTTACATTATTTCGCTCCGCGGGAGACCCGGCTTCGGCAGCACTTAGCAGAAGATTTTGGCGGGAAAGGCCCAAGCCCTAGCTGAGGACTCCGGGTGGAGCAGGGGCTGAGGTCCGAGCGCAGATGGCGCCGCCGAGCGCCTGAAATATACTTGCAAGGCCGCAGCAATATACTTGCAAGGCCGCAGCCGGAGCAGCTGTTCCAGCCGATCCTAGCTCGAAAGTTCCTCTGTTGCTCTGGGAGAGGGCGGGGGAGAGCAGGCTCGAGAGCCAGGCTCCTCCGAGGCTGGTCTTGAGGCACTTCTCTAGTAGCTTCTCCAAAAGACTGAGAGTGCCGGCGTAGGTATGACAGTGAGGGTACCTCACAGACCCTTCTCCAAAGTCTGGCGGGCCTTGGGGTTTTTCGGGGCCACCAGGCTCGGTGGAATTTTTGAAACGCTTTCGAAATACATAGTTTCCTCTGTGGAGTGAGTGCCTACAACGCGCAGGCCGGACTGATCCCCCGTTGCTGCAGGTTGGTGCCCCAAGCTGCGGGTGCTCGGGCGCCAACTAAAGCCAGCTCTGTCCAGACGCGGAAAGAAAAATGGGCTGTGAAAAAGCAAAAGGCCTCGTCTTTGAATGAAAGTTAAACATTAAAATCTGACCCTAGAGTTGTCTAAAGATCGCGGAATTTTGAAGCTCCGGCAGAGCGGACTAAAAAACGGTGCTATGAGAGATGGTGAGAATACTCTAGGCATGAACGTGTGCGTGTGTGTTTGTGTGTGTGTGTGTGTTTCATTCTTCCCGCAAAACAATTTTTTGTTTTTTTCCTATTCCCGGTTTGTTATCGGCCTAGGGCGGGAGAACCACGCAGCGGCTTCTGGGCCCTAAGGACAAAAGAGTTAAAACAATGAGGCTCACCCGGGAAGAGACGCTGCCCTGGGCACAATAGGGTCGCCTGCATTACTCCTCCATACACACATCTTTAAATGTGTCCCTGTGTGTGTTCGTTAGGGTGCTGTATTACAGAAAAAGAAAGGCCTAAAAACACCCCCAGCCCTGGTCGCGCCTTTCGCTACCGCCTGAGTCTGGAGCCGACAGCTCCACCTCTTCTGCTCCCTGGACCGCCGCGTCTCCACGCCACGGCGCCCTTTTTACTAAAAGATCTTTTCTCATCCTATCAGCAAATCGTTAAGAAAGGCTTAGCCATTGCGGGGGCTCCAACTTAAGGATTCCCCCGGCCCACTAAAAGGCTAGGCCCGGCCTGTAGCCCAGCTCCGCAGAAAGCCAGAGGGTGCTGGGCTTTCAGCTTCTTCCTCCTAGACACTTGCCCCACAAATATATTTCGTTTTCTCTAATCCAAATACCCATCTTTTTCTTTTTTAAAAAATGATAACGTAATGGGAAATGACCAACCGAACTCTGTTACATAAAGTTAGTTCTGTTAGATCTTCCACCCCACCCCCATCCCGCGGGAGCGAGTAAATAGAATTCATGAGCTTAGCTCCCCAGGTTCACGCTCTGGAATGGTTTCTTTTTGCCTCATTCCCTAAGTTTTCTCTCTTCTGCCTCCTGAATGGAGCTCAGGCTAAGGAGAACGGCAGAAAGAGCAAACTCTGATCTGAATCTCTAATTATGACCCCATGTATTACCCATTTGAACATAAGGCCCTAGACGGGCTCCGTGCGATCTGGGGCCTCCCAAGAGAAAACTTCCCCGGGACAGGACGTCTGCCACGCGCAGCTAAACAACTTCTGTTTTTTCCGCCGTGGGGAAAATAAAAGAACCTTACAAATTCTAAGGCGTCATAACCCCTGCAAGAACTTCTAACTGTATGAAGGCCCACGCGAGATTTTGACAATAGATAAATGAGCTGAGGAAATAGGGTCTGGCCAGCGAAGGGAAACACACAGTAGCCCTGGGTGCCTTTCTGGAATGCCCACGCAGGGGTCCGCGTGGACAAGCACTTGCATTCAAATACAGGAAAAGGCTTGGACGGTCGAAATAAATCTCCTTTTAATTTTCTTTTCATCGACTAATAAAAATAATTCCCCAGCACTAAACTCAAATACCGTAACGGGCCACAAAAACACGGAGAATTCATAAAACTCTATCTCTGCAGGTCACCCGCTAATCGCATTATTATTAGCCTCGGGAGCATGGAAATTGAACTGTCACTGCCTAAAGAGAAAATGTAAGCGACAGCTGTCCCTCCTCTGAGTTGGACAGCTTTGTGGCTGAGATCCCCAAGCTCCTGAGCCCCAGACCGTCTCTATCCCAGTGCAGGCCGCTGCCCCCTCCCCGGGCTTGTCAGCGTGTGAAGCGGGGTCTACTCCCCAGCTCTGGCTGTTCAGCAGGAGCACCTTCCAGCATGGTTTTAGAAGTCCGGGCTGGAAAGCTTCTGAAACCGCTAAACCAAGTTGCGAGCGTTGTATGTGCGCGCGCGCACACTCAAGATTCTTCCGACAACAGCTGTTCCCCCGGGCTGTTTTTGCACAGTTGAAATCTTGGCACTTAACACAAAACGTTAAAGTTGGCTTCTCCCCTCCTAGGGTTCTGTTAAAATACAGACATGACATCCCCCCTGCTTTTTACATGTTCCGTGCACATAATATACATGGGTTACTGTAGGATCTGAGACACAAATCAATCGTACCCACACCCTAAATACACAGAGATGTGGGCCCTGAAGAGTGACCCAAGGAGTAAGGGGTCTAACATCCATTCTTGTTTCCGTAAACGCCAAAGGAGTAGAAATATAATTATGTTCCACCATCGAAAAGTTGGTGGGAGAAAGGCAAGGACGAGGTTGAAGGCTAAATGAGACAACTGGTCATTCCCCGAAGACTGAGGTATTGGATTGGAGAACGCCGCGCCAGTCCTCCCGAGTTCTCAGAAGCGAGTCCTAGATCTCGGCTCCCGCCGTTGCCTTCGGCCCGCGCCCCTCCCAATCCCAGGGACCGGCAGCCCTTCATCCACGGACACCCAGAAAGCTGCGCTCTCCACCCAAAAGAAAAAGAAATGCAAACAAACAGGACTCCTTGCTTAGGCTGGCGACGAAAATGCAAGGCTCAGTCCAGCCCCAAAAATTGGTTCCGGTGAATTTAGGGAGGCTCAGGGCATTTGCGCGAAGAAACAGAAACCTATGTTGGGGCAAGGCAGGGCGTCAATGGCAGGGCCTAGCTCCTCACCCGCGACCGGCGACTGGCCCTTCGGCGTCCCCTCTCCGCCCGCCTCCCGCGGTCGGCTGCGACGCACTCACCCGGGTGAGGCTCCAGGCCGTGTGCCGCCGCGTCCTCCGTGTCTCCGAGTGGGCCCGCGGGGCTCAGCGCCTCCATAGACAGGTCCAGCCCCTTCTCCTCCCAGTCTCGCAGTTTCCGTTTTTTATTTGAGCCGATCAAGGCTTCAACGGAGAAGGCATGTGCTCGCGAGCTCAGGGCGACTGCAGATCTTCTCCTTTCACTCATTTTAGCCGCCCACACCCCTGCCTCCGCTTGCCCCCGCTACCGAGGGAGCAGCCGGCGCCCTCAAGCTCTGAGCGCCCACCGGGCCCGGCCCGGGAGAGGCGGAGGCGCGTCGGACGAGGCTGAGACTGCGGCTCGCGGGTCTCTCCACCCTCCCCCTGCGTCCTCCTCCGCCCTCCTCTGCCGGATCCGACCTGCGCCCCTACGCTGGCCCAGCTGCTAGGAACTAGCGCCCCGAGCGCCGCCCGCTCGCTGCATGAGCGCCCGAGTCCTGCTTCCCACCCACCGGGGCAGGCGCTCACAGACTGTGTCCACTGAACTTCATCTTGTTTTTGTTATTATTATTATTCTCTCTCCTCTCTCTCTCTCTCTCTCTCTCCCCTCCCTCTCTTTTTCTCTCCTCCCCCTCTCTCTCTCTTCCTCTCTGCCTTCCCGTCCTCCCTGTGATCCAAACTTCTGGGAAACTTTTTTTTCCGCTAAATTCCTCCCTTCCCGAGGAACAGGGGGCAGGCGGTGCGCTCCTGTCCGAGGGGTGAGGGAGAGGGAGGGGGAGGAAGAAAAAGACTGAGGGGGAAAAAAGCCAGCCCCCAACCAATAGCGAGGAGGGAACAAGAGAAACTCCGAGAGCGCGAACCAATGAGAGGAAGGGAGAGACTGAGGCCCGGGCCAAAGCGCAGCGCCAGTCGTCCCCTGGATGCTCCTGGGCCGACTTTAACCCCTGGCTTCCCGGTTTCCCCATGGGTTACTCCAAGAGGGAGGTAGGACAGTTGAAAGTTGAGGTCTGATCTGCGCCTTTACAAACTCCTGCAAATCCCAAATCCATACGTTTTTCTTCCAGATCTGCTGGTCTCATAGACGCTGCAAGTCCAGAGTCACTTTAGTTGCAGATCTGGAATTTTGGGGCTCTGACAAAATGTTAACCTGTCCAAAATGCCAGAAAACGATTCTGATAATTTCGCGTCAGCCCCTAGGTGCTTTAGAATATTCTGGTTCCTCCTGGATTTCGCCACACAGGTTTTAATGTTCCTACTGAACGTTTTCTAAGCAAATCTGGGTAAGGCAAAAGGAAACAAACAAACAAGCAAACAGAAAGCCCTGTTACTAACCAGGGTCTTGTAACTGAAAATTCAAAGACCGCTTCCTCCTTCCAGCTCTACCTGGTGGAGAAGGAGACACAGGCGCCTTGAGAGCAAGGGGCGGGCGGCGGAGCGCGGGGTTTAGGGCGAGCTCCTCAGGCGTATTCCAGCTGGGCCCCCTCACGCCGCAAATACTCTCTTTCCCTACGGCCCGAACGCTGGGCTGCGCTTCGCCTGTTCCGGGCTCTTGTTGCAGAGAACCTATGGAGAGGTGACAGGCAAGAACAGCTAGGAACTTTAACAGAAGAGAAGGAGCTTTTTCAAAATTCCCTGCAAATCCCGTTACCTCAAGACCATGGCTTTCCCGGCCAGCTGATCTCCCCCCTGGCCGCCCCCTGCCTTTTGCGATCTCTAAGGACTGCATTCAACATGGATTTCTAAGGAATTAAAAAATCCAACGCTCCTGGCCATTCTTAAT
Source organism: Homo sapiens (assembly GCF_000001405.40). NCBI lineage: Eukaryota > Metazoa > Chordata > Mammalia > Primates > Hominidae > Homo > Homo sapiens. The sequence goes on from NC_000001.11 coordinate 118,989,347, forward strand.
TCCCACACCTCTTCCCAAGTTACGCCACCGGTCGAGGACGGCAGGAGACCCCCGAGTGCAGAGAAAGCTCAAACCGGCAGCGAAGTCGGTCCTAGCCAAGCTGAAAAAACGTCTCGGATTTCGCGGACAGCGGCCTAGACACAGCCCGATCTTCCAGTCCTAGTGCCCTGGTCGAGACGGTTCTATCCTTTTGCAAAGAAGCCGGAAAGAGCTGGGTCCCGGGGGCGGGGGACAGACTGAGAGGCCAAGCAGGCCAGTCGTGACGACAGCCAGGCCCTTAGAAGTCTCCAAACCTGAAAGTTTAGGTTAGGGGGCCCACAGCCTGTTAAGATTTCTTGTTGTTGTTTTCGCGAGGCCCGGGAGAATCAGCTCTCCCACCTTGCGGCAAGAAAAGATGACTTGTCAGGCCTCTGAAACGCCGAATTCTCTGCCGGACTGCGGAGGGGCCCAGGGAAATCTAGTCTTTATTATTACAGTTGGAAGTGTTCTGGTGCTGAAGGCAACCACAGTGTTGTGAATTCACCTTGGGCCTCTTTGGACAAGAGGCTACTTTTGCCCCCTTCCTTCACCCCCGCCCCAAATTAGGATCCAACCAGGATGTCAGGAAGCTAGCATCCCAGGCGAATGCAAAAAGAACAATGGAAAAGCCACCGGATGAGTGTGATTCAGCCAAGCCTGACCTCCCCGGAGCCTGTGTCTCAGGCTTGGAGGTCCCCAGGGAGCACGAACATGAACTCTGGGGAGCTGGAAGCAGGGTACTGGTCCCCGCCTCCTGCAGCTCTGCCCAGAGGACTTGGGGAGCCCGGATGGAGAGGCGCAGGATCTCCCACTTCAGTCAGCATTTGGCGTTGCTTCCAGGAGTCGTCGCTGAAAGTCAGCGCGCATTCACTGCTACCGGGCTTCAGCAGAGAAGCTGGAGACAAGGCAGACGGGAACCCGCAATTTCCTTCCCCAGCGGCTGGGGCCTCTCTCTCACCTCCCAACTCTGGTGTCGCCCGGCGTTTTCCGCCTGCGGCTGGAGCCTGCCCCTACCAAGCTTGGTGGGGTAGCAATGGGGCCGGCCTCTAGACTTTCCCAGCTCTTTTCTCATCCCCATAGCCGGTATCTCCCATCTCTCTCTGGCAGCCTTTTGCCTTTCACAGTTTCTCACAGGCCTGGTTTGGACTGAGAAGCGGGTACACCATATGCCTCACCCTCTCTGAGACCATGGAATTTTCTCAAAAAGGAGGACTTAGCCTGGGCAACATGGAGAAACCCCATTTCTACAAAAAATACAAAAATTAGCCAGGTGTGGTGGTGTGGGCCTGTAGTCCCAGCTACTCAGGAGGCTGACAGGGGAGGATCACCTGAGCCCAGGAGGTCCAGGCTGAAGTGAGCCGAGATTGCACCACTACACTCCAGACTCGGTGACAGAGTGAGAACCTGTCTTCTCAAAAATAGAAAAAAAGGAAAAAAAAAAAAAAAAGGAGGACTTTTTGGTTATCTAGGAACATAATTGCAAGTCCAGAGGCCCGATTGTTCCTGTGTGTCCAAAGACGCAGCATCTGAGAGGCATACATAGAGGAATGAGCAATGGTTTCAACAGCATGCATCTGCATCCTCTCCGAAGCTTGCACTCCGCAGAGTCAGGAGTCAGCCAGAAGAGTTTCCACACCCCTCCTTCAGATTGCACATAGGCTGCTCCCACCCCCATTCCACAGACACACATATCCTGGAATTGTAGGTTAGGCCACTAAAACCAACCGAACCCAAATGAAAGCAGGATGGTTTTTAACAGTCTTGAAAATAAGGGGTTTCCTCTAAGTAAATGGGAGGAGCAGTGAAAACTCCCGTGACTCTATAGGAGTTAATGTAAGGTTTTTCCCAGAAGCATGCACTCCTTGGTGGGTGACTGCTGATGGGAAGGAAAATCTGGAGAAAGAGTAAGCAGGATGGCTTAATATGTGTGCTTAGGTGTACACTCGTGTGCAGTTGAGGGAGGCTTTGGGAGATTACATGTAAGAATCTGCAAGTGTGATACAAATTTTCCTTCTACTGATTACATCAACGGGCTTTAAAAGTCTCTCCTCATTACCCCAGCTTATCTCTCTTTTAACCTTTATGGGTAAGGGTGGGGTCCGCAGTTTATGAGGCTAATTCCCTAGGCACTACCTAGGTTTCCCTGCTACAGGCTTCAACTTTTCGCCCTGAGTGCATCCTACAGGCGATCCACCCTGAAATGACTCCATTTCAGGGCTGTTTTTGGCCTGAAACTGATTGACAAAGACCAAGCAAGATGTCTGCCTCCCACTTACCCCCTGCAGGTCCCCCAAAAGGAAGCGAAGGTTATTGGATACCTGGGAAGTCTGAGGAGCCCTGGGGTTTCACAGGCTACCTGCAGGGGCTTACAGAGGGGTGGAGGTCCAGGCCTAGTCTTGGAAGGGGAAAAATTAGAAAGAGAAAGGCAATACAGTAACTGTTCACCTACAACTGACCAGGTCCAGATATTTTGATTTTTCAAAGGAAGAGCAGAGTCATGCGACAACAGATCAGAGTCATAAACACAAATAGGCATTCCAAGAAACGGAGCGCCCACATCCTCCACATACCTGTCTTTTCCTCCCATTACCCCACACTGAATAGCACCTTAAATAACACCACTGCTAATGCCTCAATACCAAGGTGAACCACCAGCCGGCTTTGATTTCAGAGTTTTGAGTGAGTAATTGAAAACAAAGTTAAAAATAGTTGGCCAGCCGGACATATTAGGCTGCCCTTAAACACGTGGGTAAGGCACCCTGTGGGGGTGAGAGAATTACAATGAATTCGCCCATCAAGGTAGGTATAAAACATTATGAGGCGTCTATGGGGTGGGAAGAAACCATCTAGACTGCAAGGCGAGCTGGAGCCTAGTGACCAGGTCTGGTTCACCTCCAAACTGTGTGACCTTCGGCAAGTCGATTAATGGCCCATGCCTCAGTTTCCTTATCCTCAGAGTGAAAGGGTTCTTAAAACTTTACAACTAAGCAAAGCAGGCAAGGTCATCGACCGTGGGGCTGGACAGATCTGAGATTTTATTATTGCTGTGATCGAATCTTCTGGGAATGTGAGGTCAACGATTCCACTTTTCACATGTTTTCCCAAATTGGTGCCCCCAAAGCAAAACAAAGCAAAACAATACAAAACAAAACAAAAAACACAGGAGCATGAAATGGGACAGCATAACTGATCTGGAACCCTCGGGCGTGGTGAGATGGGGAGAGGGAGTGGATTTCTGGAAACGCCCGCCCAAGGCCAGCGCCGCGGAGGTAGCGTGGGTCCACTCTTGCGGGCCGCACCTCCAGTCGCTCCTTTAAGTCGCAGAGAGCTGCGGGACCCGCATAAGTCGTTAACTATTCAAGCACCCCCTCACACTTTTTAAAAATAAAAGTCCATGGGGGTGAAAGGTCTTTAATGATGTTTTTTTGTTTTCACGAAATAAAATCTTTTATTTTTATTTTAAACCAGCAGCGTGCCCATCCCTTGGTCCTTCCAGATGTTTGCAATAAAATCGCAGGTTTTGCCTTTGGGACTGGAAATAAAATTTAACGGCCTTCACCCTGTAATTATTCTCTTAGCTTGCCCTTCATAAATTTATCTGCGTTCTATCGGCATTGGGGCAAGAGGAGAGCGAAAAGGGGGGGGAAGCCCCGATTTTATATTTGTGACTATAAAAAAGCGCCACCCGGTTTCCTCGCCTTCGGCCGCCGCGGTGTGGCCGGCAGAGCCGGGGCCGGCGGGCCGCAAAATTGCGCGATTGTTCGCTGACTTCGGTCTGCGCAGGAGCAGGGCCCCTCCACAAAGGGAGCCTTGTGTGGCCAGGCCGGAGCGGCCGCGCCCAAGAGGTGAGGAAATCCTGTTCCCCCAGGCCCAGCTTCTCTTTCCCCACGGCGTTTCGTGCAACGCCGCAGCCCGACCTTCGACTGCAGGGTGCGCCCGCCGTTCCAGGCGCCAGCTCCGGTCCTGCCTGCCTTCGCAGGATGCAGGATGCGTAACTTCGAGCCTGAGCTGAGCCCACTGAGCATGAGGGAGGAGCCTGCCTCAGGTTACCAAGGCGGAAAGACAGGCCTTGGGTGCGAGGTGAAGGGGCTTCCTGGGAAGCCCTCCAGCCCCTCTCCTTTGCCTTGCTTCCGCAATGCTGGAAGGTAACATTCTGCACTCTCAGGAGTTCGGGATTGCTTAGCAGCACCATAAAACCCAATCCAAAGTCGGCGAGTTTTGAGGCCCCAACGTGCACCCCGAAAAAAATACGGGTACATCAGCAACTACCATATACTTTTTATAGGAAGCTAAGTACAAGCGTCATGCACGTATCATGTGTGACTACACAAAGCCATATGTTTATCCGGCAGCACACATAAGCATGCATACACTTCGTACACCCACACGCGTTGTATCCATGTACCTTTCTAGAATCAAACAAGAATGTGGAAACAACACATACGTGGGTACACAGCGTCACACACAGGCATGTGAGGAAACATCCTGGCCCCACTCAATTGCCCCCAAGGTCTGCAGAAATCAACACGCATCCTTCCTGCTGCATCTCTTGTCCCCAATCCATAACTCTCCCGGGATCTCCCTGGCTTCTTGAAGCTTAATCCATGTGGCTGTCCGGTAGCCTCCTCTCCTTTATCTGCAAGGGATTGCCTGAATGGTCAAGGTCTCTGAAGCAACAAAAGAAATGAAACATGAGGAGTATCCAGCTTCCAGCCCTCGCTACTCCGGAGAGCCACCCAGTTCTTGGCGGTGACTAGGACTTTTTTCCAAAGCCCCAAGATCCTCAGCAGGGACTGACAGACAGGACAGTGAGAAATGGTGGGGCCAAGTGGGAGCAGCAGGGCTTTGTCTTGCTTTCATGTGCACTCCCTTGGCCCTTTAGTCCGCAGGCCTCAGGCCAAAAAGCTAAATCTTGGGAGCCAGATGAGTCCTACACAGAGAATTCTTTCCTGTTCTTTCTGGTCTCAGGAACCCCAGTTTTACCAGGTTCACCCTCTAAATGTGACTCTATCTCCCGCTTCATGCTGGGTTTGCAGGTGCTTGGCTAAGTAGAGTTCTCCCTTTATTTTTTCCACTGAGAGGAAGAATTATCTAAAGCTTATGAGGGAAGAAGCACCGGGCCCTGCAGTCTATCTCTGTAGCAACCCTGGAACATAAAGGGGGTACCTGAGGTTTCTGCCGGGTGGTGGTGGGGAGGCTGAGGTTGGCAGAAAGGAGGGAGGGGAGAGGGGCCTCTAGCACTGAAATCTGTTGGGGCACAAGGACCAGCAGCTAAAGGCAGCTGAATTTAGGCATTAGGGATTTAATTTGATGATGACTTTATTTTTTCCAGAAGTGGTTGAATTTCATTTGTTGCTAATAAATGGCCACAAAATGTCCAAGGTGGAAATTCAAGAGCTTACCCAGCCCTGAGCCATCGCCCAAAAAGTCCCATATGTGGATTTTTACAGCCTCCTTACGCTCAGTCTCCCCTCTCCACCAGTGGAAATAGTTATTCAAGGAGAGTGGGGTGGCTATTCTTCATTATTCAATAGCTATTCTCCATTATTCAAGGAGAGTGGAAAACAACTCTCCACACCGGAACAACTGGGCAGCTCCCTGGTGGCGCTGGGGCATTAGATCCTCCAGGCTGCCGAGGTCAGGGTAGCTAGGGTAGCTGGGGCAGCTGGAATTGTTCTTGCCTCTGCCCACAGCCTCAGGTGAGGTTGGGGGAGCTGGCGGTGTGTGAGCTAGTCCATGGGAGGCTTTTATGTGACTTTGGCCCATAACTCATGGGCTACCTCTTCTACCTGAAACCAAATCTAAGGGGATAGGAAGGAATCCAGAACTCATGGGTGGTATGCATAGCATCCTGTGACACTGAAATTAGTCAGGGTAAGGAGATTACCAAGATCAGGTGCACAGTTGTCCCTGCACAAATGAGCCCTCCAAATGGTTGAAGTAAATCAGTAGATATAGATTGATATATGTAATTTTTAAATGTTGTTTTATAACCTGCCTGTACTTTCAGACCAGAGACACATATGTGGGTGTCTGCTGAGAGTCAAACATTGCCAGAGTCCCTTGAGCTGCTGCTGGGGAAGAGTTGGGGGCAGAACAGTCCCAACTGCTGGTCCTACTCAAACATCCACAAGAGGCATTGCACTCTGGCCCATTGCCAAGTACCCCGGAAAGCCAGCAGGGAGAAAAGTGGTCCATCTGAAACCAAGAAAAATACTGAACTCACATACTTTCACAAGGACTTTGTAAGACAGCCTACAAATCTAGGCGAATGAAGGAATTTCCAAAATGGAACCATTCATGAATCCATTTTCTCCTAATTATCAATGGTGTCTGTGGCATTAGGGGCCTTTGAGGCATGATGACTCTGAGGGGCAAGGGTCAGTGGCACTATGGTGGATGGAAGCTTCACCAACACCCAATATTACTATCCTTGGTTGCCTTTCCCACAGGATATGAGAACTTCTGAGTCAGCTCAGAAAACAGCAGAAGGTGTTTGCTATCAAGAGGCCTCTCCTTCCAGGAAAGACAAAGAGAACAAGATAAGTGTTTATTTCCACGGCCTTCCTCTCTTGCCATCAAGTTTCATTCTGTATCTCCTCTCTTTCTGGTCTGCACAAATTAAGAAGAGCTAATATTTACTGAGCTTGTTACTCCAGACTTTAGCACCCTGTGCTAAGTGCTTTGCATGGATTTATGTCACCTGCTTCAAGCTCTGCAAGCCAAGAACTAGTATTACCGGCCCCATTTTACACATGAGAAAACTGAGGTACAAAGGAGTTAGGCGGCTTGGCAAAGGTCTCACAGCTTTTAGTGCAGGTAAAATTCTAAAAAGAATTCTAGAGCTGGAATTATTTGCTCCTATGCCCTCAGCCCTTCTCTGTGCACACCTAAGTTCTCTCCGGTTGCAACTGACTCAAGTAACTTAGTAGGGAAAGATGGGGCACTGATGGAACTGTCTTACACAGGCCAAAAAGTCTTGCCTGCCCAGATCTAAAATATACATGAGAGGCTTCAAAGCATCCTTGCCAGCAAAAGGATAATGGGGCAGGGTCTCCCACTGTGACATTACTCAAGGTACGGCTCAGCCAGATGCCTAACAGAACATGTATCACTGCAGGAGCCACAGTGGTTGCTTCCAGGAAGGCAACCTGGAGGCAGTCACCTAGGGCTATGGGCAATCAACTGGGATCATGCTGCTAAGCTCTTATTCTGCTCATCAGGATCCCCATTGCCCGCCTCAGACCAGCCCTTGGTCAGCCTTCTCTCTGGGTGCCAGTCAGCTTTGGTGGCTTCACCTCAAAAGCATCTGCTTTAGATGGCTTTGACCCTTTATTGGCTCAACCCCAGAGCCACTTGTTCTCTGAAGGCTTCTGGACTTTCAACCCCACCCACTTGTAGGCTGGTAACAGCAATTACGTCTTAAGTAGAATTTGTCCTCGCAGTGGTGGTCTGTAGCAAGTGCCAAGCAGACCATCTCTGCCTGCCAATTGGGAGATTCTTGAGGACAGGGTGTGTTAACCCAGCATGGGAGCTATCTCCATCACTCTATCATGGCCACTAGTGAAATAAAGCTGCCTATGGTGGGCCCTCAAATATTTTCAAACTGAGTTCCCCTCTCGCTCACCCCCAAACACACACACATACATACACTCACAGGGCTCAACTCAGGGGTCCTCTGTTTATTTTAATTGGCATCCCTACAGCTCAGATCCACTTGAAATGCAATTAAGAAATGGTCTTAAGGTTCCGAGCACTTATTGGTGTCAGTTATTTATCAGAGTAGCTGAGGACTTTGGAAATCAGATTCCTTGTGAGAAAGGGGACAGACAGAGAAACCTCACAGGTCCTTGGAGCCCAATGGAAGGGAGCAGAACTCCAGAGTTCAGAGGAAAAACCTCAGCTCGGGAGAAAAAGCTGTTGGCTTAATTTGAAGGGCTCCTGTCAAGCTGCAGACTAGCCTTAGGAAAAGCGGCTGGAAAGGAGAGACAGCCTCGCCATCAAAGTCCCCACCCCTCAAAGACGAACCTTGGCAGCGATGCTGCAAAGCCCCTCTCGACTTCTGGGCTTAGAGGAGTTCCAGTTCTGGGAGTGAGTTTGGTCTTGTTTTGGCGCCCAGGTGGCTGCAGCCTCCTCCCCTGGCAGAGACCACAGGCCTAGCTCTTTCCCACCCCACCCAACTCCCACCCCCTCCCACCTGCCCCCAGCAAAGGCTGGCCAGGAGGGCCTGGGCTGCCAGAGTAAAGGAAGCTTTTAGGGATGGAGGGGACGAAGCCAGTCCCTGGGATGACCTGGACCAGGCCCCAAACCACCGCTTCCTGTGGGATCCAGAAAGGGAAGGGAAGAGGGTGAAATGCAAGAAGACCTCCCCTCTTTATTTTTGCCTTTTCCCCATTTTGGACTTCTCAGTGGAATGTTGGCAGCCTCTTTTCTCAGGCTACTTTTTCTCTCCCTTGATGGCAAATCCAGTCTCACTGGCCGTCTTGCTCTGTGCAAATGCTGCATTAAAACTCTTGTTGAGGTGAGGTGGTGTTGCCCAGGTTTCCTTGGTGCAGGTGTTGCCCAGGCGTTTGCTCTGTGCTGCTCCTGGATCTCCCTCCTGTCCTCCCTAGTAACTCTCAACCATGTCCGCCCCCCTGGGGGAGCTTCCTTCAGTGCTACAGATGCTTTTTTTCACCCAGCCAACTGACTGTGGCAGACTCTTGTATCATCCAGAGACCACCACCGTTTGTCTTCTTTCCATCTATTTTTCCTGATTTTTTTAACCTGTGGCTGGAAGCCCAGCTAGCACCTATTTCCTGAGGAAGACTGTGGGGAGGGAGGTGAGCAAGTGGAAGCATTAGATGCTCAAAGAAAAGATATGTGCAAGGAGGAGCCACTGAGTCCCTCACCTGGGCCTTGGGCCCTGGGAGGCCCCTGAGGGCTCTAACACTAGCTGCTCCTGTTTTGCTCCCAGTTTCCCAGAGCACGCCCTGTGGGCTCTATCTAGGGCTGGAGATGCCAGTGGACAAGTGTACTAGCAGCCTCTGTGGTCCTGAGGAATGTGGATTGCAGCCATTTAGAACCGAGAGAGGCTAATGAAAGCTAGGGAAACATGAGAAGGGAATGGAAGGAGAAGACAGAATTTAAGAAAGAAAGAAGAGAGGAATGGAAAAAAGAAAAGGAATGGAAAAAGGAAACAAAGGGAAAGAAAAATAGAAGGGAAGTGGTGAGCACTGCTTCTCAGTTACTGAGACCTTGGCTGCACCTCTGTCTGGGGCATGTATCAGTGCCCCCCCCCACTGGCCTGGTTTCCCCAAGCAGCTTGAGCCTATCAGAATTTGAGGTACTGGCAGAGGACTAGGGGTCCTAGAACATGTCTTCTGAGCAAGCCAATCACGTCATGTATAGTAGAGCCAGGGTGGCCCACTGCCTGGGGCTTGAAGGCCTCAGCAAAGGGTTCCTAGCACAAAGCATCAGGGGGCCGGGTGGGAGGGTCAAGGGCCTGGAGGAATCAGCCGTGCAGATTGAAGGCCAGGTAGGGGTGGGTCTCCTGAACTCCTTTCTCAAACACTGATGTGTTGGATACAGCATGCTCTGGGCAGCCAGAGAGCAAAGACAAGAGATCTCAGAGTACAGAAAGAAAACGTGGTTATTGGGAGAAAGGGCTAAGAGACTGAGGGCCCTAGGGAGTGGAAGACCCAGAGCAGTGGGAGTTTGGCCAGATTGACTCGGGCAGAGGACGGAGGGACCTTGGGTTCAGCGTGAAGGTGGGAGAAATTAGTGGGAAGCCGTGGTGTTTGTCGCTTTAAGTAGTTAATATTTTCCCAAATGTTAATCCAATTTGAGGTTATTAGGCAAAGTGCCGAGAAAGGTTGCACATCAGAGTTATTCCAGTAAATCTCCGTGCTCTGGATGTGGGGAAAGATATATACATTGGCCCTCCACCCACTGAGTCCGCAGCTGCCCCCACCCCTCCACTATTAGAGAAGAAGGTGAACGGCTTTGAGTTTCCCTCTCCAAGGCAGGAGGTGGTTTTCTCTCTGAGCGTCTCCTCCCCTCTCTTTAATTCACTTTCCCGGACTGGAGCCTCAGCCTTGACTTTTCCTCCTGCACTCCCCAAGCCCCCACCATCGCCCCCAGCATCTCTTCGTCAAAGACAAATAAAGCCTAGCCTCCTGCCTGGGTTGACCGGTTCTCCGGTGGAGGGGAAGAGAGAGAGAGAGAGTGAGAACGAACGAGAACGCTGGCGAAGAGGAATGCGCTGCAAACCCGGGTGAACAGATGTGCATGGTGCCCTCACCCAGCCCCGGCATGGCCTAGACAACCGCTGCTCAGCCCTGCGCCCGTGAAATTACATTATTTTCTCCCCGGCCCAATCATCGTTTTACAGGAAAAAAAAATTAAATAAATATAAATTGCTGCTTTGCAAGATCAAAGTGCCGATTTCTGGTGCATCTGGAGGAGTGGGGAGATGGGGAGGAAAGAGAGGGGGAGAGTGGCGCAGCCGTGGTTGCCCAACTTCAAAGGGTTCTCAACAGTGCATTTTGCCATTGTATTTTAACATCTCTTCCCCACCAGTTTGGCAGGGTGCGCAGCGGAGAAGCGTGTAGCTTCAGAGTTCAGAGCTTGTGGAGAAACCTTGCTTTGACCATCTCTGAGCGCCCCCACGGGACTCAGAACCCTGAGGCTCTTCTAGAGACACCAACTTGCGGTGGTGGGGTGGGGGTGGGGAGGCGTGGTGAGGAAGAGTGGGGTGGGGGCTGATCTGGATCTGTAGAGTCACCAAATACACCAATAAACCGCAAAGAAGCCACCAAGTAGCCATGCCCCTACTCAAGCTCAAAGCTAGAAGGCTAGCTGAAGGCTCCTTGTCAATTTTCCCTGCGCTCAGGCTAGCTGTTCCACCGGAAGGACTGGGGGAGATTCAGATTATTTGGGAGACCTGGATCAGTATTAGGTTTTCAGAGGTTAGCGGGGTACAGAGGTTAGCGGGTTTCTTGATGGTGGAATTGTTTATTTGTGACCCGGCCACCTGGGCGACTACGTAGGCCTGGTACAGGAGGCAGGAGTTGCCTCTGTCCCCACTGCGCTTTCCTTAATCGAAGAGCGGGTAGATGCCGGCCAAGCAAAGTGCTCGAAAGTGTAGCTGGGACGCCCACGCCGGAAGCCTGGAGAGGCAAGTTGCGAGTTCGCAGGGCTTGGGAGTTTTTTGCGGCGGAAGAAGCTGAATCTAGGGGCTGAGTCCCCGGGAAGGGATGGCCGCCTCTTAGCTTTCGCCAGGAGATTATCTTGGAGCCCAGCGGCCGAGATTGAGAGCTCTTTCTGCGGAACCTGCCTCCGGAGTCAGATGAGCAAGGGGACCGCCACGTCCTCACCGAGCTCCCAGCGGCCTTTGGGGCGGGTCCGGGGACAAGCCGGAGGACTAGGCTTCTCCCAGAGCGCGGCTGTCTTTCCCGGAAAGACCCAAGTGCGCGATGTCAGCCCGCCTGCACTTCATCTGAGTTGTCCTTATGTGGCCATTTCTGTTTCAAATTTCAGATTTTTCTACTAAAAAAGGATGGGTTAAAACAGCTGAGAGCGCGCCTGCTCTTTCCCGCCCTGGGTTCTACATCTCTCTAGCCGCCCACCAGACTGCATCTCCAATCTGGGAGCTATCCTCACCTTGGGAGGGTGGGGCAACAATGTTATTCTCGTTTCCCGATAAGGAAACCAACGTCCCTACAACTTGACGTTAAATGGTCCCAGGTTCCTGAGCCTCAAATCTAGGACTATTACCTAGGTCACCTAAAAATTTTTGTTCTTTCCACTCCCCCGAGGGTGATTCTGTTAGCCTCGCAGGCCCTTCTCCCACCCGTCATTTGAAGTCATCGACCCCGGGGCAGCCCCAACAGTTCTGTGCGGGCCTGCGCGCACCGCCCTCACCTTGCGCGCCAGGCATCTCACCTCAGCCGGGCAGGTGCAGAGGTGACAGGCGCGGCAGCCGCGGTTCGTCCGGCCGAGGGGCAGGAGGAGGCTGGCCGCCGCCTTCTGCTGCCCGCAGGCTGAGGGGGCAGGGGAGGGGGAACAGGGCTGGGAAACTGCCGTCAGCGGGTCCCGGCCCCGCCTCCCGAACGCAACGTCCAGGAAACCTCAGAACTTTCTATTGTCTGAGAAGCTTCACTGAACAAATTGTCCCTAAAACTTTAGAGCTGCGAAGAGCGGATCAGGGCAGGTTCTAGTGTGGCCCTGTGCCCCGGAGCCTGCCTGCCATAAAGTGTGACCGGAAGCCCCCCCCCCCCCGCCCACTGTCAGAACCACTGAGGAGAGAAGAGCGCGGCGCCTTAGTGCCGCCCTGCGTCGTGGTCGGGAAGCCGAGCAAGCGGTGTGGACGCCCCAGGAGCAGGGGGATCCAGGCCTAAACTCATGGGTTCCGAATGGGCAAGGGAGCAGAATCAAGCATCGGTGGGCGCTTATAGAAAGCGCGTCTGTCTTGGAACACCCTTACCAGGGTACCCAACCCCAGCGCCAGGTTTCCTGGCCTTGCAAGGAGAGGTTGAATTTGTCAGGATTCCCCACTCTAGAAGGTGGCTCGTGGTGGTGAAGCTTCACCCTTCCTGGTCTGCACAGAAGTCAGTCAGTCTCTCTCTCTCTCTCTCTCTCTCTCTCTGTGTGTCTCTCTCTCTCTCTCACACACACACACACACACACACACACACACACACACACACACAGAGCACCCTTAACCTCACCCGGCGCGCTTGTGGGTAGATTCCCGAGAGGGTCAGGGAATCTCTTATTTTTCTCACAGCCTTGGGTGAGAAACCGGCTACCTCCTCTCAGGAAACACCCGGATGTGGGTGTGGACCAGAGGACTCACTGGAACACTGACTCACCACCTAATCTTGCACAAGTCTCTTAATTACAGAAACCACATTCCTATTTTGTCCAACTGGGGTGATTGGGGCAGCCTAAAGTTTCCTGGGAATGGTCCACTATGTGCTTGGGTGCCCACTTAGAGTACATCTGACACGTGTGCACATCTGTATTTGAATCCGACCACCTGAGCCCCGCTAACACCAGCGCACAGACCTACACTGTCTTTCTGTCCCTCCGGCTACTTTCCCTGCTTGCTGTTTCTGCTGGGTGATTAACGACCCCAAATAGTGTAAGGAATTCGACTTCTCAAGCTCAGCATTTTCAATTCCTTAATTTGTCCCTGGGTGACCGTTAGCAATTGTGGCTGTAGATCACATGGGGCGGACCAGGTAGAATGAGCAGCTGATTCAACACTGTTGAGTTGGGGTTTGGTTTTGCTTTTTTTAAAGGCGACTCAGAAAGTAGCCCCTGGAGAACTTCAAGAAGGCAGCAGGCTACAGGCTGTGGAGGTCCCTGCACTAAGATGCCTTTGGGCTGTCACCACTCTCGTTCTTTATAAATATTAAAGTGCTAGCAACTAGCAAAGCCCTTCTGGGCCGTAGCCTCTGATGTGGGTGGGGCAGGCAGGTGAGAAAACTGAGGCTCAAAGGTTTCCTGCTTCCAATCAGAGGTCTCAGTAGGAGAGCTGCACTCTGGGTTTCCTGTTTCCAGTGTGGATCCTGGGGTATATTTTCCTGGGAGCCAACAGGGAGTGTACTGGGAAAAGGAGAAAGTACTCACAGCAGAACTGCTCCAGAGGCAACCATAGTTTGACTTTTTTGTAGTTGTTTGGGTTAGAAACAAGTTAGTCCTCTCCATTGCCCATCTCTCCCCTACACATGCTGAGTCCTGATCATTGTTCTATCTCATTTAAAAAAGGAACATTGTCTCTCCTGATGGGCTGGGTATGAGATCTGAAACATTCCAGGTTGCCTCAACAGCTGCTACTAGTTTTTGTTTTTGTTGTTGTTTTTCAAAGTGGGGCTTTAAGTGGAACTTTTAAAATACTTTTCTGTCCCCATCACCCTCCTGATTAAGCAGACAGTGGTTCTGGGGCCAAAGCCTTTAGAGATGACTCCCTTCATGGACTTCTGGTACTCCCAAAGTATAAGGAGGAGAATAAGAGGAGAGGTGGAGGAAAGGAAAAGGAGACAGAGGAGAAAGAGAAAGGGAAGAGTCTTTATTTGTTCTGTTTGCTTGGGTTTTCCGGATACAGGAGACTGATTCTGCTCTAATGGGGAGAAATTAGCTCCTTCTCTCCCCTGCAGCAACTGGGGCACTGCTAGCTGCTCCTTCCAAGCTTGCTATCCCTTAGAAAGGGTCAAAAAGGGTCTGGGCCTGGGGCGGTGGCTCACGCCTATAATCCTAGCACTTTGAGAGGCCGAGGCGGGAGGATCACCTGAGGTCAGGAGTTTGAGACCGGCCTGGCCAACATGGCGAAATGCCGTCTCTACTAAAAAGACAAAAATTAGCTAAGCGTGGTGGCAAGAGCCTGTAATCCTAGCTACTTGGGAGGCTAAGGCATGAGAATCGCTTGAACCCAGGAGGCGGAGGTTGCAGTGAGCCAAGACTGCGCCATTGCACTCCAGCCTGGGAAACAAGAGCAAAACTTCCTCTCAAACAAACAAACAAAAAAAAGGTGGGGTGGGGGCAGGGGGGTTGTGTGGTCTGGGCAAGGTGGAAAGAAGAGGGTATCAGCATCCTCTAGGTGGCAGCAGGCCTGGCTAGGGTCTAGAAGAAGACCCTCCAACTCCCTCAGAGGGATGAAGACCTGGGGTCTTCTGGGTGGCGAGAGTGAGACCCACTAAGCTCCAAAGTCCTGCCACTGAACTCTTCTCTCCGAGGTGCCAGGTTTGTAGTTTCTGAAGTCACACTATTGTGATTAAATGCATGATTTTGTAAAACACACATAGACTATGAGACTAGTCTTAGCTAGAGTGAGAACAGTGACTTCTGTCCTTTCTGGAGCTGGCAATCCCATCCCAAATTAAGACTCTAAGCTTTTCTGAGAAGTTCAGCCACTCTGTGAAAATGCTGACTGAGGCTGAGGTGGGCTAACAGGGGCGACCTGCCTGTCTGCAGGCCTGTGAAACCCAATCAGTATACCCCCTAGAGAGAGTTGCAAAGGAATGTACGGGTGTGCAGGATGAAATCAGCCCAAGAACCTTTATAGAAACATGAATGTGATCTGTGAGGAAAGCAAGGATGTAACTAAAGCGATGCATTTGCTTTTACTGGCTGACTGACAGGCTTTGGTGGGGGTCGGATAATTTTACCAACCGGTTTCAAAGACCTAAGGCCCTGGCAGAGACATGGGGGAGGGGGCTACTCAGGAGAACTAGAAGACAAAAAGGAACAAATAAAAAAATCTTCCTATATTCCATGCACACAATTCTTAGTCACATATGTATTACATATGCACATACAAACTTATTTAGTTTAAAAAGAAAACCCTTGCCTTGAACAAAGTAGATATGCACATAAGTTCATGCATTCCCTCAGCAAATAATCATTGAATGTCTACCATAAACAGGGCATTTTGCTAGGCTCTCTTTTGTAAATATGTGTATGAGTGTGTCTGTGTCTGTGTCTGTGTCTGTGTCTGTGTGTGTGTGTTGTGTCCGAGTACACATTCAACCAGCAAACTCCAATTTGGCTTCATAGCGGGTTTGTGACACAACTCAGAACTCTGAGTGATGGGACTCAGACTTCAGGATACACACACACTTTGGGTCAATGCCAGAGGTGGCAACAAGTCTGCTGGTGCCCTAGGAGTTCACACTTTTCCTTTTGTGCAGTTGTGGAAGTGGAGGGGGAATAGCCTTGAGCTCCAACTTCCAGCCTACTACCTTTGGGGATAATGCTGAGAAGCAAAATATGTTAAATCCTTTTAAAATAATGCTTTCCATTCCTAAAGTCTGTTCCTCTTCCAGAATCATTCTAAGGAGTTTGGAAATAACCGGGCAACCAATGGATTTCTTTTCAATGACTATGGCATTGAAGAGACTGACTTAAGGCAATTTCCATAAGTGTACACTTCAACAGTATATACACACACAGGCACATGTATACACAAATATACACATGACTATACAAATTTACTTACATAGAATGTAATCATACCTAGAAAAAAAGTAGGATGGAGTGGGGAGGGTGGATTTAGTTTTCCTTACTTTTGAAATTCAGTAACTCCACAAGTAGACTCAAAATATCACTTAGTTTAAAAAATTTTATTTGACAAAAATGATATATATTTACCATGTATATGTTGTTTTGAAATATGTGTACGTTGTAGAATGGCTAAATTGAGCTAATTATCATGCATTACCTCACATACTTTTTTTGGTGTGTGTGGTGAGAACATCTAAAATCTATTAGCAATTTTCATGAAAACAATACATTCTTGAAAATTGCTAACAACAGTCACCATGTGATACAATAGGTCTCTTGAACTTATTCTTCCTAACTGACCAGTCACTTAGCTTTTTAACAGTCATTTTCATGTGCCCTTACCAACTTATCTGCTATATCCGTGTAACCAGGCCAGCAGACACTATCCCAGCCTTGTAGCAGCAAATGACCCAGTTGCCTGTGGCTTCATGGAATAGTCGGTAAAATCCAATCCATACTTCACGGTATGAAATGCTCAGACTCTCTCCCTAGCGGAGCTAGTGGAAGACGCTCAGCAGCCTTAGCATAGGAATCTGTAGGTACAAGCACATTCCTGGACGGCGACTTTGAATCCAGGCCAAGAAAAGAGAGGTACACCAATATTGGGATTCTGTATTTTGGGGGTCTAATTGGTGAGTACAGAACAAAGGAGTGGAGAGGAAGGCAAAATAACCTAAGTAATAGAAAATCCAGCCATAGACTGCAGTGGAAATTAATGGCACGAGAAGCCTTGGGGGCAAAGGTAAGGGGTCGCAGTTGAATGCCACCCGAACTCATCCAGATGCCGCTGCGTTCAAGCTCTCCCAGCACCCGCGGCCGAAGTAAATAACAATTCTCTTAATGCTAAGGCAGCAAGGAGAGGGCACTGCGAACTGCAGACTTTTCTTCTAAGGATGAAGAGGACATTATAAAACTGCACACTACCTCCCTAATGGCCCATTCGTCCTAGCTCTGTCTAGTGAAGTAGAGAGCAGAAAAAAACATCTAGCTCTATCAAGTTGAAAACATTTTCACATTCACCTTAAACTGGTGAAGCAAACGGGTTTTCCCTTTACTAACATCGCTCTTGTTTTTCCATTTAGTCTTTGGGAACGTAGCCTCAATCTTAACCGCGTATGATCGTTTCCACTGCACCTGTGCGGGAGAGACAGGCGCATATCCCCGTGGCGTCGGATCTCTAAATTATCTAATCTGGCGGCTGCGTACGACTCAGGGAAAGCCCTGGCCGCGAGCTTTTTCACCAGGCTTGAGCTCAGCAGCCGGGCCCGCAGTGTTGCCGCCAGTGGGGAGGCAGGGAGGCTGTCGGCGCGCCGGAGCCAGGCGGGAAAGGGACTACAGCCGCCCGCCGTTGTAGCGCAGGAAGCGGGCGGTGCCAACACACACCTCGCAGCTCTGCACGTTCTTCGTGTCTTGGAGGAGAGTAGAGCCTCCGTGTGAAGCTCCGTCCGCACCTGACGAAGAGGAGGGCGTCTTGCGCCACTCCAGCGACTCTGCGATGTTAAGACGCAGACCCGCTGCTGCGCCTGCCTTTGTCGGGGCGGGCGGGCAGCCGCCGCTCGGAGCAAGGTGGGGCTGCGGGGAGGGAGAGCCGCGGGGCAGATCCCTGGCCAAGGTCCTCTAGAAAGCCCGCTCTGCGCCCAAACGCGCCGCTCGGTCCGTGGGCCACTTCGGACCTGACGCTGCCGGTGAATTCACGCGCTCCGGGACGCGCGGGGACCTTTGACGAGGTTTTTGAACTGGGGATCGTCCCCTGTAACCTGGCCGCGTTACCTCCCCAGGTGAGCCGGACTCGCGGGTGGGTTCGGCAGCCGGCGATGTGGCAAAAAGGCAACCTCGCCTTATTTCTAGGGGCTTGGAGATGAAGAGCGGCTGAGTGTCCCCGTCTACCCCAACCCGGGTATTACCCTCTTTTCCGTCTTCTAGAAGGGGAAAACCATGCTGTTTTGAATTCAACATATTTAGATTCTGAAAATCGACGGCCCTTCCCTTCTTTCCTAGGAAGGCCTGCCCCGTAGGCACAACCTTCGGAGAAACGGGCGGCGCGTGAGTTCCCTGGAGCCGCCTCCTGGGCATCCAGGCTCCTGTCGCACGGCTGGTGCGGCGCCCACTGGGCGTGGGGACTGGGCCCAAGGCTCCCGGGACCGGGTCGTGGTTAACGCCGAGGCCAAGCCCTTCGAAGAACTCTGAGTTCTCTGCCTGACGTTTTGTCCCTCAGGAAGTGTCCCTTCCCGACTTTTGAGGGTGTCTTGTTCTTTGACGGGGTGGCCCTGTGGGGGAGGAAGGAGAAGTGTTCCTCCACTGCTGTTCTGTGGAGCGGGACCTGGCTTTGTTCGGCCTCCCTGCTCTCGGGAGCCTGTACTCCGGCTCGCACGCCTGACTGCTGGCCCTGGCCGCTGCTCGGGCCCCGCGCAGGCACACGGGACAAGGCGAAGCCCCGACGCCCAGAGGGCGCTTGGGCCCAGCACACCCGCGCACAGCCCAGGAAACGGGAAAGGCCACTGTCTGCTTCCCTTTCGCAGATTCTATCCGCTGGCACGCGAAGGTCACACGGGCTCTCAATGCTAATTTGGAATGGGAAGCACCACGAAGGGTTGAGGTAGCCTGGTGGCCCTGACTGCGCAGGGTGCGGACAGTGAGCCCGTATCCAGCTTCGCTGCCACGCGCCTAGCAGCCCGGCGGCCCCGGCCCGGCCCAAGGAGGAGGCAGGCCGCCTGGGTCGGCTTCCGTGGCCTGGGGGTAAGCTCTGATTCACCCCAAGGTGAGGTCCCCGGGGATGCCCAGATTCGGGCCGGGAAACGCACCGGGAGAGAACCACCAAGCGCTCTTGGTTATGAACCAGAGCTTATAACTGTGGCCGCAGCTAGACCTAGGGGAGGCCTGAGCGCCGAAGCCTCCGTTTCCTCGACCGGAATTCGTGAGCTATTAAACATGGGCCCTAGCGGGGCCCACGCCCTGTCTTCCTTTGCTGACAAGGCTCCGCGGGGTAGTGGGCGGGAGACAAGGGTCTCAGAACAGAGGGGCTGGCCCGGCGCGGCGGGCCAGGAACTCCCGGGCGTGTGTGTGCAGTGGTGCGGGGTGGGGGTGGAGGTGAGGTCTCCTTTAGTTCCTGGGATCTGGGAATCCCGGCTTCTCGATCTCATCCGGCGCGGAGATCTTAAGGGTCGGTGGACCAGTTAGTGTGTACGGCCTCACCCCTCCGCCTCCAGCTTTCGAGGCTCTCCGCTTCAGAGCTCCAAAGGAAAACTTCTGCGACTTCAAGAACGTCCTGCGCATTCACATGGGGTCGCTTCCTGGCTGGTTGAGGAGAGTGAAAGTTCTAGTGCCTAAGCCTCCTTTTCTCTTGCCCATTTTTCTCACTCCTCAACCACAGATAAAGAAACACTACATCGTTGAAAAAAAGTAGTGAATTATCTACCAGTGAGGTAGAGGAAATTAACAGTCCCAAGACTGCCCCCAGGTGATGGTTTTCAGGAATAACATTTCTGGGCAATCTCAGGTCGCTTATTTCTCTTCGGAGCTAATTTCATCTGTGATAGAAAAGTTATTGAATCCAAAGGCTATGTTAATCCCCCCAAAAGGAAAAAATGGCCCCAGAAACCTCCTGCCCACAGACACTGAGAATTTGTTCAATTTGTCTTTCTAGCCTTACATTTGATAACTGCACTTCCAAAAATCAAACGCTCTCCTCCCCAAAAGGCAGACATGCTCCCACCCATCCCCTTTTCTTCTTCTTTTCCTTCTTTCTAGTTTCCTCTTTCTGAAACAATAGCGCGGGCTGCTGGAGTCAGTCTGATGATATAATCCTTAAGGCATTCACGGGCAGACCAAGGGCCAAGCTATCAAAGGGTTCAGCTTTTTCTTCTTTTTAAAAGCTGTTTACTATTCAGGAAATTTGGTAATTATTATTTTTTTCTTCTCCATGTAGTGGTATTACCCTCTTCCTTTTGATATTGGATCCTTTATGGGCCCCTAGCTTCATGCTCTAGAGAAAGGAGAAAGATGAAGGGACTGAATTCTGCAGCAGAATGCAATTTTCCTTAATGTCATCACTGCTGCTGAAGACCAGCTGAGGGCTTCCAAAAGAACGGGAACCCCCAGAGCAGTCAGAGAGTCCTCATGTTTCCAGGGGCAGAAGAGAGTGCTAATACCGTTTATTCTTTTACACCACAAACTTGTTTTTGTTTTTGTTTTTTTTGCATGTCACTCCACCAAAATACTTTCAGTGCTTTTGTACTAGGATTGAAAATGCGCACCAGAAGGGGAAAGAGAAGATTAAAATCATATTTTAAAAAAGTATTTGTTTAGAATGCCACGCTGAATTTGGTGTGGGAGGGTTACTAATCAATACTAATATCCTTGGAATATTACATGTTTATCATGGTTTTTCTTGAGTTCAGTATAGTGCCTTGCTTATAACAGGCAGCATGCAACAAATAATTGTTGGTTGAATGTTTGAGAAATGTAAAGCAAAGGAGCACAAACAGGATTGGTAATTTAACTCCATTTAGTTAAAAAATGACAAGTTTCTTGCACTAATGTGTGTCCTACAAAGCAAGACCATTTCTGCTAAATCGTGAGGCACTATGTTTAATCAGTTTAAATTTTGTCTCCCCCACTGAACTGTAACATGAGATCAGAGACTCAATGTTAATACTTTCATTATATACAACATCTTGCATATTGCTGGGTACATTGATTAATCATCTTAGAGTATGGTGAAGGGGAAGATTCAGCTTAAGATGGAACATGTTAAGTGGAAGTTAATGTGCAGGTATCCCCTTGGATAGTGCCAAGTATCCCTGTAGATGGGTAATAGTGGTCCAGGGGTAGGAAAATTTTTGTTCAGACTCCTCCTTTGATTGGGTCATATCTCTTCCTGCCCACATTCTCTCCAGAACTACCACTTTTCCCTCCTGATCTTACCTTATTAGGATATGAATGCACAGAAAAGGGGATGAGTTGAGCTGCACTGTCATAAGCTGTGATGACTGGTTAGCAGTCAGTTCGTGTGGATACTAATGAGATCATCACAGAGGTTCTATCCACTGGGGCACTAGTTTGGCCTTATTCCAAGCACATCCATGACATCCTTTCCTATAAATGTATTCTGCTTGGCCAGAGAGAATCAGGAAAGAGACAACCTTAATATATCTTCACAGAAGGTTATATTTTTTGGAAAAGGAATGCCAATCAATTGGATTTTCCCATAGGAGCCAAGGCATCATGTAGGCTTATGTGCCTGTGCCAGACTGTGTAATAAGACATAGAATATGTTTTCAAGGAGCATTCTATTTTCTCCTCTTTTGTGTTTTTCGTTGAAAATTTCCCCATCACAAACATAGGCACTGGAGATCAAGTTATGGCTTTCCAACTAGAATGACTTCTGCGTTCTTGAATTGCCATCTAAGTAGCACCTTGCACCTAGGATGTAAAGCATAATATGGAATGCTGGCCTTCTTAGTAATGACTATTTCACCTTTTGATTATTTACTACATTTCTGCTTTAGCATGTTAAAAACCCCCTATAGCTGAATTGAATGTTGACTAAATTAGAAGGCACACAATGCTGGGTTTGATCCAAAATCCACAAAATCAGAAGTATTTTCTATCTCAGCCATACACGCTACCTATAATGGTGAATAGCAACTGTAACTAGGCAGGGCTCTTCCTTTTGATCAGGTAAGAAATTTTAAAGAATTAAAGGATTGAAATTGTGTAGAGAGTAATGGGGCTGATGTATCTTTTAAAACCCCGGAATTTATAACAAATGAGAGTTGTTCCTCTAAGAAATTACCCTGGGATTCTATAGCTTATAAAAATGATTGCTCAAAACATTTCTGGAATGCCTCTTTTGGAAATGACTTGAGGGATTCTGCATCATCACTTACTTCAATGCTCTTTTCTTCTTGCTGGCTAATGTGGGTGCGCTCTGGGAAATCAAAGCTGCTCATGCTGAGGAATTAACTCTAAAAGCTGGGAGTATCCAGAGCAGAATAGTATCTTTGCCTAGAAAAATGGTGTCATTTTAGTGGTATTACTGAGATGGAACACACAGCAAGCAAAATGGTGGCCTAAAGCAACTGTGGGCCAGTGGTTGCAGACCTTGGGAACAAAGCTGCCAAAGGAAATCACAGCAGATTCCTAGAGGGATTGTGTCTACCTGGGCAGCCCCAGATATTCCGGGTTTCCTTACTTGAGAGAGAGCTTGTTCTAGGACAGCAGCCCTATCTGGAAGTTTCTGAGATATTCTAAGGAAGTTTTCAAGAAGAATTAGACTAGCTGTAAGTCCCTTCCTTACTCATCTTCCCTCTCAAATACAACAACAACAAAAAAAAACAAAAATGAATGTGTTTGACTAGAATTCAGACTAGTAGGGCTAAACAGTGGAATTATGAAAGTTTACTGATGACATAAATGATGAAAGAGCATTTGTAGTTTAAGAAATTACAGCCACATGGCCAACCACAGGTTTCTGAATGCCCCCAACATAATCTTCCAAAGTGCTGACCACGGAAAAACTCCGCACTCACGACTCAGCTCAGGCCTGCTACCTAGCTGGTGCTGGAATTGTGGGGAATCTTGTGCTCCAGCCTACACAAAATACTGGCAGCTGGAGGTAGAGAAATTGTCCTCTTTGCTCCTTATTGATACTTCTAGGTTGTTATCCCTTTCTTCTCCCTAATTTCCCTGCTGCCCCAGGTTTTGGAAATGATGCTATCAGTCTACAGACTCCCAAGACCACTCTCCCTCATTTCTTGAAGATTTTATTCCTGGATCATTATCATTGTCTCTAGTGCTTCTCCCAGCATAGTTTTTGTGGTTTCATGTTGAAGTAAATGATCTTATAATACCGTAGACTCTTGACCTTCTGTCTTCCAGAGATTATGTTTTCCACTCTATATCAACAGTCATTCCTTGGGCCATATCTCGATCTTTGTCATTACCAAGAGTTGAACCCCCATAATCTTAATTTCAAGCTCTGACCAACATTGCCTCTCTTTCCAGTTCACTCCCTCAATTTGTTGACACCACCAGGACCTTCAATCAACTGATTTTTATCATCGTTCAACATCTCCACACTCCTCACATCCTCACTTCCCGCCTTGCCCTGGGTGAATGCCATGACCCTTACTCACACCCTGGCATCTGGCACATGTACTCAGGTCGTTTACCTCTTTGTCCGTTGTTTCAATCACCTGGCGAAGCCCAGCTCTAGGTTAAATCCAATTCTATCTACATTCTGTCTCCACCTACACCCACACAATGGAATGTGGTTGGAACAAAACAATCAACTGAGCTGACTGCTCTCATTGTAAATTCATGTTCCTTAGCATCAAGAGAGCCCTTAAATGCTGCCTGGCAGTTCTACTACATTTCCCTCTTCCCTAGATGACTATTTCACACCTCCTACTCCTCTCTCCTTAAACTTCCAACACATCCTCCCTCATCCCAGTCCTCTGCTGAGGACCTTGATTCCTATTTCACTGATAAAATTGAAGCAACAAGAGAACTTCTTCATGCTTTTTTTTTTTTTTTAACCACATGTAAAAATCCATCTGCTTCTGTGTCTATATATTCCTTCTCTCTTCTCTGGTCTCCCATCCAAATCCTGTCTACATGTGAACAGGTTGGATCCCATTCCTTCATACTTACTCAAGGACATTGCTCCAGTAATTGTCCTTTCTAACTTCTCAATCATCAAAGTCACCCTCTCTACTGGATCACTCCCATCCAAATATGCAATTATTTTTCTCATTCTAAAAAGTAACTGCTATGGTTTGGATGTGGTTTCTCCCCTCCTAAACTCATGTTGAAATTTAATTGCCAATGTAATGGTGTTGGGAGTTGGGGCCTTTAAGACGTGATTAAGTATTTAAGGCAGATTAATGTCTTTCTTGAAAGACAAGAGTGTTTTTTTTTTCTTTTCTTTTTTTTGGAATGGATTAGTTTTTGCAGGAATGGATTAGCTCCTGAGAGAGAAGAGTGGGTTGTTATAAAGTGAGGTGACCTCTACTGCTTTGTCCTTTTTTCCGCAAGCCCATTTCCTCTTCCATTTCTCCACCATGTTTTGACATGACATGAATGAGACCCTCACCAAAAGCTGCCAAATGCAGCTACCCCATCATGAACTTCCCAGCTTCTAGAACTATGAGCTACATAAACCTATTTTATTTATTAATTACCCTGTCTTGGGTATTCTGTTATAGCAACAAAAAATGGACTAAGACAGTAACAAAACCCTCTTTTGATTCCAAATCACTGTCATACTATTGCATTTTTCTGCTTCCTTTTTCAGCAATAGTCCTTGAAAGGGTTGTCAAGAACATTGTCTCCAATTTTTCTCTTTCCATTCCTTTTTAAATATATTCAGGTAGACTTTTGACCCCACTATCCACCCAAACTGCTTTAATCAAGGTCAACAGTGACCCACACATTGCTAAATCCAGTGATCCTTTTTCAGTCCTCACTGTACTTGACATAGACTAGTCTTTTTCCTGAAGATAGCTTTTCTACTTGGCTTTCAGGGCAATCAAAACTCTACCCTGCTTTTCCTTTTGTCATCTTGTGCTTCTTTTCTCAGGCTCTTTGCTGCATAGTTTCTCATTTCTCTCTACCTCTAAACAGGATCAGTCTTTGCACATCCTCTTTTCCCTGTCCATGCTCACTCATTTAGAGATTTCATCAAGACTCCTGACTGTAAATGCTATCTATATATTAATGACTTTGAAATTCATTAATTAATTAGCCTGGACCTCTCTCTGACTTCTACTTTTATTTATTTTTTATTTATCTTATTATATTTTAAGACAGGCTCTCACTCTTGCCCGGGCTGGAGTGCAGAGGCACAATCATGGCTCACTGCAGCCTCAACCTCCCAGGCTCAATTGATCCTCCCACCTAGGCCGCCTGAGTAGCTAGACCTACAGGCATGTGCCACCATGCCTGGCTACTTTATTTTTTTATTTTATTTTTTGTGGAGATGGGGGTCTCACTATGTTGCTCAGGCTGGTCTCAAACTCCAGGGTTCAAGAAACTTTCCTTCCTTGGCTTCACAAAGCGCTGGCATTACAGATGTGAGCCACCATGCCTGGCCAACTTCTACTTTCAGGTAGACAAGTGATCAATTAACATCTCCAAATGCCCAAAACCAAACTCCTAACCCTTCCATATCTGTTGCTCCTACAGTCTTTCCCATCTCAGTAAATGGAAAGTCTATTCTTTTAACTTCTCATGTCAAAAAGCTTTAAATTATCATTGACTTCTTTTTTTCTCTCAAATATCACAACCAATCTATCAGCAAATATTGTCAGCTCTACCTTAAAAGGTATCCCAAATCTTACCATGCCTTACCACTTCTATCTCCATTATTCTACTCCAAGCCTTCCCTTTTGCATGGTCAATCAAAATAGCCACCTAATTGGTCTTCCCACATCCATCTCTGACCCCTGTAGTCTATTTCTTAACATAATAGCCAACATGAACCTTTTATAACTTAAACCTACAATGGCTCCCCAGTCCTACTTCCCTAGAGTAAAAGCCAAAATCCTTACCATGGCCTGTAAAGCCTTGACCCCCATCAACATTCTGACCTCATCTACCACTTTCCCTCTCATTTACCTGACTCTAGCCACATTGGTCTCCTTGCTGCTCTTTAAACAAGTCAAGCATCCTTCTGCTTCAAGACCTTTGCATTTGATGTTCCCTCTGCCTGGACTGGTTTTCCCTCACGTATCACATTGCTTTCTTTCTCACTTCATTCAGTCTTCTGCTTAAATGAAACCATCCTTTGAAACTCTATTAAAACAAGCACCCTGTATTAGTTTGCTAGGGCTGCCATAACGAAATACCACAGACTAGTGGCTTAAACAGAAATTTATTTTCTCACAGTCGTGGAGGCTAGAATGCTGAGATTAAGGTCTGGCAGGTTTCACTTCTTCTGAGGCCGCTTTTCTTGGCTTTGTGGATGGCCACCCTCTTGCCATGTCCTCACATGGTCTTTTCTCCTGGTGTTCGCCTGTGTGTCCTAATCCCCTCTGCTTATAAATCAAATTGGGTTAGGATATGCCCTAATGGCCTCATTTTAACTTAATCATCTCTTTAAGGGGCCCATCTTCCAAAAGAGTCACATTCTGACATCCTGGGGACTAGGATCTCAACATGTAAATTTGGGGAAAACACAATTCAGTTCATAATGCTCCTTCTCCATTTTCTTTCTATTTCTACATAGCACTCATCACCTGGCAACCTGCCTTTCCTTGCTGGTTTATGGTCTGTATCTCTCCACTACAATGTCAATTCAAAGAGGGCAGGGATTTTTGTCTTTTTTGTTCACTGCTGTACACCCAGTGACTAGAACATTGCATGGCATATAATAAGCACTGAATAAATATTTGTAAAATGATCTAATGGATTTACATACTTACCTGTTCCGTGAAGCCATGTGAATTTGCAACCTCTAACCTCTCTCTTATCAGGGTTGTTTTCCATCAGTAAGCATTAATTTAGCATTTGCTCTGTGCTCAGCGTTGTGATTCATATTGGAGTAATTTGCAAAAACAAAAACACACATAAAAGCCCTCAATCTTTTTGCAACAATTTGTATTCCAAGACACTTACAAATAGGAACACATAAGAGTTTTTAAAAAGGATAGTAATTTATGGTACAAATTTCAACTGCAAAAAAACATATAAGTTGGTAACAAAGTACTCAGGGAAAACTTGTCTTTAAAATGGGGACAGTAATTCTTTTTTTTTTTTTTTTTTTTTTTTTTTTTTTGAGACGGAGTTTCGCTCTGTCGCCCAGGCTGGAGTGCAGTGGCGCGATCTCGACTCACTGCAAGCTCCGCCTCCCGGGTTCACGCCATTCTCCTGCCTCAGCCTCCCGTGTAGCTGGGACTACAGGCGCGCGCCACCACGCCCGGCTAATTTTTGTATTTTTAGTAGAGACGGGGTTTCACCGTGTTAGCCAGGATGGTCTCGATCTCCTGACCTCGTGATCCGCCCGTCTCGGCCTCCCAAAGTGCTGGGATTACAGGCGTGAGCCACCGCGCCCGGCCAGTAATTCTTATGTATTATAGGGGTTTGTGAAGATGAAATATCGTTATAGTTTACCAAACACTACTTCATATTAGGAAAATATTTGTAAGTTATAAGAAGAAAGACAGAGAGACCTGTGGGAGCCATATAAGCCCTCCTGTGGAAGGTTCCTGAGGCTCAAGAAGGAGTTAACTTGTCTGACAATGTCCAGGGGCCTGTTGGGCCCGGCCAGTCAATAAAAGCAGATCACAGATGTAATTCTTGTAACATGAGTCCTTGCTGGGTGCAACAGTGGGGCATGCTGAAGCCTTACAGAGGAGCCCCTCTCTAGCCTGCCCACACAGTTCAATTTGCTCTTAATAAAAATGCAATAAAAACCTAATTTGCCTCCAGACTGTTGAATACTTTTGATTCCAAATTATTTGGAATAGAAATCCTGACTCACAGTAATTTTGGAAAGAAGATGGATGAAGAATTCTTAAAAGAAAAAAGAAGGGAGAAAAAGAGATAAAGTGGCTGTATCTTACCAAACTGACAGTAAAGACACTGCAAGATTTAAAAAAATGTATGGGCCAAAGCTAAAATAATTTTTAGCAGCTATGCAGAAAGACTTTTGTGTTTCTAACAGCAGGTGGGGAAATTCAACCCTTTTTTTAAAGAGTCACATAATTTGGGGGAAGTAGGGCAATGCTAACTGCCATGTCTTCATTATGCCAAAGAAACTATTATAGATTCACTGAAGTCCCAAGTTTGGCTAGATTTTGAATTTGCTAATTCTTCTTCATCATGTTAGCACTGTCCAAAGTATTTGGCTCCTATGCCAAAGACATTAGATTAGTTTGCTGTGTATAGTAATAATAATATTTTATTTAGGTTTTAGATTATCTTCAGATTTCAATTATCTCGGTTGTCTCTTGTTAGTAAGAATAATGGCAAACTGTCTTTAATCTCAAATCATAATTATTTTCTTTTATGAGTTGCATCCATTGTCTCCCTTATCTTCTCTACCTTTATTATCTATCTAATCTGAAGTGTGCACAGGTTTTATACAAAACACATTAGGTACAAGAGTCTTTATTCTCACACAGTCTACTTGCCAGCCCACAACGAATACCACATTGGTCTGGTCTGGTCTAGACTAGTGTTCTGAACACTGAAGATTATAATAAGAGGTGGTGACAGCAAAGGTGGTAGTTTCCTTCTACGATATTGATGTCAGACATTTTCAGAAATAATTTGAACATTCCTAACTCATGCTTATTGGAATTTTATGACTTTCTCACTCATAAATCTAATCCATGCTCAACTGTTTTTATTTCTAGGCCATATAACCCTTTACAGGGTAATAAGTACTGTAATTTTACTACCCACTGTGAAAAATAACACCCCATTCTTGGTTTCAGTAAATCCTCATCGATTCTAAGATTCTAATATTGGTGAACTAATCTCTGTTCACCCTATCTACCAATGTAACTTAAATTATTTCCCCTTTTAGGATTTGCATAGACCCAGATGGCCTAAAATTTTAGGCTGTTTATAAATAATCACATATAAAAACTAAAACAATCTAGGCTAAATTGTTGTGAATTAATCTGAAGAAAAAGGGAAGCAGGAAATAGCAGAAAGTCAAGACAATAATTTTGTTTTCATAACATTATTTCTCTGTACTTCTCTCTCCAATGTAAACTCCTTCAGGATAGAAGGTGGTTTTTATTCATTTTTAGCTCTGCCCTCAACCACCTCCTGCTCCTGACCCACTTCACCCCAGCACAGTGATTCTCAAACATCTGTACATCTAGATCACCTGAAGGGTTTATTAAAATTGATTACAGAGCCCTATTCCTGGAGCTTCTCATTCAGTAGGTGTGGGGTGGAGTCTGCGGATATGCGTATCTGATGAGTTCCCAGGAGACTCTGATGCTGCTTGTCTGAGAACCATACCTGGAGAACTACTCGCTGCCTCAGCATATGGAAGGCTTTCACAAAATGTTGGTTGCATTGAATTGAAGCAACCTACTTGAAGGCAAGACATTAGACAAAGAGTCTAGTAAGATCAGTATATTAGTTGGGGTAGTACCTAAAGTACTGGAACCCAGAGATCCCAAGACAAAATAGCTTAAATATGATAAAAGTGATTTATCACACAACAGTCCAGAGGTAGGTGAGTAGTCCAGGGTAGAAAGGTAGCTGTGCGTGCTGAGTCCGGAAACCCAGGCTGAGGGGTTGACTCTGTCCATCTTTCCTTTGTGGTTTCCAGCAATGGGTCAAACATGCTGTTTCAGGATGTGTGGGCAAAGAGGAACACTTTGCTTTAAAAAAGAAGTGACTTTGAAATTGCACAAATCACTTTTGCTCATATCCCATTGGCTAGAACGAATTTACAGGCCCATACCTTGCTGTAGGGGTAGGGTGGGAAATTTAGTCTCTACCTTGGGCTATGTGCTCTGCTAAAATTCAGAGTGAGGGTTCCATTACTAAAAAATGATATGGACAGGACACAGTGAAATACTGGATAGAAGAGGATGATCTCCATGCAAAGGCCCCAGCCTCAAGCCTGGATCCTGGGGCCCTAAATGAGAATAGGCATTCCTGTTTTTATGCCCCAAAAGTTGCCTTTTGGCCCGCCATGCCTCCTGTCCTGCACCCATATAAGCCATGAATCCCAGGCTCCAGGGACAGACCAGCAAGCCAGCAGACCAGATGATGGATGGTGGAACAACGTGGCAGAGAAAAAGAGAAGAGGAGGAACATCTGAATGCCAAGAGAAGTTTGGCTGGGGGCAGTCAGAAAGGAGTCCAGCTGCTGGGTGGCCCAACTCCAGAGGAAGATCACCTTCCCATTCCATCCCCTTCTTCCAGCTCCCCATCCATCTCACTGCCACCTCCACCACTCAATAAAATCTTGCATTTATCCTCAAGCTTGCGTGTGACCTGATTCTTCCAGGACACTGGGCAAGAGCTCGGGATAAAGAAGGCTGTCACACTGGCCCTCTGCCTTTGCAAAAAGGCAGAGGGTCCACTGAGCTGATTAACACTCAAGCTGTCTGCAATGGCAAAGCTGAAAGAACTTTGTAGCACTGGGGTTGCAGGTACCCACCTCTAGATACTACTGTGGGGCCAGACCCAAAAGCGCTCTCCCTGGGCCCTGCACATGCCCATCTGTATGCTCCCCCTCTGGCTAGGGATTTGAGCAGTGAGGTGACCGAACAGGTGAGCCACAACCCTGTCACACATCCTGCGAGAGGTATCAGGGAACTCTCCCACTTCAAAAGGAGGAAAAAGAGACTGGATACTGGCGGATAGTTGGCAGTTTCTGTCACAAAAACTTTATGGCAAATATACGTGTACAGTGACAAAAATCTGAGCAATAGATACAATTAGGGTTCTCTATGTATTTGTACATATTTTGGGGGGGAATAAAGTGAGATAGGGAAGCAATTACGCTTAATACAGATGTTGTTAATTTGGTATTAATATGGATCTAAAAGCAAGACCCTTTCATTTATATCAACATGTCAATACGCCAGTGTATCAAAGGAGCATGAGAATGTCCTGTACTCACTAGAGGAGCATGGAGGAACACATGGTTTGGTGAATATGAAGTTGTAGGTGTGAGAAATGCATGGAAGTCCAGAATGGAAGCCTTGATAGTAGCTGGGGCA
This sequence comes from Homo sapiens, assembly GCF_000001405.40. Taxonomy (NCBI): domain Eukaryota; kingdom Metazoa; phylum Chordata; class Mammalia; order Primates; family Hominidae; genus Homo; species Homo sapiens. Next base: position 119,020,110 of record NC_000001.11, read on the forward strand.
GAAAGAACAATGGGACTGACAGTGGGTAAGAGTGAGACACATGGTGGTAGTTGTTGCAGAATAGTGGGAGGAGAGGAAGAGCACAAGAGACACTCAGTTACAATATAAGCGTGTAGTGTTAGACATCAAGGGAGACCATGGAAGAGAGTAATGTAACCTACATGGGAGGCAGGGAAAAGCTTGACAGGAACATTTTACACGTTACAAACAGCAACAACAGCATGGGCGGGAGTTCTGAAGCACCAAGCTAGAAGAGTGCCAAAGTTGAAAAGGGCTCAGGAAGGGGTTTGTTTCTTTAGCAAAAAGCAGAAAAAGCAATAGATAAGAGAAATGACAGCAGTAGCTGAATTGGACATCAACCGCGATACAGGGAAGGGGGAAGAGATGAATTCAGGATGCCCCAGAGGCAAAAGCAAATGACCATTATGCATAAATGTGGGTGCACACTAATCACCAGGGAATTCTTTGTCTTTGTGCTGAGTTAGAGGAGCTTTAAAGATGACTAGAAAACAGCAAGTAGAAGGGGGAGGAGCCAAGATGGCCGAATAGGAACAGCTCTGGTCTACAGCTCCCAGCGTGAGCGACGCAGAAGACGGGTGATTTCTGCATTTCCATCTGAGGTACCGGGTTCATCTCACTAGGGAGTGCCAGACAGTGGGCACAGGTCAGTGGGTGCGCGCCCCATGCGCAAGCCGAAGCAGGGCGAGGCATTGCCTCATTCAGGAAGCGCAAGGGGTCATGGAGTTCCCTTTCTTAGTCAAAGAAAGTGGTGACAGACGGCACCTGGAAAATCGGGTCACTCCCACCCGAATACTGCGATTTTCCAACGGGCTTAAAAAACGGCACACCAGGAGATTATATCCCACACGTGGCCCACCAGTCAGTCTCACTGATTGCTAGCACAGGGGTCTGAGATCAAACTGCAAGGCAGCAGCCAGGCTGGGGGAGGGGCGCCCACCATTGCCCAGGCTTGCTTAGGTAAACAAAGCAGCCTGGAAGCTCAAACTGGGTGGAGCCCACCACAGCTCAAAGGAAGCCTGCCTTCCTCTGTAGGCTCCACCTCTGGGGGCAGGGCACAGACAAACAAAAAGACAGCAGTAACCTCTGCAGACTTAAATGTCCCCATCTGACAGCTTTGAAGAGAGCAGTGGTTCTCCCAGCACGCAGCTGGAGATCTGAGAACAGGCAGACTGCCTCCTCAAGTGGGTCCCTGACCCCTGACCCCTGAGTAGCCTAACTGGGAGGCATCCCCCAGCAGGGGCACACTGACACCTCACACGGCCGGGTACTCCAAAAGACCTGCAGCTGAAGGTCCTGTCTGTTAGAAGGAAAACTAAAAAATGGAAAGGACATCCACACCAAAACCCCATCTGTACATCACCATCATCAAAGACCAAAAGTAGATAAAACCACAAAGATGGGGAAAAAACAGAGCAGAAAAACTGGAAACTCTAAAAAGCAGAGCGCCTCTCCTCCTCCAAAGGAACGCAGTTCCTCACCAGCAACGGAACAAAGCTGGACGGAGAATGACTTTGACGAGCTGAGAGAAGAAGGCTTCAGACGATCAAATTACTCCGAGCTATGGGAGGACATTCAAACCAAAGGCAAAGAAGTTGAAAATTTTGACAAAATTTTAGAAGAATGTATAACTAGAATAACCAATACAGAGAAGTGCTTAAAGGAGCTGATGGACCTGAAAACCAAGGCTTGAGAACTACGTGAAGAATGCAGAAGCCTCAGGAGCCGATGAGATCAACTGGAAGAAAGGGTATCAGCGATGGAAGATGAAATGAATGAAATGAAGTGAGAAGGGAAGTTTAGAGAAAAAAGAATAGAAAGAAACGAGCAAAGCCTCCAAGAAATATGGGACTATGTGAAAAGACCAAATCTACGTCTGATTGGTGTACCTGAAAGTGACGGGGAGAATGGAACCAAGTTGGAAAACACTCTGCAGGATGTTATCCAGGAGAACTTCCCCAATCTAGCAAGGCAGGCCAACATTCAGATTCAGGAAATACAGAGAACGCCACAAAGATACTCCTTGAGAAGAGCAACACGAAGACACACATTTGTGAGATTCACCAAAGTTGAAATGAAGGAAAAAATGTTAAGGGCAGCCAGAGAGAAAGGTCGGGTTACCCTCAAAGGGAAGCCCATCAGACTAACAGCAGATCTCTCAGCAGAAACTCTACAAGCCAGAAGAGAGTGGGGGGCCAATATTCAACATTCTTAAAGAAAAGAATTTTCAAACCAGAATTTCATATCCAGCCAAACTAAGCTTCATAAGTGAAGGAGAAATAAAATACTTTACAGACAAGCAAATGCTGAGAGAGTTTGTCACCACCAGGCCTGCCCTAAAAGAGCTCCTGAAGGAAGTGCTAAACATGGAAAGGAACAACTGGTACCAGCCACTGCAAAATCATGCCAAAATGTAAAGACCATCGAGACTAGGAAGAAACTGCATCAACTAACGAGCAAAATAACCAGCTAACATCATAATGACAGGATCAAATTCACACATAACAATATTAACTTTAAATGTAAATGGACTAAATGCTCCAATTAAAAGACACAGACTGGCAAATTGGATAAAGAGTCAAGACCCATCAGTGTGCTGTATTCAGGAAACCCATCTCACAGGCAGAGACACACATAGGCTCAAAATAAAAGGATGAAGATCTACCAAGCAAATGGAAAACACAAAAAGGCAGGGGTTGCAATCCTAGTCTCTGATAAAACAGACTTTAAACCAACAAAGATCAAAAGAGACAAAGAAGGCCATTACATAATGGTAAAGGGATCAATTCAACAAGAAGACCTAACTATCCTAAATACATATGCACCCAATACAGGAGCACCCAGATTCATAAAGCAAGTCCTGAGTGACCTACAAAGAGACTTAGACTCCCACACAATAATAATGGGAGACTTTAACACCCCACTGTCAACATTAGACAGATCAACGAGACAGAGAGTCAACAAGGATACCCAGGAATTGAACTCAGCTCTGCACCAAGCGGACCTAATAGACATCTACAGAACTCTCCACCCCAAATCAACAGAATATACATTTTTTTCAGCACCACACCACACCTATTCCAAAATTGACCACATGCTTGGAAGTAAAGCTCTCCTCAGCAAATGTAAAAGAACAGAAATTATAACAAACTATCTCTCAGACCACAGTGCAATCAAACTAGAACTCAGGATTAAGAATCTCACTCAAAACCGCTCAACTACATGGAAACTGAACAACCTGCTCCTGAATGACTACTGGGTACATAATGAAATGAAGGCAGAAATAAAGATGTTCTTTGAAACCAATGAGAACAAAGACACAACATACCAGAATCTCTGGGACACATTCAAAGCAATGTGTAGAGGGAAACTGATAGCACTAAGTGCCCACAAGAGAAAGCAGGAAAGATCCAAAACTGACACCCTAACATCGCAATTAAAAGAACTAGAAAAGCAAGAGCAAACAAATTCAAAAGCTAGCAGAAGGCAAGAAATAACTAAAATCAGAGCAGAACTGAAGGAAATAGAGACACAAAAAACCCTTCAAAAAATTAACGAATCCAGGAGCTGGTTTTTTGAAAGGATCAACAAAATTGATAGACCGCTAGCAAGACTAATAAAGAAAAAAAGAGAGAAGAATCAAATAGATGCAATAAAAAATGATAAACGGGATATCACCACTGATCCCACAGAAATACAAACTACCATCAGAGAATACTACAAATACCTCTACGCAAATAAACTAGAAAATCTAGAAGAAATGGATAAATTCCTCGACACATACACTCTCCCAAGACTAAACCAGGAAGAAGTTGAATCTCTGAATAGACTAATAACAGGAGCTGAAATTGTGGCAATAATCAATAGCTTACCAATGAAAAAGAGTCCAGGACCAGATGGATTCACAGCCGAATTCTACCAGAGGTACAAGGAGGAACTGGTACCATTCCTTCTGAAACTATTCCAATCAATAGAAAAAGAGGGAATCCTCCCTAACTCATTTTATGAGGCCAGCATCATCCTGATACCAAAGCCGGGCAGAGACACAACCAAAAAAGAGAATTTTAGACCAATATCCTTGATGAACATCGATGCAAAAATCCTCAATAAAATACTGGCAAACCGAATCCAGCAGCACATCAAAAAGCTTATCCACCAAGATCAAGTGGGCTTCATCCCTGGGATGCAAGGCTGGTTCAATATACGCAAATCAATAAATGTAATCCAGCATATAAACAGAACCAAAGACAAAAAACACATGATTATCTAAATAGATGCAGAAAAGGCCTTTGACAAAATTCAACAACCCTTCATGCTAAAAACTCTCAATAAATTAGGTATTGATGGGATGTATCTCAAAATAATAAGAGCTATCTATGACAAACCCACAGCCAATATCATACTGAATGGGCAAAAAGTGGAACATTCCCTTTGAAAACTGGCACAAGACAGGGATGTCCTCTCTCACCACTCCTATTCAACATAGTGTTGGAAGTTCTGGCCAGGGCAATTAGGCAGGAGAAGGAAATAAAGGGTATTCAATTAGGAAAAGAGGAAGTCAAATTCTCCCTGTTTGCAGACAACATGATTGTATATCTAGAAAACCCCATTGTCTCAGCCCAAAATCTCCTTAAGCTGATGAGCAACTTCAGCAAAGTCTCAGGATACAAAATCAATGTACAAAAATCACAAGCATTCTTATACACCAACAACAGACAAACAGAGAGCCAAATCATGAGTGAACTCCCATTCACAATTGCTTCAAAGAGAATAAAATACCTAGGAATCCAACTTCCAAGGGATGTGAAGGACCTCTTCAAGGAGAACTACCAACCACTGCTCAGTGAAATAAAAGAGGACACAAACAAATGGAAGAACATTCCATGCTCATGGGTAGGAAGAATCAATATTGTGAAAATGGCCATACTGCCCAAGGTAATTTACAGATTCAATGCCATCCCCATCAAGCTACCAATGACTTTCTTCACAGAATTGGAAAAAACTACTTTAAAGTTCATATGGAACCAAAAAAGAGCCTGCATCGCCAAGTCAATCCTAAGCCAAAAGAACAAACCTGGAGGCATCACACTACCTGACTTCAAACTATACTACAAGGCTACAGTAACCAAAACAGCATGGTACTGGTACCAAAACAGAGATATAGATCAATGGAACAGAACAGAGCCCTCAGAAATAACGCCGCATATCTACAACTATCTGATCATTGACAAACCTGAGAAAAACAAGCAATGGGGAAAGGATTCCCTATTGAATAAATGGTGCTGGGAAAACTGGCTAGCCATATGTAGAAAGCTGAAACTGGATCCCTTCCTTACACCTTATACAAAAATCATTTCAAGATGGATTAAAGACTTAAACGTTAGACCTAAAACCATAAAAGCCCTAGAAGAAAACCTAGGCATTACCATTCAGGACATGGGCAAGGACTTCATGTCTAAAACACCAAAAGCAATGGTAACAAAAGCCAGAATTGACAAATGGGATCTAATTAAACTAAAGAGCTTCTGCACAGCAAAAGAAACTACCATCAGAGTGAACAGGCAACCTACAACATGGGAGAAAATTTTCGCAACCTACTCATCTGACAAAGGGCTAATATCCAGAATCTACAATGAACTCAAACAAATTTACAAGAAAAAAACAAACAACCCCATCAAAAAGTGGGCAAAGGACATGAACAGACACTTCTCAAAAGAAGACATTTATGCAGCCAAAAACCACATGAAAAAATGCTTACCATCACTGGCCATCAGAGAAATGCAAATCAAAACCACAATGAGATACCATTTCACACCAGTTAGAATGGCAATCATTAAAAAGTCAGGAAACAACAGGTGCTGGAGAGGATGTGGAGAAATAGGAACACTTTTACACTGTTGGTGGGACTGTAAACTAGTTCAACCATTGTGGAAGTCAGTGTGGCGATTCCTCAGAGATCTAGAACTAGAAATACCATTTGACTCAGCCATCCCATTACTGGGTATATACCCAAAGGACTATAAATCATACTGCTATAAAGACACATGCACACGTATGTTTATTGCGGCATTATTCACAATAGCAAAGACTTGGAACCAACCCAAATGTTCAACAATGATAGACTGGATTAAGAAAATGTGGCACATATACACCACGGAATACTATGCAGCCATAAAAAATGATGAGTTCATGTCCTTTGTAGGGACATGGATGAAATTGGAAATCATCATTCTCAGTAAACTATCGCAAGAACAAAAAACCAAACACCACATATTCTCACTCATAGGTGGGAATTGAACAATGAGAACACATGGACACAGGAAGGGGAATATCACACTCTGGGGACTGTGGTGGGGTTGGGGGAGGGGGCAGGGATAGCATTGGGAGATATACCTAATGCTAGATGTCGAGTTAGTGGGTGCAGCCCACCAGCATGGCACATGTACACATATGTAACTAACCTGCACATTGTGCATATGTACCCTAAAACTTAAAGTATATTAATAATAATAATAAAAAAAAGAAAACAGCAAGTAGAAAAGGAAGGCACAGAAAAAATGAAAGCATAATAATTCACTGAGGAATCAGCAACCTCAGAAATTCTATTTGTTAATTTTTCTATAAGGGGCCCAGGAGAGGAAACTATAATAAAATAATATTGTGGCCTTCATCCTCATGAGTCCTCACCTCCTCCTTCAGTGCAGGAACTTTCTTCTGGAATATTGCTGAGGATCAACACCTTTCCTGCTCACTGGCCGTCCGGTTCATGGTGGGAACACTTCTCTCCCCAGGGCTGGTTCCCACACTCATGTCTGAATAAGCCACGCAGTCTCTCATTAAAACAAAAAAAAGTCGTTACAGAAGCCTCTTTTTGGGGGAGGCTACTGCAAACTCAGGGAACTCGCTGAACAACCTATTTATTGGAACTGACAATTGTTCGCAATGGGTTTCCCTACAGGACAGGCTGGTGTGGGGAGATCTGGTGGTAAAGGCCAAGCACGTAGCACTTCTTCAGCACTGCATTTACAGATAGGAAATGGGACATGGCTTTCTTCCCAGGAAGAGCCTGTATGTTTATATTACTCCCACAAAGGGAAATCTGTAAAACCAGACCATTTTGTCCTAGAGTCATATAAAGTCATATCATTTGATTTTCAGAAACACTTAGAAGAAAAGGACGACTGTAGGCCTGCTTTACTATGTGCATAGGTGGGTAGAAGTGAGGAGGGCATATTATAAAATGAATTTGCATTCCATTGAGCCAACATGGTTATATCAAATATTAAATATTTTATTTATTCAAGGACTACTAAGTGATTGTGACATCTAGAGGCCACATTCCCAGTAATTAAGAGCAAATGCCATAGCTAATGCACAGGAGAGGGACAAGACTCAGAAGACTTTGGTTATAATTCCTATTCGACCTCTCACTGGCTTTCCATGTCCATCTCTACATAGACAAGGAGCCTGAGGGTAGAGACTGTGTCTCATTTCTAATTCTTCGTACTTGGATTGTACCTGCAAAACAGGCACTCCACAAATGCTTGTTCACTGAGTATATTAGGTGAATCCACATGGAACTGCCAGTGTTTTTGGTAAAAAATAGTAATCAAATATTACAATTTCATGTGACTCAACATAATATTTCCATCTAATTTTGTCCACATATTGTATGAATTTGCCTTTCCCTAAATGTGCTCATGTTTCTGTGCCCTACTTTTTAATTGAAAAGCCCTTTCTCCTGTCCTATATCGATCATATTCCTTCCTTGAACATTCTTGTGAATTACTCATTCCCAGGCACACCCAGCATTTGCTAGCTGGTATCTCTGTGTGTCCTCCTCTAAATTGTAGTCATATTGCATTTCCTCAGTGCCTACACAAACATTTGTCATAATGTTGAATTACCTATCTAAGGATAAAGTCACTATAGCTCTGAAACCCAGTTTCCTTCCTAGAGAAAGAAGATAATCCCTGCCTGGCCAATATAACAGAACTGTTGAGAGTTAACATATGAGGACTTAAAATGATTAACAGTAAAGCCTCCAGGTTGTTCTTCTTAAAGGGGGTGGTTTGAAAATGTTAAGTGCTATTAATAGGCAATTTGTTTTCAGCTCAATCTCAGGGAGGGATTGACTTCCTAGCCAAAACATTTCAAAAGATGCATCCAGTTGACAGACTGAAAAGAGAATGTCGATCACATAGGGAGGACACACAAAGAGAACACAGACAGAGTCCTTGTGTTGAAGAGAAAGAGACCAAGAATTGTCACATGCACAATTATTCCCTTTAACTAGTAACAGGGGCACACAGCACTTGATAGGGTGAACTGAAAGAAATCAAAGGCTGCATGTGAGAGCAAACTAAGGACTGCTCTGTGTACAAATGAAGAACTTTTGGGGGAATAATTATAACAGCATTAAAGTAAGGAGAGGGGAGGGGAAAAGGAGGCAAGGAGGGAGAAGTGAGGGCTAAGAATATCATAGGACACACAAGAGAGTATCACAAGTACTTGGAGAAGATTCTAGACTCAATGAAGAGTGGCAGACTACTCCCTTAGGCACAATAGTTAAGGGATATTTCTTAGTTCTTAATTGGGAGAAGCTAGAGACTCATAATAAATATGTGACTTTTGGCAAGTTGCTGAATGTTACTTTAAAAACTGGTATTAATAGTTCCTATCTTATAGAGCTGATATAAACATGAAATAAGACATTGAACATAAACACACTTACAAAGTGCTCAGCATATGGCAAGTATATAATACATATTGTAATAGCTCTTATTATTTAACATTGTTTGGCAAACTATATGGTCATTCTCAAGTAATGTTTTTACTATATTCAAGAATTGTCCAGTTGAAGAACTCTCCAGGAAGAGTCTTGAACTTTACGTATTTGATCTATTATAAGCAAAACCAGTAAACTGAATACTGAAGAAGCAGTATCTATAGATGGTTCTATGACAGAAATGTTCTCCACCTATATTTATCCACTATGACAGGCATTAACCACATGAAGCCACAGGGCACTTGAATGTGCTGCTAAGAAAGCAATTTTTAAAATTTAATTATTTCAATTTAAATGGACACATACCATATTGGACAGTGTTGCCCCCCATACGTACCAAAAGACCTTATACAGGTCACTGTGGCCTAGTGGGGCTCTGGATTAGGTGACCTGGATTTGAAACCAGAATCTTCCCTTTAGAAGCTGAACTACATTAAGCAAGTAACTCAGCCTCCCATGCCTCAGTTTCAACTTTTGCAATCTGAGGTTGATAACAGTATCTACTTTATTGGCTTGTAAATTAAATTAGAGAATGCAAATAAAGCAATGGTTCTCAAAGTTCAGCATGCCATCAGTATCACCTGGAAGGCGAAGACACCAATTGCTGGGTTCATCCTCTAGGTTTTTTACTCAACAGGTCTGAGGGAGTCAGATAATTTGCATTCCTAATGAGTTCCCAGGTGATGCTCATGTTGCCGGTCTGGGGACCACACTTGGAAAAACACTGTTATAAGCCATTCAGTATGGTGCCTGATACACAATGAGAACTCAATAGTGTTATTATGATAAGCATCTTGATGGTGTACATCAGTAGGGCTTTTGCAAAAAAAAATTCACACTTTATTAGAAATCTCTAGCCCATTTTTTGACACATACTTTTGATAAATGTTTATGGGTCACCTACAAAGGGCAAGACACCCCCACTGTGTTGAGTGACCAGCTGTCAAAGTCGGTTTGAAGCAGGGTTTCAGAGCACCAGTTACAGGACCATTATTATTACCACCTGAAATATTTTTCACCATTTCAACTTCCCACAAAACATACAGAAAAAAAAAAATTAGGTTTCTCTCCAATGTGTCATCTCCATTAGAAAGATTGTGAAGGGCCTATAAACAATAAGTGGAAGGGATGTGAAAATAGATCTAGATTCCATACTTGTTGGCTCTTTTATCAACTTCCTGAGATCACTGGGTGTGATGGATTTTTTTTTTTTTTTTTTGAGACGGAGTCTCGCTCTGTTGCCCAGGCTGGGGTGTAGTGGTTTGATCTCGGCTCACTGCAAGCTCCACCTCCTGGGTTCACACCATTCTTCTGCCTCAGCCTCCCTAGTAGCTGGGACTACAGGCGCCCCCCACCACACTCAGCTAATTTTTTTTTTTTGTATTTTAAGTAGAGACGGGGTTTTCACCATGTTAGCCAGGATGGTCTCCATCTCCTGACCTCGTGATCCGCCCGCCTCGGTCTCCCAAAGTGCTGGGATTACAGGCGTGAGCCACCGTGCCCGGCCGTGATGGATAATTTTATGTGTCAACTTGACTGAGTTAAGGGATATCCAGATAGCTGGTAAAGCATTACTCTGAGCGCGTGTGTGAGGGTGTTTCTGGAAGAGATTGGCCTTTGAATCAGTAGACTCAATAAAGGAGATACGCCCTCATCGATGTGGGCTGACATCCAATCAGTTGAGGGACTGACTAGAAGAAAAAGACAGAGGAAGGGCAAATTTGCTGTCTTCTTGAGCTGGAACTTCACCTCTCCTGCCCTAGGACATCACAGCTCCTGGTTCTCAGGCCTTTAGACTCTGGGACTTACAGTGGCCCCCAGGTTCTCAAGCCTTCAGCCTTGGACTGACAGTTACATCATTGGTTCCCCTGGTTCTCCAGCCTAAGGACTTGGACTGTATCACACCATCATCTCTCTTGGGTCCAGCTTGCACATAGCCTATCATGGAACTTCTCAGCCTTCATAATTGGGTGAGCTAATCCCCATAATAAATTCTCTAATATATAGATATATATCCTATTGGTTTTGTTTCTCTGAAGAATCCTGATTAATACTGATTAACCGGATAAGATTCTCTTAATAATTATGGGCCAAGTTTGGACTTGAACAGTTGGGTCACTTAAAAAAAATAACAACAGGTTGCAAACAAGTCCACCCTCACCAATGCATAGACTTCGGTCCCTGGAAGTTATCACAAGTTATCTGTTTTTCTCCTCTGAGATTCTTTCCATAGTGCCTTAATTTTTTGGAGGAAAGGTATTGCAAGGGGGTAAAAACCACACAAACAGATAAACAGACAATTGGCTTGATAGATCTACCTTTAGTTTTGTCATTTTCCAGTATTCACAATCCTTTCAAAGTTTCCTTTAAAGGGGAAAAAACAGAGGCTTGTAAGAAATATGCTCAAAGAGGTTCTAGGACTTACAGACATCCCATTCCAGTATAAGATACAAAAGGCAAAATGTTTCCTTTACCCATGATCCAGGCTAGCTCCAAGAATCCTAAAAACGATGTTTTAATTTGGAATCTGGGATGGGGCGTTTTGTGGATTAACATGTGTTCTGACACAAGGACTACTCTACTTCCTTAAGAAACATGAGCAAAAATGCTTTGCTCAACAACCTAGTTATGTATGTACAAATGGTGATCATGGTCCTTACTGATAAAAAACTTATAAGCAATTTCTGTTACAAAATCGATCTTGCTAACAGGTCTTGGTGTATAAGTTAGGATTATCATTTTCATTTTCAGGTGTCAGAAATGGAAGTGCAGAAAAGCTAGGTTTCAGGGTGACATTACTTAACTGAGGTAGAGGCAAGATGAGAAGCTGTCAGTCATTGGGAATATCTGATTTGTCAGTCTTCACTGCTATTGTAGACTGGCAGAACCTATTTCAAAGTATTTCTGCAATGAGCGTAGAGGAGAGAACTTGGGACCCGCCTTGGGGATTTTGATGGGGAAATGTGACCACGGTTCTGTGAATCCAGATTTTAAGTTCGCATCCATTGGCTGAATTGATGATATAAAAAACATCATCAGTCGTTCCAACACCCACCTTCAAAATCAGAATGTTTAGAGTCTAAAAAACGCTGCCTTTCAGCATTTTTTTTGTACTGAATAAACAAGCACTATTCTTAAGAATAAGGGGTAAGGGTTTTACTCTCAGATTTGCTTCTCTTATGGAGTGATATCGTACAAGCTAATTGGATTCTCTCAGCCTCACTTTCCTCATGTGTAAAATGACAATAATTCTCCTAATTCATAGGGGGTTGGTGAGACTAAACTGAAATGAATGCAAGAAAGCACTTATTAAGAATATAATTCAGGGACTTGGGCTCTTGTACAATAAATAAATCAGGTCAAAATAATGCAACCTCCTTAGAAGATCATATCCCATATCTCTGAATTAAAAAACAAATTATTGCTGGAACAGTTGGTGTTATCTCTTGGAAAACAAGTTAAGCAGCTTAAATATATTAAATCAGGCACCGTCTCAGTGACAAACAAACTATAAGAATGGACTTGTTTTTATGAGCTCTGAATACAAATTGGCATCTGATCAAATGGCATCTCAAGGATTATACATCTAAGACCTCTATATATTGCTTTATAAAAGGGTTGAAGTAGATAACGTGTGCATCTGTTACAGTAAGTACTCCAGAGAGAAGCACAAATGATACTCCATTTCCCAAATTACTCCTTACTTCAATCACATTTCTGCAGGCCAAGGAGTGTGCCTCAATAATTGGGGATTCAGACAGCTATGCCTTCTTGATTTATTTTTTGTTGTTGTTGTTCACAGCATTTTGTTGATGGGATTTGGAACACTGTCGTATTTCAAAGCTACAAAGCAATATTCATCAAATAAAGCCAATAATCAGCTATACCAAATTAAATGTCCCAAAACTATAACTTTTTCTTTTTAGGAAAGCTGCCGTTATCAGAATGCATGGAGTGCAAGGCACAAAAGCCTTGCTGTGATTCGTTGAAACTTCCTATAGAAAACCCACCAATTTCTTCACCTCCTGGCACACAGTGTATGCTAATTCTTTGGCTTTTGCTGATCCAATTTGTAAAACCTTCTCTAAATGGTCCTTGTCCAGCTTCAGTTTTTCAATTTCACGCTTAATTGGGGCAAACTTCTCAATCACAGCATCTGCCACGGCCAGCTTGTAGCGAGCAGTGTTCATGCCCGCGCTGCGGCGCACCACTTCCTCCACGGAGAGCCCCGTCACCGCGGCATGCACCGCCACTATGTTGGACACGCCAGCGCGGCCAGCCGGGTCATAGGTGACCTCCGAGGTGAAGTCTGTCACAGCCTTGCGGAATTTCTGCACTATCTCCTCTGGGCTGTCTGTTATTCGGACGGTGGCCAGTTTGTCAGGGTCTGATTTCGACATTTTGGCAGAAGGATCACGTAGGGATTTTACCTTCTTCATGGATGCTAGGTTAAAAACACCAACACACACATACCCAAAACAAAAACAAAACAAACAGATCACCAAGATGTACACACAGACAGTTCCCAACTTGCAATGGTTTGAATTATGATTTTTCAACTTTACAGTGGTGCAAATGTGATATCCATTCAGTAGAAACTGTACTTGAAATACCCACACAACCATTCTGTTTTTCACTTTCAGTATAGTATTCAATAAATTACATGAGATATTCAATACTTTATTATAAAATAGGCTTTGTGTTAGATGATTCTGCCCAATTATAGACTAATGTAAGTGTTCTGAGCACGCTGAAGGTGGGCTAGGCTAAGCTGTGATGTTCAGTAGGTTATGTGTGTTAAATGCATTTTTGATTAACAGTGTTTCCAACTTACAATGGCTTTATCAGGATGTAACCCAATTATAAGTCAAGAAGCATCTGTTCATACTTCATAAATTATATACTACTTTATAAATATTATTTTAAATTTTTGGTCTCTTCCATACTTTTAAAATATTTTTAGTTATCCTTTTCAATAATCCAACATCTTTTTCAGGAATCCAACGTAGTCTACTTTCTAGTCCTACACTAGAGAAAACAATGAGGACTCTAGTTACAGATCCTGAAGCCTGTCTACAAGAAAGCTGAGGTTAGTCCCAAGAAAGTTCCAAGCCTATCTATTGTCCAATCCTCTCTTTAGAATATACCCTGATGTAACAATTATAAGTTTCTTACTTACTGAGAATGGACTCGGGCACTGGAAAGAACTCCCCATACTTCTTGTTGAAACCTTGTGCTAGATCCTGAACTAGTTCCATGTGCTGGACTTGATCCTCCCCAACAGGAACGTGTGTGGACCTTTAATAAAAGACAGACAGAAAAACAACAGCAAGGCTCTTTCTTAGAGACAGAAATGATATTGCAAGCAGCTGCATTTCCTGTGAATATTTCACTGTTGGTATTCAACAAATGTTCACCAACTATAGAGGGAATGTTTAGACCTAAGTCTTTATCTATGGATCAGACAAAAGCCAAAGAGATGTTTCTCTACTCTAGTTGTGTTTTTTCCACAGCAGGGGAATACAGCCATCAACACCAGCATGACAGGATCTTGCTGGGAGGGAGGAATGGGATTTTAAATAGCATATGCTCTAGGCACAATTGTGTTTTAAAACTACTCCTCATTCCCTCACCCAGTCAGCACATATTATTCCCAGCCCTGACCAGATGCTCTTTACCTCAGAACTACAGCTCATACTTGAAAGACACCCCACCCCACTCTTCAAATCAAAGGCAGCAGAAAGTTCTTCAGGCAAGAGTTTTTCCTCCCTGTCACATAGGGAGTAATTCAATATTCTTTGGAGTAAGCTTCATTTTCAAGTACATTGCAATCACAGGACAATTAATATGTTGCAGAGAACTTAAAATCTATAAGTACAATGTAGATGGCTATCAAAAACTATGTGGGATGAAAAAAGCAAGTTGGAGAAAACATGAAATACACTGACATTTACGTAAATTTTACAAGTGCCTATGGAAATATATCTGTAATAATAAGTAAAAAAACATACTGGAAGCTCCTCCCCAAATTTGTAATTGTAGCTGCTTCTAGAGAAGGTGGAAAGGAAATAGATCTGAAGAAAAGAACAAAGGAGACTTGAATTTTATCTGTAATATTTCATATTATGAAGAAATGAAGATGTGAAACCAAAAATATCAGAATATAGGGAATGACTTCATCATGAGTTTAATCCCATATGTAAAGTTTGCAGTGTCAGATCATGACATAGTACATCAAATAAGGGAAGAATGAACCATTATAGAGAAGTCTTGATGAGGAAAATTTTATACTGAAGCAATATGGCGGGATTAAAAAACAGGCAATTTTATACATGCAATGCTTGGCTGGGAGTTTATACCTGATAATACAAGTAATACAGTGCGCTGAGGTTTTTTTAATCAAAGAAACAATATTGCTCCTGTGAAAAAAGCAGCGAGCCATCATAGGCAAGTTTCTTACCCTTTCTAAGCCTTCGTTTCCTCTGTAAAGTGAGGTTCATCATGGAGCTTACCTCATATAGCTCTTTCATGGATAACACGTATACTAATTGATAGTAAGAGCTCAATAAATGGTTGCTATTGATATAATATATAACTATATATTCATTAATATCTGACATGATGAAGGACAAATAAAGGTAAAATGAAGGACAAATGGTAAAATAAAGATACTATAGAGAACCTTGATGAGGGGTACACTGACTTTTTTCACACCAGATCATTTTCCTTTTTCAGAGCTGACATACCACAAATAGTAATGCATAATCCCAGAGATAGTCACAGACCTGGGCAGTGATCCTGATATGCATAGAAAACTTACTTGAAACTGACAGTTCACATATCTGATCAGGTAATCCCAAAATATAAATGGTATGTTACAGGAATTCTGAGAGCTCTTTTAATTTAAGGAAAACAAGAACAGAACAATCAATGGAAAGGCAAAATGTAAGGACCATGACAGCAGACCCAGAGTGGTTTCTCTTCTTCTAAGGTCAATAAGTGAATGTTGGCCAGGTGCATTGGCTCACGCTTGTAATGCAGCACTTTGGGAGGCCAAGGTGGGCGGGTCACCTGAGGTCGGGAGTTCGAGACTAGCCTGACCAACAAGGCGAAACCCGGTCCCTGTTAAAAATACATAATTAGCTGGGTGTGGTGGTGCATGCCTGTAATCCCAGGTACTCCGGAGGCTGAGGCAGAAGAATCTCTTGAACCCGGAGGCGGAGGTGGAGGCTGCGGTGAGCCAAGATTGCGCCATTGCACTCCAGCCTGGGAAATGAGTGAAACTCTGCCTCGAAAAATAAAAATAAAAATAAAAATAAATAAGTTAATGTGGGAAATTCTACAGAATAACTATTAGGGCCATAGCCATTGCTCTCTTCCACGCAGCCTGGAGTAGAAAGCCACTGGATCAGTGAGTGGCAAAAACAAAAATATTCCTTTTTATGTTTTCCTCAGCACTCATGGTCCTACATGATACTCCTCTCTGGGATGTACATGCAGACACCCCACCTTTGTAACTTTCTCTTCTTTGAGTGGACTTCGCTATACCTGTCTTGTAATTATAGTGAGGCTGACATGCAGAGGTCACCTTGACGCCCCCAAGCCAAATTAGCCAACAGAGCAGATTAGAAAGCAATTACAGTAGCCCATAGGAAATCACAATGGACTGCAACCAACACAGAAAAAACAATTACCATAATCAATACACTTTAAGCACATCAAAATGAATATTTCCACATGTCAAAATGGTTCCAGATTCACAAAGCAACCAAACTAAACAGAAAACACATTTAGTTTTCATAATGACTCTGCATGCATCTTTGCCTGATGTCGGATCCTTGCCTCTTTTTTAACAATTCTGTGGGGTTTTGCTTTTTAAAAACAAAAAGGATTTAAAAAATTTTAATCTTTTTCATCTGCCCCATTGCTCCACTTGGCTTTTTCATCTGATTTTAGTGTGTTTGTTTCTAGCCTTCCCTCCCTGTGCTCCTGCTGCTCCTTTCACCTCCTATAATTTATCTTAGCCTTTACTTCTCATCCATTGAGTTTACACTTTACATTAATTCATCTTGTCTTTGATTCTACTCACTTATGTGCCTTATTCTCTTCATATTTTCAGCCTTTCTCCTCAGTCTTTCTTTCACTTCAAATAATTTAGTGCTGTTCTTTAAAAATTTATACCCTGCATAATGATATCCCTTTTAATGTGTCTTCTCTTTTTTTCTGTTTTCCTTTTTTTTAAGTTACTCTGACTGTGCTTTCTTAGACACAACATAAAACAAAAGCCTTTCATAATTTTGATTGTTATAACTTCTGTCATATAATAATGCCTCTGATCTTCTCCTTTGGTGACTAAACCATTTTTCTTTTGCTTAGTTCCTTTTTGCATCTATGATACTTGAGATCACCCCACCCTTCTGGCAGAATTAGTGTCCAGATGAATAAACGTTGCCTACATATATCTGCTCACAGAGATTTGTTCTCTTATTATTTCTTTTTCTACTTTTTTGGCTGTGTTTGTAAGTTTTCAGTGCTGCTGCCTTTAACCAGCCCGGCTGGGACAGGAGTTTGGTGGTGTTTTCTTGTCATAAAGGATTAATTCCTCATGACTAGTTGCTTGTAGGATATGCAATAATGACTCTCTAATTCAGCAATTACTTATTGAAGACCCACGATGTGAAAGTCCTGGTGCTGGGTACTGTGAAAGATATAATGAAGGGTTTACTTTCTAAAGATTTAAGGCCACCAGGAGGAGAGATAATACCCAATGAAGCTTTAAATTCTTCTGGCCAGTCCTCCTTCAGCATCCCCTATCTCAGTGAATGGCAATGCTATCAATCCAGTTGGGTAAGTCAGAAATATCGGGTCATCCCTGACACCTCCCTCTCATACACATCCAGTCCTATCAGTTTTACTTCCTAAATGTTTCTTATATTTGTCTACTTTTCTGCATCTTCACTGTCATCATCATGGCCCATATTAGACTAGTGAAATAGCCTCTAAATAGATGGCCCCAGATATTCTTCTCTTCCTAAAACTCATTCTCTGTATTTTAATCAATTCTCTTTTAAAAGTATAAGTCATATCAAATTTGCTGTATCCTTAAAATGTACAAATAGCTTCCTGTTACTTTTTAGAGAGTGTACTGGATTATCTGTTGACATCTCAGCACCATTCTCTCCCTTCTATGCTACCTCTTGATTTTCAGGGGCTGCAGCCTGGAAACTACATTTTTCATACTGCCTTTCAGTAGGGTTCTGGTTTGGTGTAGGCATTTGCCTAATAGAGGTAAAGTGGAAAGAGAAAGATAAAAAATTATTGCTTAGGTAGAGTGGGTGAATATGTGGATATGAGCAGACTACAGAAATGAGTAGCTTCCTGCATCTCGGAAAAATCCAGGCTCAACCGGCCTCACAAAGAATGAAGCACTTCAAGAACTGGAAGTTTCCAAGGCAGCTATAGGAAATCCAGCATTCTTAGAAAAAGCTCTCAAATGCTGTTTTATGACAGTCTCAAAGAAAGAGAAATAATAATAATACAAAGCTCTCAAAAAGCTTATTTTCAATGGTCCTCAATGGCAGTAGCCTGATTCTTAGACATTATGATGACACCTCTTCTCTGACTCTACCAGTCTGAAGTTTCTGAGCAATCATTTTACTCTCTATACTTTCTGGGTTTTGGTTTGGTTTGGTTTCTGCCTGCAGTTTCTTGAGGCCTCTGTTTTCTCATTTTTCTATATCATTTTTGCTTTTGTTTTCAGTCTTCTTTTTGTTTTTATTTTTTGAGATAGAGTCTCACTCCGTCACCCAGGCTAGAGTGCAGTGGTGCACTCTCAGCTCACTGCGGCCTCCTCCTCCCGGATTCAGGCAATTCTTGTGCCTCAGCCTCCCGAGTAGCTGGGACTACAGGCACACACCACCACGCCCGGCTAATTTTTTGTATTTTAAGTAGAGACAAGGTTTCACCATTTTGGCCAGGCTGGTCTTGAACTCCTGAGCTCAGGTGATCTGCCTGCCTCGGCCTCCCAAAGTGCTGGGATTACAGGCGTGAGCCACTGTGCCCGTCAGTTTCCAGTCTTCTTATCCTCTTCCCAAATTTTTCAGATTCTTGAGAAAGATAATCTGATTAGCCCAGATACTCACTTTCATCTCTATCTGAATGAATTTAGTGGAATCTCTCTGAAACTTCATTTCCCCATCTGTAAAATGGGGATAATGCCACCCACTTATTTCATAGCCCTATTGTGAGAACTGAATAGATAATGAGTGTGTAGCAGTTAGTAGATGCCTGGCAAATAATTCTCAACACATGTCAAGTCCTTCCTTTCCTTTCCCTCAAGGCCATGTATAGTGCCCTTTTTCCGGATCAGTGGCATTGTAGGTACTTAGCAACTATTTGTTGTTGTTTAATAAAAATTATATATGTATGTGTGTGCCTTTATGTGTATGTGTGTGTGTATATATATATGTATACAACACATATATATAACACATATACATACACACAAACAGAGAGAGAGAAAAAGAGAGAGAGAGAGACATATACACAGAGAGAGAAAGGGGAGAAATAAACATTTACTTAATACATAGCCAGCTATTTGAAATTAGGCATTTGGAGAAATAATACAGATGCAAAATAAAAACTATGAACACTTGCTATTTTTGAGCATTGGAATATTTTGTCTGTATTCAAATTTCTTGTACTTATCATACTCTCAAGCTGAAGATGGTCTCAGCTGTCCATTCCAGGGTTCCTTACCAAGTTCTGCCAAAATAGTTACATAAATCTTTTATAAACTTATCTGAAAGGCTCCTCTTCCATTCCTTTCTATTATGTTTGTTTTCTGACCCACCATGCCACTCATTCTAATGATGATTTTGACAAAAGGAAACACTAATATTTGGCTTGCGTCAAAATTTTATGAAGAGGTCACACATAGATTTGCTGATAGGAAAAAAAAAACACAGATGTTTTATCCACCCTTCAATCTACCATTCTACCTGTCTACATTTATAATACAAATATTCATAGACATTCTGGCAATGACCTTTTTCAAAATCCAGAAATGTGTGGAACAAAGCAAAACAAAAACAAATAAAAATACCTTCAAGTGCTTCATCTCTGTTATAGGGAAAACAATGATATAGCTTAAAAATCAAACCTGAGTTTAAATCCTGACTCTGCTACTTATTATTGAGCAATTAGGAACTTCTAAACTTGAGAGAAAACATAATGAGACAAATACAAAATGTACATTAGCAGAAAAAGTGCTGTAGACCCATAGTCTTGCCCAGATGTTCCAAAGTCAACTGACTGGCTACTTAGCTTCAGGCAAGTTGTTAAACCACACTGGACTGAAGCTGTAAAGCAATGGAATTAAAGAAGAGGCTCCTTAAAGCTCCTTCCCATCCTTTGCTTCATGGTATCATTAAGAATGTAGTCATTCTTGTTAAAGTTTATGCTTTTCCATAGCCCTAAACTCAGAGGACTCTTCCATTACAGCTCTTGAACTATTAAGGAAACCTACCACGCTCATGTGTTTTCTTATTCTAGTGCTGACAATTCTCAGGTTTTGTTTTTTGTTTTTGTTTTTGGAGCCAAGGTTTCACTATTTTGCCCAGGCTGGGCTCAAGTGATCCTCCCGCCTCAGCCTTCCAAGTAGTTGGAACTTCAGGCATGCAACATCACACCTGGCTAGCCTTTGGTTCTATAAAGAAGTAGGCCTTGAAACAAAATTAGACAACATTGTAATTATCAAAGACATAGTCATCATTAGTCATAACCAAGTAACAGCTCCTAGTCACAGTACTGCCTGGCCTATATTTCATTTTAATCCTTTAATAATCCTGTGCTTAATAATTATTCCCGTTTTACAGGTGAGAAAGTCAAGTTTCTTCACAGAACCTTTACAAGCAAATATCCTACCTCTCTAGAAAATGTATTATTAAGACTTTCATTATACTTTCATTTGTTACTTATTGGAGAATATTGTTCTAGCCTTTTAAATAAGTCAAAAGCTACTTATTACAAATAATAAATGTTATCAAGAGTCCAGCATACAAGTTAATACAACAAACAGACAAATAAGCCTTGCAAGTTTTCATCAGAATTGAAGATAGGCTGCATGTACTCATGGACATTCCCTGTTTGTAGAGCTAAGCAGCTGCTCTTTTGGCCGTTTCCATCATAATTGCACAAGGGCTCTGGAGTCATGCCACGAGGTACAGATACTGTCATCTTCATGCTATTATCAGACTTCCATGCAAAGAATTGCAATTCACAGCTTTAGGGGAAAGGGATGCAAAAACACTGGTGCAGTGTCTTCTTTTCCCAGAAGCTTTCACAGTAGCATGGCCCTAAGCACATGCCAATTGGGAGGCTTTATCTCTAGAAGGCCAAATGGGGGTCAAGGGAGGCTGATGAGGGGTTTGCACGGAAGAATTGAGAGGGGGATGAAATCAGAAGCCCTGGCCAGTAGTACAGCGAGTGCAGGGATCAGCATCCTCAGGTGTATATTTTTGAGGACTTTAAGTGGCAGCAGTAGCTGACTGGATGGATTAGGGGTCCAGGAAAAGTACAGGTACCCTACATCATATTTTAAAAACTTGCTCTCAACCTGTAGGTCTAATACAGTGGTTATTTAAATTTAATTCAAATTAAATAGAATTTAAAGTTCAGTTCCTCTGTGGCACTAGCAACACTTCAGGTGCTCAATAGCCACACATGTGGCTACTGGCTACAGGATCTAGCACAGACATAGAAGATTTCCATAAACACAGAGCATTCTATTGGACAGCATTGCTTTAGAGTCTAGAATATATAAAAAATCAACATGTAAAATGCTTGAAGTTTAATCAGGCATTACTGGGGAAATATATATAGCTACTGGTTATGAGCACAGACTCTGTATCCAAACTTCCTGGACTCAAATCCTGGCTCCAAGCCTTGCTAATTACATGACTTTGGGCATGCTATTAACCACTCTGTCCCTCAATTTCTCCATCTGTAAAATCGGGACAATAAGAGTGCAAATTTTAGAAGGTTGTTGTAAGGGTTGATGTATATAAAGTACTTACAATGGTTTCCAACACATTGTAAGTGCTATTTAAATGTCAGCTCTTAATATTATTAGTTTCTCACAGAAACATACTTCTATAATGTAGTACATTATACATGTAGAAACATACTTCTATAATGTAGTATTTCTGGGGAATAGATATAAACTGATTCAGATGTCTGACGCTTTCTGCACTTCCCCTTGCCCATGAACCAAGTCTGTATTGAATAGGTTAAAACACTCTCTTGTCACCATGAGTATGTATAAGACTGGGCTGAACTCTCTTCTTACTTGTACAACAGAATGTCGGCTGCCTGGAGTACTGGGTATGTGAGCAGGCCCACCGTGCCATCGTGCTTCTGCTTGGTAGTCTTTGCCTGTGAGAGGTGAAAAGAGAGGAGGGGAAGAAATCTGAAATCTGACTTGAACCTAATTATACTGCTAGATTAAGAAAATTTTAAAACAAGCAAATTGTGATCTGAAGCCACCTGTAATAACATTATACATCGGTTCCTTTTTAGCAACTCTAGCCATCTTCTGGCTGGCTTGTCTTCATGCTCCAGGCTGAGGCAGGAATAAGGTGAGTGCATTTCATCACTGCCCCTTTAAGGGATCCTGCACTGCTACTATTTTTTATTTATTTTATTAAAGTAAGGATACAGGCATTTATTGGTTCCAAATCGGATAAATTCCAGATTTCACAGACAAGGCCACAAACCGTCATGAAATTAAATCTCTACAAATTAACATGAGTTAATATCAAAAGCCCTATTGTTTATACATGGAGACTTTCCAAAAAGTCTCACAGCATGCCACTGAGAAAACTGGAATGTTCCCTTAAAATCACATTTAAATAACAAAAAACAAAAAAGTCATGGCATTTAAAAAATAAAAGTAAGTGAGAGAAATATTCATCTAACCAATCCTAATGACCTGTCTTGATTCTTAGGTGATTAAGCATGCTGAAGCAGTGAGGGTCAAGTGACCCAATGAGCAGTACAGGTTGTATAGACCAAAACAGTTCCTTAATGGAGAAGTTGATGGAAACACCTGAGATGATGTTAGAAACATTTAATAACTGGGGGGGGCAATAGATGCTGATTATAAACTACTACTGTGTACTCACTAAACATGATCCTAATGATGCTAACTCCCTTGCTGTGGCTGCACATTGCTGACATGTCGTTTGATTCTCTGAGTAGAGCTACTTATTAGATGGCAATATTCTGTGCAGTTTCAAGGCCTAAGGTATAGCATCTCTTGTAAAATAAATGGATACTTTGGTGTGTAGACAAATCTTACTCATTGAGTTAATCTGAATCATTTCCCTCAAGTCTGATTATTTCCAAATGAACTGGGCAACTGAATTTATAAACTTGTTTTATTCCAGGGACCAAGCTCATGAGCTTACAAACTTGGGATACCCCTACCAAGGTGCAGACATATTTTTTAAGGCTCAGTCTGAAAATACAACAGCTTCTCTCCTTAGCCATCTTAATTTTGGTGTTTCATAATTTAGTTACAAACTTAACTTTTCTGAGTATACTTCAAGTGGTTTCTGGCTTATAGCAACCAATGCTCTAGGCCATTCAAAGGAAATTTCAATGTTTGAACATACAATTTCTTCACTACATCCCCTAATTACAAAGTTCATGATAAAGGCTAGTTCACAATTATCACCAGGTAAAGATAATGAAAGTTTAATTTGGAAACGTGCAAATTGAAGAAGAACCCAATTTTTAAAAGTTGCCATCACATTCAATTTATAGCCTTTTCGTATTAGCATAATGGACCTTGAAATTACAAGGGAGAGGGAAAATGTGGAGAGCATTAATATTTATTGAGTGCCTATTATGTGCTCCAGATGTTTTACATATATGTTACTCATTAATCCTCTAAATAACCCTGACCTCAGCAACCCTCACCCCACCCTTCTGTGCCACTATTCCACCTTTTGCTGTCCCAATGGAAACCAGGCTAGATGCCTTTATCAGATCCTCCTATAGCACTGGAATCCTGTACTCAGAGCACTTCTTACACTTTCTTATTACTTGTTTAATTGTCTTTTCCCAAACAGACTATAAGTCTCACGAAGGGGGTTACTTCTTATTGACTGCTATATCTCTAGCACCTATTATGACATAAGACTCACAGAAGATATCACTAGTATTTAATTAGTATTAATGAAGGAATCACCACAGAAGACAGTAACATATCTGAGGATAAGACTGGGATTTGAAATTCATGTATTTCCTACAAACAAGCAATTATATACTAATGGAAAGGCTTTTCCAGAATATCAGTACATGCACTAGTAATATACTAGCAGGAGATCTTTAGATGCTGTTTTAAAGTGGGAATAGTTCCTATTAGATTAGTATTCAGTTCCTATAAAAAGGATTTCAACATTACACTTAATGGTAGAATACTATGGTACAATGGGAAAGTATTGCCTAAAACCAAAATATGGCAGATAACATTATGAAACTTTGTTTCTAATTTGTGGCAAGTAATGAATCTGCAGCATTACTAGTACCATCTTATGTATTAAGTGTCTTAGTCCACTCAGGCTGCTATAACAAAATACCCAGCTAGGTGGCTTATAAACAACAGAAATTTATGTCTCATAGTTCTGGAGGCTGGGAAGTCCAAGATTAAGGCAAAGTCAGTGTCTGGTGAGGAACCTTGTTCATGGATAGTGACTTCTAGCTCTGTCCACAGATGCTGTCAGGAGCAAGCGGTGTCTCTAGGGCCTCTTTAACAAGAGCACTAATCTCACTCATGAGGGTCCCACCCTCAAGATCTAATCACCTCACAAAGGCCCTACCTCCTAATACCATCATCTTGGGAGTTAGGTTTCAACATATGAATTCTGAGGGAACACATTCAGACCATATCATTTAGGCACTGTCACTTTAAAGCTTTATCTATTTCTTTCTGTAGCATGTGTGAAGGCTTCTGAAGACCAGCTTTTGAGGAAACCAATGGCCCTGAAAATACCTCAAAAGAAGCTTGAAATTGAAATTAGTGTTGACGTAGTTGGGGGCTACCTACCCTGGGGTTATCCGACTGCAAAAATAAATGGAAGTAAAGTACTATGAATTATCCAATTTATCTTTCTTGGTTGAACTTCTTACAAAAAGTATAGCCCTAATTATTCTGTGAGTTTGAACTGTTGCCTGGACTCAACTTGTTTAAATGTTAAATAAAATATGTTGTCTCTTCTCTCCACAATGAAAACATTCTTTCCTTACTGCCAGTTAATTCCAGTGGAAATGGGAGGCAACCTCAGAGTCTAGTAATCTACAATCTGTGATTGTTTATTAACTATAATGTGGTTGTTCAAAGTCATTACCAAGTCTATCCAAAGGTAACTCTGATTCAACTGTACACAGATAAAAACAATGAACCTAATTTTTAAGTCAGGAGGAATCTTGGAAAATCCTTTTATTTTCCTTTTAATACCCTGAAGCAGGGAGGTTAAAGATGATGTTCCAACCATTAGTGAGTGGCAGACCAGGGAGGAGAGTAAACTCAGGATTCCCAGAGCCTAACAGGAAGGGAAAAATAGCTTCTTGTCTGTTTATTAATCAGATTACTGGCATTTACCTTCCACTGATGTAAATGTTGTAATCGAGGTAGTCTGACCATGCAGGAAAGGATCCAACTTAATTGTGTGTGTTCAGACACCTAAAGAAATAAAATAGAACATTAGTAAAGGTGGCCAGTGTTTTCTTGCATATAAGAAGAACTAAGTAGTAAGTATTACCCTAAATGTCTGAAAATACCCCAAATTAAGGTTATTATAAGAACAGGTGAAGGGGGCTTAGTTCTGATTCATGAAGCATAGACTCTTAGGTGAAGAAAAAAATCATACAAGCTAACTGATTTGGTTATTAATCTAGTGTTTAAGTCTACTCCACAATACCCCACCAGATTCTGCTTCAACATCTTCAGTGAGAAAGTTTCATGATGTCCTGAGGCATCTGTTCTATCTGTAAAAAGCCAAGCTTATTAAGAAGGCACACACACACTCTCTCTCTCTCTATCACACACTCACATACTCACACACACTCACACACTGGTTCCAAGCCTCTCTAAATAACTTCTAAATACATCAAAGCAGCTATAGTACTTTACATATAAGTGGTGGAAAAAGGTACTGGACTTAACATTAAAGATTGAATTCTTTAGATATAGGGTAACTTGAAAGTTAGAGATCACTTTATCATTCCATCACCCCAAAAGGTATTTTTATAGTTTCTACTTCCTCCTCTCCCTCCTCTTTTTCATCTTCCTCTCCTCCTTTTCTGTTTTTTTTTTTTTTTTTTTTTTTTAAGAAGAAGTCTAATCAGCAAGAAAATATAAACTTTCCCCAATTTTTTTTTTTTTTTGAGACAGAGTCTCACTCTGTCGCCCAGGCTGCAGTGCAGTGGTGTGATCTCAGTTCACAGCAACCTCCGACTCCCAGGTTCAAGCAATTCTCTGCCTCAGCCTCCTGAGTAGCTGGGATTACAAGTACCTGTCACCACATCCGGCTAATTTTTTTTTTTTTTTGTCTTTTTAGGAAAGACAGGGTTTCACCATCTTGACCAGACTTGTCTTGAACTCCTGACCTCGTGATCCACCCACCCCAGCGTCCCAAAGTGCTGGAGTTACAGGCGTGAGCCACTGCGCCCAGCCCCAAATTTGTTTGTTTCAACCAAATTTAATCAAGCTACCAAACCTGATGACCTAGAATTTAAGGCCTATGCATCCCGTTTCTTTACTCTGGGGATTACAAGCCCTTCATCAACTGTGGCTTTTTTTTTTTTTTTCATCCACATGATTTCCTTAAAAAGCAGAGACTGCTGCCAACTCTGAAAAGTGGCCCCAAATGTGTTCTTTGTGGGTTTTGCAAAAAGAACATAAAGGAGTGGAGCTGAATCAGCCCAGGCCTGTTCTACTAACAAGGAATCGCCATCTGTTGTAAGATAGTTTCTCATTTTTTTCCTCAAGTTATAGAGAGGGAAGAGTTGTTTTTCACGTGTTTGATAAGGAATCACTTTTAAAGTTTTGCAAGTCCCTGGGCTGAATCTGTCATCTTTCTTCCAAGAGGCATTTGGGTTTCATTCAGGGCAGTGACATTGACACACTGTCCATGCAAATTGCTAACTGCTGCTGTAAACAAATAGCTATCAGACAAAAACAGAAACTAACCCTGGATGTAGGCAAGAGGACTAGAGTTGCTTCCAATCACCAAGGAAAATACATTCCCATTAGAAGTAATAAAACAAGAGCTGTTTTTCTGGCATGAAGAAGTAGGAGAGAATTTTTTTTTTCTTCTTTACTGAATTGGAAGAAAGGAATGAAAACACAGATAATAACCATGGATATGTGGAAGGAGACAAGATGACGCCTCTTTAACTCTGATTCAAATGCTTAGCTTTGGTGATACGCAAAAAGCTACCACTATGTCTCCACGAAGCTGAGTATTTTCCTTGGAGTAGCTTTTTATTTGGACATATGGAATGAAACTTACTTAATATTCTGCAGAGATCTTCCTGGTGTTTCCAAAATGGTGAGCATAAAATTAATTCAAATTATCTTCATACAGAAAAAGTAGGTAAAAGGTCAATGGCAATTAATTTTTTACAATTCATTTTTAATAATTATATAAGAAGGGTAGGATACTTCAGGATTTGGTTGTCTTACTTCATTCATATTCATGACAATTGCATGGAAAGGTTCAGAGTTCCACTTGGGAGAAAAAGGAAAAATGGTATCTAAATATAATATTTTATCATTTATGCTGTGAAACCAAAAACAAACTAGCTGTATAACCCGATTAGCCACAGAAAAACAAAGGCATGGACAATAAAGTGGCCTATTGACCATCCACAAACAAGTCAGCAGTGATGAGTAGAAAGAAAGAACTGAAGATTTCAGACCTCTAATTCTAAAAGGTGCATTCTTCAGTTGCAGCAGTTTTGCCTATCTTTTTCACAGCTGTAGAAAGTAACTTGGTACATTGCATGTCCTGAGACATACAATGTACCTCAGGAAATATTTGTTGAATGCGTGGGCAATAGCAAAGGCTGTAAAAAGAATGGGACCATTAGGTTTGGCAACAGACTTGGTGATTGAGGCAAAAGCAGTTTCAGGGGAGTGATTGGGATGAAAGGTAAATTGCAGTGGGCTGACGAGTGAGACTAGAAGGCAGGATATAAAGGCAGATACACAATAAGCATTGCAAAGTAGTTAAGAGCCCTGTCTTTGGAGTGAGGTTGCCTGGATCTGAATGCAAGTTCTGCCACTTAGTCGCTGAGTGACTCTGTGTAAGTGATTTAATCTCTTTGTGTCTCAGTTTTCCCCTCTATAAAATGAGGTTAACAATAATATCCACTTGATAGTATGTAAACAGAACCTAGCATATAGTAACTACTCAATAAATGGTGGCTTTTATTATTACAATTTTTAGAAATACTTCTGTTTTAACTTTTAAGATAATTGTACATTCACATACAGTTGTAAGAAATAATACAGAGTGATCCCGTACGCCCTTAACCCAGTTTCCCTCAATGGCAACATCATGCATAACTACAGCTTAATATCACAATGATACAGAAGTGGGGAAAGAAGGGTGTGGTCCCTTTAAATGATATCAAAGAGGGGCAAGGCATGGTCTATGGCTAGGGCTCCACACGCGGACATGTGCCCATGGACCTAGACGAGGAGAAAAATTTTTGTTTTCCTGCCCAAATGTTGCATTTTCCAAGATCACCTTGGTCGGCCACACCCTCGTCCTGTGCCTATAAAAACCCCAAGACCCGGCCAGGCGCGGTGGCTCACGCCTGTAATCATCACTTTGGGAGGCCGAGGTGGGCGGATTACCTGACGTCAGGAGTTCAAGACCAGCCTGGCCAATATGGCGAAACCCGTCTCTACTAAAAATACAAATATTAGCTGGGTATGATGGCGGGTGCCTGTAATCCCAGCTACTCGGGAGGCTGAGGCGGGGGAATCTCTTGAATCCGGGAGGCAAAGGCTGCAGTGAGCTGAGATCGCGGAGACCAAGCCATTGCACTCTAGCGTGGGCAACGGAGCGAGACTCTGTCCCAAAAATATAAAAAGTAAAAAATAAAATAAAATAAAATACTGAGACCTTAGCAGGCAGACACACAGGCGGCTGGACATCGAGGGGAGCACATCAGCGGAGGAACACATGAAACACGGGCAGCACACCAGCGGGCCACTGACGGGCGGAACGACATGGGGTTTGTCTGGGGCAGTCGGAGGACAACCTGGGCCACCAAGCGGCCCAACTCCAGGGGAAAACCATCTCCCTTCTGGCTCCCCCATCTGCTGTTTTCTCCGTATTTCAATAGTTTCTCTTTTCAGTCTCCTTTTGCTGGTTCCTCCCCTTTAACCTGACTTCTTAATTGCTGACACCCAGGTTTCAGTCTTTGTTTCTTCTATTGTTTTTTATACCCACTCCCTTTGCAATATCACATCATCTCACTGCTTTAAGTAAAATATGTATAGTTGATGCCTTTTGAATTTATAACTCCAGTCAGACCTTGCTGATGACCTCCAGACTCATATATCCAGCTACCTATTCAGCCTCTCTATCTGGATATCTAACAGGTTCTCAAGCTCAACACATCCAAAACGTAACTCCTGATCCTCCGTTCCAAATCTGCTCTATCCACAGCTGTCCCATCTCTTGGATGGTAACTCCAACTCTGCAGTTGCTTAGGCAAAAACCTTGGCATCATTCTTCACTCCTCGTACTCTCTCACACTCTGTATCTAATCCATTGGCAAATCTTGTTGCCTCTACCTTCAAAATATATTCAAAGTCTCACCACTTTTCACCACATCTACTGCTAGCACTCCAGTGTGAGACACCATCAATCCTCCCCCAGAACACTGTGATAACTTCCCAACTGGTCTCCCTGCTTCCACTCTAGCTCCCTACAGTCTATTCTTACCATACCAGCCTAAGTGACGCCTTTACAACATAGATCACATCACTCCTCCGCTCAAAATCTTTCATGTACTTTTCATTTTTTCAGCGTAAAAGCCAGAGTCCTCATAACAGCCTGTAAGATGAGGCAAAGTCATCTCCTCCGTTTCAACTCTGTAACCTCTGTGATTCAAGTCCTACTCCTATCCCCTTTGTCCCTCTTCTCCAGCCATGCTGGCCTTCTGGTGTTCTCAGAAAACACCAAGTACACTCTTACATTAAGGGCTTGCACTGGCTTTTCTCTGATAGGAATTGTCTTCCCTAGATATTCACTGACTAACGCCCTCACCTTGTCTTTGCTCTAATATCATCTTACCAAGGAGGCTTACCCAAACTACACTGATTGAGTCTGTTCCCCTCAATCCCACTCCCAGTTCTCCTTAATCTTTTTCCATATCACTCATCACCTTCTAATATACTTTATGTTTGGCTTATTTATTTATTATTTTATATTACTCTAATAGAACATAAGTAGCATGGTAGCAAAGATTTTTCTCTGATATATTCACTAATATATCATGCTATAGTACCTAGGGCATGGTAAGTACTCAATAAATATTTAATGAATGCATGCATAAAAGTAAACATTAGACATTTATAGACAATGTCTAAACATGTGGCATATGTATATAGTTGCATACTGTATACAAATAAGTGAGGTAGATTTAAATGAATAAACATGAATAACAAAAACATACTAGTGTGTGAAAAAAAACTGCAAAAAAGTACTGTACTATTATACCAACTACGAAAAAAATTTTAAACCATACAAACAAAAATATTATATACTGTTCATCGAATTACACATGAAAACAATTATAAAAAATAGGCTAGATTGACACCAAATCCAAGATTTTGGTTGCCTGGGAATAGAGGAAAGAGATGCAATCAGGAGGGGTAAAGGGAATAGGAAGGGAAAGAATTGAAGGAACCCTCAACTTCATCAATAATGTTTTTAATATAAAAAAGTTGAAACAAATATGACAAAATATTAATATTCATTTTTGGTGTTGGGAATATGAAAGTTTTACCATTTTCTGCATTTTGCTTTTTTTTTAAATTTTATTTTAGGTTCAGGAGTACATGTGCAGGTTTGTTATAGAGGTAAACTCATGTCACAGGGGTTTGGTGTACAGATTATTTTATCACCCAGGTACTAAGCCTAGTACCTATTAGTTATTTTTCTGCCCTTCTCCCTCCTCCCATTCGACACCCTTAAGTAGGCCCCAGTGTCTGTTGTTCCCCTCTATGTGTCCATGTGTTCTCATCATTTAGCTCCCACTTATAAGTGAGAATATGTGGCATTTGTTTTTCCATTCCTGTGTTAGTTTGCTAAGGATAATGGCCTCCAGCTCCGTCCATGTTCCTGCAAAGAAAATGATCTTATTTTTTATTTTTATGGCTGCACAGTAATCCATGGTAAAATGTGGTATATGTACATTTTCTTTATTCAATCTGCCATTGATGGGTATTTAGGTTGATTCCGTCTTTGCTACTGTGAATAGTGTTGCAATGAACATATGTGTGCATGTATCTTTACGGTAGAACGATTTACATTCCTTTGGGTATATACCCAGTAATGGGATTACTGGGTCGAATGGTAGTCCTGTTTTTAGCTCTTTGAGGAACTGCCACACTACTTTCCACAATGGTTGAACTAATTTATACTCCCGTCAACAGTGTATAAGTGTTCCCTTTACTCCATAACCTGGCCAGCATCTGTTATTTTTTGATATTTTAACAATAGCCATTCAGACTGATATGAGTTGGTATCTCGCTGTAATTTTTTTTTTTTTTTTTTTTTTTGAGACAAGGTCTCACTCTGTTGCCCAGGCTGGAGTGTAGTGGCGCGATCGGCAACCTCCACCTTCCCAGGCTCAAGCATTCTCCTGCCTTACCCTCCCAAGTAGCTGGGATTACAGATGCATGCAACTACCGCCCGGCTAATTTTTGTATTTTTAGTAGAGACGGGGTTTCACCATATCGGCCAGGCTGGTCTTGAACTCCTGACCTCAAATGATCCACCTGCCTCAGCCTCCCAAAGTGCTGGGATTAAAGGCGTAAGTCACCGCACCCGGCCCTTGCTGTATTTTTAAAGATTTGAGATGGGCTAATTTTTAATATTTTTTTAATTTCAAAAATATTTAATTAACAGAAAGAGTGCAGGATAGACAGCATGATTCTGAAAGATATAGCTGCTAGGTATCAATCAATTGATTCAAGCAATTAGCTGGCTCAGTAAATCCTGGATCAAATCTCTGTGTCCCTTAAGATTTTATTTTTTCGCATGTAAATGTTATCTTCCTAGGAATTGGGTCCTGTAAGTTTTAGTTAGGACACTTGGAAGACTATTTAGACTCAGAAATTCTCATTTATTGCTTCCTCTTGGAAACTAGCAATTTATGCTGAGTTGTTTTTATTAGACTCTTACTATCCCCATGACAAATCCCCTTAACAGGAACTCTGGGGTTCTGATTTTAATTAAGGAATCTCTGTATCAATATAAGCTCACTCTCTTCAACTGGTCTTCCCCCACTCAGTACTCTTGTTTGCCAATAAACATCTGTCTGTACACATCTGGAGTTCTCTATACTTTTTCTTAGTCTAATACTTCCAAAGTTAAATAAGTAGCTTCTGTCAGGCTGTTCTTGATTTAAAAGTCACCTCTATGTAAATTCTATTGCTTATTGTGCTTGTGTGTGTGTTTACCTGTAACAATATATTCATCAGATTATGCTAGGCTATACAGGGTAACAGACAGCCCCCAAATTTAAGTGGCTTACAGGAATTGTTTCTTCCTCTTTCACATGACATATTGGTACCTATAGCTTGGCTATAATTCTGCTTTATAGATCTTTTCATTCCAGGATCCAAGTTGAACAAATAGCCCCTATCTGAACATTCTGTTCTCATGTCAGAAGGAAAAAGAGCAAGAGAGCTAGAGCAAACATGCAATGGCTCTTAAAGATTCTTCCTGAACATGGTGTACATCATGCCCACTCACTTTCCACTGGCTAAAGTAAACCACATGGACAAGTCCAACATCAGTGGGACAGAAAGAGATGCCTCTCCCACAGGAGAAGTCACAAGGCAATGGGTGAGGACATATAATCCTCCGAAGCAGGGGTCAGCAAACTACTGCTCCCAGGCCAAATCTGGCCTGTGGACTCTTTCTGTTCCACCCATGGGCTAAGAATGGTTTTTGCATTTCATAAGAGTAATCAAATTTTTTTTTAAAAAAGAAGAGGAAAAATGGAGAAGGAGGAGGAGAAAGAGGAGAGGAAGAAAGAGAAAAAGAAGACAAGGAAGAGATAGTAGCAATGGCAGTGGCGATAGAGACTACGTGCTGCCTGCAAAGTCTAACATGTTTACTATCTATCCTTTCACAGAAAGTTTGATAATCTCTGCTCTTACAATAAATAAAAATGAATAACTGGGAACAATAATAATCTACCACTAGTACATCCCCCAAATTAGCTACCATGACAAAAAATAAGAGAATTGACCTGTAGAGAAATTGATGGCAGACAGCTGATTTTTTTCAAACCTATCTTTTCAGTAAGATTGTATTTAAAATTTCTATGTTGATATATTTGATAGCCCCAGGAACTTAGGTCCAACAAAATAATAAAGGTTTTTTGAACTACATCGAAATTTAAAACTTCTCTCCATCAAGGGACCCAATCAGCAGAGTAAAAAGGCAACCTATAAAATGGGAGAAAAATATTTGCAAATCATATGTCTGGCAAGCAGTTAACATCCAGATTATACAAAGAACTCTTAAGGCCAGGTGCGGTGGCTCACCCCACTAATGCCAGCACTTGGGAGGCCAAGGCAGGAGGATTGTTTCAGCCCAGGAATTCAAGACTAGCCTAGGCAACACAAGAAGGCCCCATCTCTATCATCCCCCAACCAATTTTTTTTTAAATTAGCTAGGCATAGAGGTATGTACCTGTAGTCCCAGCTACTCAGGAGGCTGAGGCAGAAGGATGGCTTGAGCCCAGGTGGTCAAGGCTGCAGTGAGCTATGATAACACCACTGCACTCCAGCCTGAGCAACAGAGAGATACCCCCTATCAAATAATAATAATAATTAAATAATACTATTTAATAAATTATAATTTATTTAATTATAAATTATTGTTAAATAAAACAATAACTATTATTATTAAATAAAACATTTTAAATAAAGGACTCCTACAAATCAACAGCAAAAACAAAACTAAACATCAACTCGATTGAAAAATGGGCAAAGGATTTGAATAGGCATTTCTCCAAAGAACATATACAAATGGCCAACAAACATATGAAAGAGATGCCCAATCTTACTAATAATTAGGGAAATGCAAATCAAAACCATAATGTGATATCACCTTATATCCACTAGGATGGCTGCCATATATATATATATCTCCCAGAAAATAGTAAGTGTGGTGAGGATATGGAGTAACTAGAACTCTTGTATACTGTTGATAGGAATGTAAAATGGTGCAGCTGCTATGGAAAATAGCATAGCGATCCCTCAGAAAATTAAAAATAGAATTACCATATGATTCAGCAGTTCCATTTCTCATATATATACATAAGAATCAAAAGCAGGGTCTCAAAGAATATTTGTACACTCATGCCCAAAACAGCATCATTCACAATAGCTGAAAGATGGAAGCAGCCCAAATGTCCATTATAAGATGACTAGATAAATGAAATGTACAAACATATGATGTAACATTATTCAGCCTTAAAAATTAAGAAAATTCTGACACATGCTACAATATGAATGAACTTGGAGGACATTATACTAAATGAAATAAACCAGCCACAAAAAGACCAATATTGTATGATTTATCTGTATGAGGTATACATTTGAGTAGTCAAACTCATAGAGACAAAAGGTAAAGTGGGAGTTGCCAGGAACTGTGGGGGAGAGGGGAATGAGTTATTGTTTAATGGGTATAGAATTTTCAGTTTTGCAAGATGAAAAAGTTCTAGAGATTGGTTGTTCAACAATGTGAATATACATTACAGAACTTTATACTTATAAATGGTTAAGATGATAAATTTAATGTGTTTTACAAATTTCAAAAATTTTTAAAAAGGTATATAAAAATATAGATGAAACGTATTTCTCAAGTTGGAAAAAATGGTAAATTTTATGTTATGTGAGTTTTGTTTCAATAAATTGTTTTTAAAAGTCACATGGAAGGGCTGGTTTGAGGCAAAAAGGAAAGGTCTGGTTTCAGATATGCTGAACTTGAGACTTTGAAGATATTCACAGAGATGTCTAGAAGATAGCTGGTAATACAAGTCTAGAATTAGAGAGAAACGAAATGGCTAGAAAAAAATCTGAGAAGTGGTCAGGCATGGTGGCTCATGCCTGTAATCCCAGCACTTTGGGAGGCTGAGGAAGGTGGATTATCTGAGGTCAGGAGTTCAAGGCCAGCCTGGCCAACATGGCAAAACCCCATCTCTACTAAAAATACAAAAAAGTTAGCCAGGCATGGTGGTACAAAAAGGTTAGCTGGACATGATGGTGCGCACCTATAGTCCCAGCTACTTGGGAGGCTGAGGCACAAGATTCACTTGAACCCAGGAGGCAGAGGTTATAGTGAGTCGAGACCATGCCACTGCACTCCAGCCTCAGCAATAGAGGGATAGTCTGTCCCAAAAAGAAAAAACAAACAAACAAAAAACAGAGAAGAAAGGCAAGAAAGAAAGAAAAGAAAGAAAGAAGAGAGAGAGAAGGAGGAGGAGGAGAAGAGGGAGGGAGGGAGGAAGGAAGGAAGGAAAGAAAGAATATCTGAAAGGAGAAAGAAAGAAAATCTGAAGGGAAATAGTCAAAAGTTATGGATTGGAGGACAATTTTGGGGGATTAAAGAAAAGCAGTTGATAAAAGAAACAAACTATCAGTATAGGGAACATGATACATCAACAAATCAAATTATTAGTTTACGGAATAAAACTCTGAGCAGGCTGTTTCTTGGTTGCATTGTGAATACATGATTCAAAGATCAGATGAAAATTTCATACCATAACTTTTTTTTTTTTTTTTTTGAGACGGGTCTCTCTCTGTTTCTCTGCTGTCCAGGCTGGAGTGCAGTGGTGTGACCTTGGCTCACTGCAGCCTCGACCTCCCAGGCTCAAGCGATTCTCCTGCCTTAGCCCCACCAAGTAGCTGGGATTACAGGCAAGTGCCACCATGCCTGGCTAATTTTTTTTTTTTTTTTTTTTTTGTAATTTTAGT
This sequence comes from Homo sapiens, assembly GCF_000001405.40. Taxonomy (NCBI): domain Eukaryota; kingdom Metazoa; phylum Chordata; class Mammalia; order Primates; family Hominidae; genus Homo; species Homo sapiens. The sequence goes on from NC_000001.11 coordinate 119,056,220, forward strand.
ACAGACGAGGTTTTGCCATGTAGCCCAGGCTGGTCTCAAACTCCTGAGCTCAAGCGATCTGCCTGCCATGGCCTCCCAAAGTGCTGGGATTACAGGCATGAGCCATCACGCCTGGCCCATACCAATTTTTTAGCTGCAGTAAACTACCTGCAGTGTTCCCTACACTACACAATTCCATGGGCTTTCCTTCTTTCTTTTGGTTCATATAACAACATCCTACGAGCCTATTCATTTAAACATTATATATTTTTATAGTATATATTTAGTCCATATACATTCTATATATTTGTAGACTTAGACTATAGACTAAATATATAATATATATATATACTAAATATATATATTATATATAGTAAATCAAGCCCAGTGAGGCATACTTTATAAACAATAAGATGCACTCATTTTAGCTGTTCAGTTCAATGAATTCTGACAAATCTATACACCAATCAAGATACAGAAAATTTTGATTCTCCCAAAAGAAGTTCTCTCATGTCCCTTTGTACCCCTTGCTCTTGAAACCACTGATCAGTTTTGTTACTGTGGATTTGTTTGGCTTATTCTATATCATTTAAATGAAATTATATAATATAAACTCTTATGCTTGGCTTTAATACTCAGCATGTTTTATACAACTCTTTTTGTAGATTATTGGTAAAGTCTTTTGGGTAAATACCTAGGAGTAGAATTGCTGGGTCACGTGGTAAGTATACGTTTAACTTTGACAAACTGTTCTCTAAGGTAGATTTATCATTTTACAGTGTTACTAGCAATGTAAAATAATCCCAGTTTCTCAACATACTTACCAAAGCATAGTATTCTCAGTATCTTTAAGTTTGGTCATCCAAGTGGGTGAACTGGTATCTTACTATGGTTTTTTTTCTGACGACTATGATGTTGAACTTTTCATGTGCTTATTAGCCATTTGTTATTATTATTATCATTTTTGAGATGGAGTCTTGCACTGTCGCCCAGGCTGGAGTCAGTGGCACGATCTCGGCTGACTGAAACCTCTGCCTCCTGGGTTCAAGTGATTCTCCTGCCTCAGCCTCCTGAGTAGCTGGGACTACAAGTGCACACCACCAAGCCCGGCTAAATTTTGTGTTTTTAGTAGAGACAGGGTTTCACCACATTGGCCAGGCTGGTGTTGAACTCCTGATCTCGTGATCCTCCCTCCTCGGCCTTCCAAAGTGCTGGGATTACAGGCGTGAGTCACTGCGCCTGGCCCCATTTGTTACCTTTGTTTGTGAAATGTCTACTCAAATAAAGTGGCCATTTAAAATATTAGCATGGCCGAGCACAGTGGCTCATGCCTGTAATCCCAGCAGTTTGGGAGGCTGAGGCGGGAGGATCACTTGAGGTCAGGAGTTCAAGACCAGCCTGGCCAATGTGGTGAAACCCCGTCTCTACTAACAATATAATCATTAGCCAGGCATGGTTGCAGGTGCCTGTAATCCTAGCTACTCTAGAGGCTGAGGCAGGAGGATTGTTTGAACCCGGGAGGCAGAGGTTTCAGTGAGCCGAGATCCCACCACTGCACTCCAGCCTGGATGCAGAGCAAGACTCCATCTGAGAAGAAAAAAAAAAGAAAAAAAATTAGGTTGTCTCCTTATTATTAAGAGTTTTTTATACAGCTGGATAAAAGCCTTGCCAGATATATGTACTGTGAATATTTGCTCCCACTTTATGGGTTACCTTTTCATTTTCTTAATGGTGTTTTTGAAGAACAGAGGCTTTATCTTTTGATGAAATCAAATGTATCAATAGTTTCTCTTATATTAAGTGATTTTGTGTACTATTAAGAAATCTTGGCCTATCCTAAAGGCCTGGAAAATTTTCCCCATATTTTCTTTCAGAAGTTTCATAGCTTCAGATTTTACATTTAAGTCTGTGGTGGTTTTAAGTTGATCTTTTTTGTGAATGGTATGAGGTGAGAGTCAAGGTTCATGTTCTCCCTCACATGGACATCTAGCTGGAGACCTAACACCCTCTGCTGAAAAGACTATTTTTTCCCCCACTGAACTGCTTTGAACCCTTCATTGAAAATATTTGACCATATATATGTGGGTCTACTTCTTGATTCCCTATTTCTTTTTTTTTTTTTTTATACTTTAAGTTTTAGGGTACATGTGCACAATGTGCAGGTTAGTTACATATGTATACATGTGCCATGCTGGTGCGCTGCACCCACTAAACTCGTCATCTAGCATTAGGTATATCTCCCAATGCTATCCCTCCCCCCTCCCCCAACCCCACCACAGTCCCCAGAGTGTGATATTCCCCTTCCTGTGTCCATGTGATCTCATTGTTCAATTCCCACCTATGAGTGAGAATATGCGGTGTTTGGTTTTTTGTTCTTGCGATAGTTTACTGAGAATGATGATTTCCAATTTCATCCATGTCCCTACAAAGGACATGAACTCATCATTTTTTATGGCTGCATAGGATTCCATGGTGTATATGTGCCACATTTTCTTAATCCAGTCTATCATTGTTGGACATTTGGGTTGGTTCCAAGTCTTTGCTATTGTGAATAGTGCCGCAATAAACATACGTGTACATGTGTCTTTATAGCAGCATGATTTATAGTCTTTTGGGTATATACCCAGTAATGGGATGGCTGGGTCAAATGGTATTTCCAGTTCTAGATCCCTGAGGAATCGCCACACTGACTTCCACAATGGTTGAACTAGTTTACAGTCCCACCAACAGTGTAAAAGTGTTCCTATTTCTCCACATCCTCTCCAGGACCTGTTGTTTCCTGAATTTTTAATGATTGCCATTCTAACTGGTGTGAGATAGTATCTCATTGTGGTTTTGATTTGCATTTCTCTGATGGCCAGTGATGATGAGCATTTTTTCATGTGTTTTTTGGCTGCATAAATGTCTTCTTTTGAGAAGTGTCTGTTCATGTCCTTCGCCCACTTTTTGATGGGGTTGTTTTTTTCTTGTAAATTTGTTTGAGTTCATTGTAGATTCTAGATATTAGCCCTTTGTCAGATGAGTAGGTTGTGAAAATTTTCTCCCATTTTGTAGGTTGCCTGTTCACTCTGATGGTAGTTTCTTTTGCTGTGCAGAAGCTCTTTAGTTTAATTAGATCCCATTTGTCAATTTTGGCTTTTGTTGCCATTGCTTTTGGTGTTTTAGACATGAAGTCCTTGCCCATTCCTATGTCCTGAATGGTAATGCCTAGGTTTTCTTCTAGGGTTTTTATGGTTTTAGGTCTAACGTTTAAGTCTTTAATCCATCTTGAATTGATTTTTGTATAAGGTGTAAGGAAGGGATCCAGTTTCAGCTTTCTACATTTCTTTTCAGTGACCTGTAAGTCTATGTCCATACCACACTCTCAATTATTATAGCTGTATAATAAGCTTCAAAAGGCAGTATAAGTCCTCTAGTTGTGTTTTCTTTTTCAAAGCTGTTTTGAGTATTCTAAACACTTTGCATGGCCTTATACATTTCAGATTCAGTGTGTCAGTTTATATAAAAATGTATGTTGAAATTTTCATTGCGATTGTGAGAAGTCTATAGATCAATATTTAAAAAAAGTAGAGATCATGTCCTTTGCAGGAACATGGATGAGCTGGAGGCCATTATCCTTAGCAAACTAACACAGGAACAGAAAGCCAAATGCTGCACGTTCTTACTTATAGGTGGGGACTAAATGATAAAAACACATGGACACATTGAGGAGAAGCACACACAGTGGGGCCTTTCAAAGGGTGGAGGGTAGGAAGAGGAAGAGGATCAGGAAAAATAACTAATGGATACTAGACTTAATACCTGGGTGATGAAATAATCTGTACACCAAACCCCCAAGACACAAGTTTACCTATGTAACAAACCTGCACTTGTACTCCTGAACTTAAAAGTTTAAAAGATAACATATTAACAATATTGAGTTTTCCAATCCAATCTAAAAACAAGGCTTTCACTTCTAGTAATGGCTACTTAGCTTGGTATCAGTCTTCTTGGGCTGCCATAACAAAGTACCATAGACTGGGCTGCTGAAATAACAGGAATTAATTTTCTCACAGTTCTGATGGCTGGAAGTCTGAGATGAAGGGGCCTGCATGGTTGTGTTCTAGTGAGTGCTCCCTTCCTGTCTTCCTGGCTTACTGATGGCTGCCTTCATGCTATAACCCCACATGGCAGGCAGAAAAAGAGAAAAACAGACAGATCTTTCCCTCTTCTCATAAGGCCACAGGCCTATCAGATTAGGGCTCCCTCCTTAGGACATCATTTAACCTTAATTACTTCCTAAAGACCCTATCTCTATATACAGTCATACTGGGGGTTAAGGGAGCAACATATGAATTTTGAGGGATACAACTCAGTTGATAGCAAGCTCCTATTGGATAAATTCTAACACAGATAGCAAGTTTCAACTCTGAGCAAAATATAAAAATCAACGGCCTGAAGGCATTGGAGAACAATCGAAAGCAGGCAGAAACTAGGGGTGTGGTTTACTCTTTTAAAAAATGGATAACACGGAGTAAGTGTCCTGTTTTGTGACTTTCTGTCTGAGGGCAGTCCTCAGTTGCAGACATAAAAAGCATCTAAATATGATAGAAACCTGCATTCTTACTGGCTTGAAGAATGAAAAAACAAAGTTTGGGTCACCATAATGCCTGGAAAATAAGCAGTGAAATTTCTAAATAAAGAGTCAGAGTGGTATAGCCTTATATTCTATGTATTAACTCTACCCAAGTATCTGGCCAACCCCTGAATTCCACATGCACGGGGCCACCTCCAAGCTGTCCAACAATGGCTAAAACAACTGGCAAAATATTTCAATTATTGCTTACTACTGGAAAGACAATTTGGGGCTTGAGCCTGCTAAAAAAACAACAGATTTTTATTTAAAGATATTCTTCAGAGGAATACAACATAATTTAAAATCTCTTCAATTTGTCATTTAAAATATTCAAGATACTAGCCAAAATTATTAGACATATTAAAAAATAGGTAAACAAAAACCATTCTTAAGAAAAGAGGCAGTCAATGGAGACCAAACCCGAGATGTTCCATATGTTGTATTTAATTAGCAAAAATTTTGAAGCGATTATTACAACTATGCTTAAAGATACAAAAGAAAATATTCCTGAGATGAATAAACAGATAGAAAATCTCAGCAGATAAATTTTTTAAACCAATAAAAAAGGGCCAATAAAGATACTAGAATAAAAACATACAATATCTGAAATAATATCATTATAAAGTCTTAAACACAGATTGGGAGGGCAGAAGAGTCACTGAATGAAAAGATAGATCAGTAGAAATTAACCCACTTAAGGAAGATAGAGTTAGAAGATTGAGAAAATAAAGGAACATAGTCTCATGAAACTACATATTTAGGATCAGGAAGTTGGATGCTACCTTCTCCCTTAGGGAGAAACTAATTCCTCATAGTTATTTTTACAGCATTAAAGTGTTCACAGGTTATTGCTCTGTCTGTAAGTACAGAAATGGTAGTAGAGAATCAAAAGAGCAGCAACATGACTGATCTAATGGATTCTATTAGTTAATGGAATCTAGTAGCCAACTGAGTAAGCAGGTTAACAAAACATTTTCACCTGCTCCATGAGACTCTGACTCTGGATCAACAACCTAGGTCTGTATTTACCAGATAAAACAGTATGTGTTAACAACACTGCTAGGCAACATTGCTTATGATAAAAATAATCCCCAGCTGGTAAAGTACATCTAGGCTTAGAGAACTATAAATACCTGAGAGAAAGTAATAGTTTAGGCTTTCCTGAGTATAGTGACCCTTGTAACTGGTACATCTCTTTCAGTGACCCCAAGGTCTATATATGAAATGTAAAAATAGATATTGGCTCTTGTGGAAAACTGAGGCTTCTTTGGTAAGGGAGATTGTACCACCCACTGATGTAGATCTCATCTCCTTGCATTTGAGCTGGAGAAAAAATAGTTCCTACACCTATGAGTACACCTGGAGAGAAAATACCTCCTGGAGCTAGCTGCCTACTGCTACAGGGACTGCTCTAGTAAGGACTCTTGTTTAGAGAAGCTACCTTGCTGGCAAGCTAAGGTTCTTGTTCTATGCCTTTTTAAGTAGACTAGTACCAAACATAACCTGTGGTGGTCTCATGATTCTGAATATTTACTTGAACCTACAAAGATAGCATGGTGGCCACTGGAGATGAGCAATTAAAACAGTGGTTTCCAAAATGAGATTTGTGATTCTCAGAGGCTGTGCAAGACTATCTCCTGAAGCACAGCAAATAAAAAAAAAAGGACTTTTACTTATATTCATTTTTTAATCCCATATTTTAAATTTTTGCTTTATACAAAAGTTGTATGATTGATATGGTTTGGCTGTGTCCCCACATAATCTCAACTTGAATTGTATCTCGCAGAATTTCCACGTGTTGTGGGAGGGACCCAAAGGGAGGTAATTGAGTCATGGGGACCCGTGTTTCCCATGCTATTCTCATGATCGTGAATAAGTCTCACTAGATCTGATGGGTTTATAAGAGTTTCCACTTTTGCTTCTTCCTCATTTTTCTCTTGCCACCTCCATGTAAGAAGTGACTTCTGCCTCCTGCCATGATTCTGAGGCCTCCCCAGCCATGCGGAACTGTAAGTCCAATTAAACCTCTTTTCTTCCCAGTCTCAGGTATGTCTTTATCAGCATCATGAAAACAGACTAATACAGTAAGTTGATACCAGTACAGTGGGGCATTGCCGAAAAGATACCTGAAAATGTGGAAGTGACTTTGGAACTGGGTAACAGGCAGAGATTGGAACAGTTTGGAGGGCTCAGAAGAAGATAGGAAGATAAGGGAGAGTTTGAAACTTCCTAGAGACTTGTTGAATGGCTTTGCTCAAAATGCTGATAGTGATATGGACAATAATGTACAGACTGAGGTGGTCTCAGATGGAGATGAGGAACTTGTTGGGACCTGGAGCAAAGGTGACTTGTTATGTTTTAGCAAAGAGACTGGCAGCATTTTGCCCCTGCCCTAGAGATTTGTGGAACTTTGAACTTGAGAAAGATGATTTAGGGTATCTGGCAGAAGAAATTTCTAAGCAGCAAAGCATTCAAAAGGTGACTTAGATACTGTTAAAGGCATTCAGTTTTATAAGGGAAGCAGAGCTAAAAGTTTGGAAAATTTGCAGCCTGACTATGCAAAACCAATTTTCTGGGGAGAAAAGAGAAACCAATTTTCTGGGGAGAAATTCAAGCCCGCTGCAGAAATTTGCATAAGTAGCAAGGAGCCTAATGTTAATCCTCAAGACCATGGGGAAAATGTCTCCAGGCCATGTCAGAGACCTTCACAGCAGCCCCTCCCATCACAGGTCCAGAGGCCCAGGAGGAAAAAGTGGTTTTGTGGGCCAGGCTCAGGGTACTGGTGCTGTGTGCAGCCTAGGGACTTGGCGCACTGTGTCCTAGCCACTCCAGCTGTGGCTGAAAGGGGCCAAGACAGAGCTCGGGCAGTGGCTTTAGAGGGTGGAAGCCCCAAGCCTTGGCAGCTTCCATGTGGTGTTGAGCCTGCAGGTGCACAGAAGTCAAGAACTGAGGTTTGGGAACCTCCGCCTAGATTTCAGAAAATGTATGGAAATGCCTTGGATGCCCAGACAAAAGTTTGCTGCAGGAGCGAGGCCCTTATGGAGAACCTCTGCTAGGGTAGTGTGGAAAGGAAATGTGGGGTTGGAGCCCCCACACAGTGTACCTACTGGGGCACTGCCTAGTGGAGCTGTGAGAAGAGGCCACCATCCTCCAGATCCCAGAATGGTAGACCCACCGACAGCTTGCACCGTGAGCCTGGAAAAGCCACAGACACTTAATGCCGGCCTGTGAAAGCAGCCAGGAGGGAGGCTGTACCCTGCAAAGCCACAGGAGTGGAGCTGCTCAAGACCATGGGAATCCACCTCTTGCATCAGCGTGACCTGAGTGTGAGACCTGGAGTCAAAGGAGATCATTTTGGAGCTTTAAGATTTGACTGCCCCACTGATCTTGGACTTGTATGAGCCCTGTAACCCCTTTGCTTTGACCAATTTCTCCCATTTGGAATGGCTGTATTTACCCAGTACCTGTACCTCCATTGTATCTGGGAAGTAACTAGTTTGCTTTTGATTTTACAGGCTCATAGGCAGAAGGTACTTGCCTTGTCTCAGACGAGACTTTGGACTGTGGATTTTGGGTTAATGCTGAAATGAGTTAAGACTTTGGGGGACTGTTGGGATGGCATGATTGGTTTTGAAATGTAAGGACATGAGATTTGGAGGGGCCAGGGGCAGAATGATATGGTTTGGCTATGTCCCCACATAATCTCAACTTCAATTATATCTCCCAGAATTCCCACATGTTGTGGGAGGGACCCAGTGGGAGGTAATTGAATCATGGGGGCCGGTCTTTCCCATGCTATTGATAGTGAATAAGTCTCACCAGATCTGATAGGTTTATCAGGGGTTTCCACTTTTGCTTCTTCCTCATTTTTCTCTTGCCGCTGGTGTGTAAGAAGTGCCTTTAACCTCCCGCCGTGATTCTGAGGCCTCCCCATGTAAAACTCTAAGTCCAATTAAAACTCTTTTTCTTCCCAGTCTCGGGTATATCTTTAACAGCAGCATGAAAACAGACTAATACAATGATGTACAGTATATACCTATCTTAAAGGAAAGTCTCAAAAATCTTTTACTGATAGTCATAAACAATAAAAAATTTGAAATTCACTGAATCAGAAAATAGAAAGTATTTTCAAGCACAAATAGAACATTTGTAAAAATTCGCCATTTGCTAAATTCAAGCTTTAAAAATACAAAAGATCTGAAAGCATTGCTATATTCTTTGATTAATATGTAATGACATTAGAAATCAATTTTTTAAAAAAGTTAAGTTAAAAAAAGAGCCCTGTACTTGGAAATCTAAACACATACTTCTAAATAAATGATAGATCAAATAAGAAATAATAGTGAAAATTAGAAATTATTCAGAACTGATTTATAGTGAAAATACTATAACATATCACAACTTTGTCAATGCTGACAAAACAGAACTTAGAAGGAAATTTATACTGCTTAAATGTTTATATTAGAAAGAAGAATGGCTGAAAATTAATGAGGTCCACTCAAGAAGTTAGTAAAAGCACAACCACATAATTTCCAAGAAAATAAAATGGAGGAGGGAATGAAACTAATGAAATAAAAAACAAAGGAGGCAGGCAGATCACTTGAGGTCAGGAGTTTGAGACTAGCCTGGCCAACATGACGAAACCCCGTCTCTACTAGATAAGAATACAAAAATTAGCTGGCATGGTGGTGGGCGCCAGTAATCCCAGCTATCTGGGAGGCTGAGGCATGAGAATAGCTTGAATCCAGAAGGCAGAGGTTGCAGTGAGCCAAGATCATGCCACTGCACTCCAGCCTGGGTGACAGAGTGAGACTCTGTCTCAAAAAAAAAAAAAAAAAGGAAATAAATAAAAAAGATACAATAACAGCCTCACAAAATCAAAAGTATATCCTCTAAATGATTAATAGAGTAGTCTCTAACAAAATTTATCAAGAGGAAACAAAGGAACAAAGGCATTTCAAGGAAAACAACCCACAGATGGTATTGGTTATAAACATTTCAGCTTTCTAGAATAAATTAGAATTTTAGAAAACATATATCCATCATTATGCGTTAGACAGCTTCCAATATGTCGAGACATTCCTGATGAGAGCTGTGGTATTAACCAATGTGATTTTTAAAAATACTGTAAATAAAATGTGACAGAATTTGTAAGATCTACATAACTCAGTCTTAAATGTGAAAAGCAAAACTTACCACATTCAAGAGATAATATAAAAGAACAGCTTTATCACACTAGGCCAGTATAGAATAACTTAAAAACATACTCCAGAAGCATACAACCATAAAGGAAAATACTGAATTGGCTATATTAAAAAAAAACAAAAAACAAAACTCTGTACAACAACAGACAGCATTTAAAAATTAAAAGACAAGCTACAAGGCTGGGTGCGGTGGCTCACGCCTGTAATCCCAGCACTTTGGGAGGCTAAGGTGGGCGGATCACAAGGTCAGGAGATCGAGAACCATCCTGGCTAATACGGTGAAACCCCGTCTTTACTAAAAATACAAAAAATTAGCCGGGTGTGGTGGTGGGCGCCTGTAGTCCCAGCTACTCGGGAGGCCGAGGCAGGAGAATGGCGTGAACCTGGGAGGCAGAGCTTGCAGTGAGCTGAGATCATGCCATTGCACTCCAGCATGGGTGACAGAGAGAGGCTCTGTCTCAAAAAAAAAAAAAAAAAAAAAAGACAAGCTACAAACTGAAAAATGATAATGTATAACAAAGGATTGGTACTCAGAATATGTAAAGAACCTCTACAAATCAATAGGAAAATACAATTAAAAAATAGTCAAAAGATATGAGCAAACAATTCACAAAAGAAAACAAAGGAGTTAAAACATAAGAAATAAATGCTTAATCTTACCAGTAGTCAGGGAAATTCAAACAATAAGATGGCACATTTCATGCATTACAGTGCCAAAAGTAATATGTCTAATAACACCAAATGTTGCCGAGGAGAGTTCCTGTTGGTGGTAATGTAAGTTAGAATACCATTTTGGAGAACAAACTGACAACATTCACTGAGGCCAATGATGTATATATCATATATCCTCCTGAATGTACTCTTAGGCATATATTAATACAGCTAAAGAAAGTCTTTCACATGTGCACAAAAGGCAGACAAAAGTATGCCCTCTGTAATATTGTTTGCAGTAATAAAAAGCTGGAAAAAAATCCAAATATCCTTTGCCAGGAAAATGGATAAACTGTTAAGGAGGCAGACAATGGAACACTGTACTAGCAGTTTCCATTTAGTTAGTTTGACTGTATTTAGCAGTCAAACTAAATAAATCCCAAGCATGTAACATTGTACACAAAAAATAGATGCAAGAGAATATGGGCAGCATGATGCCATTCACAGTTTTAAAACATGCAAAACAAATAATATAGATTGTTAATGGCTATATTATATGCAATACAAATATAAACACATTTGTAGGAATGATGAGTATCAAATCAATATAATAGTGGTTACCTCTGGGAAGGCACAGAGGAAAATGGCGTTACAACTAAGCAGAAAAGTTTCTATTATACTTGTAATGTTTAATATGTAAAAAACAAAAATCACATGAAGCAAGTATGCCAAAAGGCAAGCAATTCAAAAGGCAGCCATTCATCTTCATCCTTTTATGAATGTTTCAAATATTTCTTAAAAAGTCCTCAAAAAACCTTAGACAACAAACTCTTCTGAAAATACTTTATTATTGAAGATAAAAAGAGGCATTGTCATTAACTTTATCTCCATCTTCTAATCCCACTCTACCCTTATATAAATCCTTCTCAATATCAAGGAGCCTAGGGTGGGAGCATTGTATATAGTGGAGGAGGGTGATAGAAAGTTAACATTTGCTAGACAAAATATATTATCTTATTTAAATTGCTATTAAAGACATTAAAAATGGGATTCAGAGAGCTTGAGCCACTTGCCCATAGTCTCACAACCAAAAAGAAGTGACAGTAAGATTCAAGCTGAGTATGTCTGGCTTCAAAGCCTCTATTTTTTTTTTTTCACTACTGTTTTGACAGCAAGAAAAGAATTCTTCTTGAAGGTATAATTAACCTATCACCTGTTCCTATGTCCAGGATAGAAGTAACACAAGTACTGCAGCTTGTTCATCATGTCACACAGGAGCATAGATCCAGGCAAGGAAGTGGTATTATTGGAAACTGTGGAGAAGGAAATACATGCAGAGTTTGATGATATAATAATTTTCCAAACTTATTATTTATGCCATGGGCCATTTAGATTCTTATCTCCTCCTAGGAACTTTGGAGGTGATGCCAATTTTACAAATATATTCTCCAAGTCCACTAATCTACGCAGACGTTTGCTCCCTTTCCATTGTGAGCTGAAAGAGCACCTATTGTTGGTAGCGAACAACTTTGAGAGTTTAACAAATATAAATACACTCAAATATGTTTCCTAAATTACCAGAATAATGGAAGCACTAGACTCTCTGTCCAGTTTAAGGCCTTGGTTTTATACCTCTGAGACAAGGGACAGTTGGTGAGGTATAACTTTTATTTATGTATAGTAAGCCAAGATTTATGTAGTCAGTTACTTTGGCTGTCATTCAGAAACCAATTCCTCCATTGCCTCTCTTCATCATTACTGATTTTTGTTTCCTGGGAAACAACATAACTCTAATTAGAGAATGAGCCCACATTCCAGAGATGCAAATCCCCCTTTCCTCCCTCAACTTTTCCTTGGTCTCTTTGGACCCTCGTAACACAATATCTGGTGGCCCCAACTGTCCTTTTCTCCTTGCCTTGGCAGAAATCCAGTGCCTAGAGCTATGTCCTCCACTTTTTATCTTCCATCTGCAGAGTAACAGTGAAAGATGTAGAGGCCTGTACCCCAGGCAGCTGTACGACTCAGACTGGATCTGCACTCAGGCCTGCTGGCTTGCTAGAAATAAAAGACCATTAACTATGGTGTGGGGATGGAAACCTCTGCTAAATACACACATAGGCATGACCCCCTTCCCACGACGTGTCCCTCTCTCTCTTACTCTCTCTCTCTCTCACACACACACACATACACACACACACACACACACACCTTTGAGAGGAGAGGGTCTATAAAATTCCCCACATATGGTGAACATATTTTAGGGGAAGCACATGACTAGAGGCCAGTGGGAGAGAAAGAAAAAGAAAATAATGAGAAAAATCTTCAGTAAGTCTGAATTGTTCCAGTCAGACTGCTGAGAAAGAATGCAAAGGATTGGAGATGAAAATTACTGGTAAAAGTCAACATTGTAACATAGCTAAATCCTTTCCCTATTTCAAGCCATCATTAGAACATTTTCTAATGTTCAACAATAGCACACAGAAAAATAGCCTTTATAATTTAGCTGTAAGTAATTTGCTTAACACAACGAATATAGCTGAAAAAATCACATTATAAAATAATATTTTTCTCTAACTCATAATTTCAAAAATTCTTAATTTTACTTGTAAATAATTGTGTGATGGGGAGGTGGGTATAACTAATGTTAACTGGAATTGGCTCCCAAAACATTAAATAAAATTGTTTTCTAAATTCTTATCCTTTCTGTTACATATTTAATGATCAATTAAATGCTTAAATACACTATAAACCTACCAGTATAAAGGAAATAGCAAAAAGCCTTTTAAAAATGTAGATAAATAATCTCTAATTTATCTGTTTTGTAAGTTAAGGACTGATTTATCAAATCTTCTCAAAATTAAACCAGAAGAAATTATTTTTTCTTCAGCTTTAAAGAGTCATTGGTAGAAGGTAATCAGATCATCCAAACACAAACTGATAATAAAAGGTCTGCATAACTGAGTGGTGTAGTAGAAGAAACACTGGCCTAGTGTACTCTTGGGCTTCATTTTTTAAGGGATTTCTAGCTAAGCTGAGTTTAGATTTTTACATGAGGGCAGGAGAGAGACGCTGATGTGTTTTTAGTAGAAAGGTGACTGTGGCTGCCTTGTGGGGAATGAACTGCCAAACTGTGAGGCTAGGGCAGGAGTGAAAGAGTAATTTAATTGTTCAGGTGAGAAATAATGAGGGCCTTGAGGTCAGCCCCAACTCCCCACTTCCCCTCCACAAGCATCTCCAGAAGCAGAGACGTGAGGGCTGGAGAAGGGTATGTAGGCAGGGGACAGAACAAGGTTCCCGCCTCATGAGTACATCTTCCGTAAGTGGTGCTTTAGGGGAAAACCGTAAAAGCCCTGGCTTTGCCACCTACAAACTGGGTGACCTTAGGCAGCTAATGAAAAAGTTCTATATGCTGAGTATTTACTAAGTACCAGGTACTGCTCAAAGATAATTTTAAGTACATTTTCAATTTACTTAATCTCTTCATACCTTAATTTATTCATTAGTGAAAGATAACAGTAATATTTAATTCCTGTGGCTGTTTTGATGATTAAGAGAGAAGTCATATACATGAAATAGCTTGGTAAACCTAACACATTGTGTTTTTCTTTTTTGAGATAAGGTGTCACTCTGTCACCCAGGCTGGAGTGCAGGGGCGTGGTCTCTGCTCACTTCCACCTCTGCCTCCTGGGTTCACCCGATTCTCCTGCCTCAGCCTCCCTCCCAAGTAGCTGGGACCACAGGCGTGCGACACCACGCCTGGCTAATTTTTTAATTTTTTTGTAGAGACAGGGTTTCACCTTGTTACCCAGGCTGATCTGGAGCTCCTGAGCTCAAGGGATCTACCTGCCTCAGCCTCCCAAAGTGCTGGTATTACAGGTGTGAGCCACCATGTCCAGCCAGCCTTACACATTTAAAAATAGTTTTCTGGCCAGGCACAGGTGGCTCACACCTGTACTCCCAGCACTTTGGGAGGCTGTGACAAGAGGACTGCTTGAGCCCAGGAGTTTGGGGCTGCAGTGAGCTATCACTCCACCACTGCACTCCAACCTGGGTGACAGAGTGAGACCCTGTCATAAATAAATAAATAAATAAATAAAATAGTTTCCTAATAAGCATTTTTTTATAAATCTGAAAATGATATGATTATTTTCTTTTCAGCTCCCCCACTACTGAAGACTATACAGATTGATCACCTCACACTTGTTAAAATGACTATTATTAAAAAGATAACAAGCCAGGTGTGGTGGCTCATGCCTGTAATCCCAGCGCTTTGGGAGGCTAAGGTGGACAGATCATTTGAGGTCAGGAGTTCGAGACCAGCCTGGCCAACATGGTGAAACCCTGTCTCTACTAAAAATACAAAAATTGGCCAAGCTTGGTGGCAGGCGCCTGTAATCCCAACTACTTGGGAGGCTGAGGCAGGAGAATTGTTTGAACCCGGGAGGCAGAGGTTGCAGTGAACCAAGATTGTGCCACTGCACTGACAAAGCGAGATTCCGTCTAAAAAAACAAAAACAAGATAATATGTGTTGGCAAAGATGTGGAGAAAAGGGAACCCATGCACACTGTTGGTGAGAAAGTAAGTTAGTACAGCCATTATGGAAAACAGTATGGTGGTTCCTCAAAAAAATTAAAAACAGGACTATCATGTAAGCCAGCAATCCCTCTAATGGGTATATATACAAAGGAAAGAAAATCAGTATGTCAAAGACACATCTGTACTCTCATGTTTATTGCAGCACTATTCATAATAGCCAAAATATGGAATCAACCTAAGTGTCTATCAACAGATGAACAGATAAAGAAAATACAGTATATACACACAATGGAATACTATTCAGCCTTGAAAAAGGAAATCCTGTCAGTTATGACAACATGGATGAACCCAGAGGACATTTTGTTAAGTGAAATAAGCCAGGCACAGAAAGACAAATACAGCATAAGCTCACGTACATGTGAAATCTAAAAAATCGAGCTCATAGAAGCACAGTAGAATGGGGCAAGAGGAAATGGGAAGATGTTGGTCAAAGGACACAAAAAAAGTTAGACGAGAGGAATAAGTTCAAGAGATCTATGGTACAATATGGTGACCATAGTTAATAATAATGTATTGTATACCTGAAAATCACTTAAAGATAGCTAAGTATGTGAGGTAATATATATGTTATATAGCTTGATTTAGCCATTTTACAATGTATACATATTTCAAAGCATCATGTTGTACACCATAAATATATGCAATTTTTATTTGTCAATTTAAAATAAAGAAAAAAGAATTCTTCCTAGCATTGCCTGTTAAAAAGAAGAAAAAGAAAAAAAGACTTTTTTTCTTGATTTTTGTATTACAAAACATAAGTCATCACCATGATGATCTTTCACCTACTAGAACTCTGTATATAATGGGGTCATGTGGCTAAGATAATAACTGTTTCCAGAAGACTAGTTTATTCACTTATACTTCTACTTGAAAATGGTTCTAAGAAGCAAAAGCCAATACATGCCTTCATGGCTCTAAGATAAGGCATGAGGAGGACCTTTCCATCATCACCCATGAACAAACTGAAGCATTATGGCCATTCTAAAGAAGCTGATGTCTAATGTTCATTTCCAGGCAATCCACGGGCAGTAGGTAAGCACAGCTTCTACTCAAATTAATGAAAATGGTGATGAGCAACTATGTGGGACAGCAGTTTATAGTCACTAACCATCAGTTAACACAGATTAGTGTAAAGAGAAAGCAACTAAAAAACTAAGGTTTATTTTTAAGTTCAAAATAATTAACTTTATAGCAAACAGAAAACTTGATCAATACATCAAAGGTGTGAAAAAAAGTAGAAGCATAAAAAATCAAAGTTTTAATTCTTTTTAAGCCCAGGACTAACTTTACAGGAAATAAATTAAAATTTGATGAACAAATCAAAAGGCATAAAAAAAAGAGACTTAAGATCCATAATCAAATGTAATATGTGAACCTTGGTAGATCTTCACTCAAACAAGCCTACTATAAAAGTCATTTTTGGGAGAGTCAGGGTAATTTGGGTATTAGATGATAATATGGAATTGTCATTGTTAGGCGTCATTACAGTATTATGGTTATGTAAGAAAATTTCCTGAATTTATAGTGGCATGCTAAAATATTTAGGGATTGGAATGCCATGATGTGTGGTATCTGCTTTGAAATACTTCAACAAAGAAAATAACATCAACCAGGCACAGTGGCTCATTCCTATAATCCCAACACTTTGGAAGGCCAAGTTGGGAGAATCACTTGAGCTCAGGAATTTGATACCAGCCTGGACAACGTTGTGAGACCCCATCTCTCCAAAAAAAAAGCCAGGTGTGGTAGAATACACCTGTAGTCCTAGCTATTACTCAGGTGGCTAAGGTAGGAGGATCCTGAGCCCAGGAATTCGAAGTTGCAGTGAGCTATGATCACACTACTGCACTCCAGCCTGGGCAACAGAGCAAGACCATATCTCTAGTTCAAAAAAGAAAAAAAAAAAAAGAAAAGAAAGTAACATCAGTGAGACAAATAATGAAATGTTAACAAGTGATGGGGTATAGTATACTACTCTCTCTATTGTTATAAATTTTTTTAAATATTTTTAAATAAAATTACATTTTTTAAAAAGGGGGAAAGAAAGCCTGATAAAATATCCCATCCATCCATCCATCCATAGAGTTGTAGTAAGGTTGGTTGCCTGAGCCAAAGGACGAAATGGCTAAGACCAAGTTTATCTTAGGTTACAAAGACACCTGAGGAAATTTTTCATATTGCCTTTGTGAGACAAATTGTATAATGTAGGCAAGATGAGTACCTCCCTTAAATTTTGCTGGCAAACTATCAAAATTCTCCACAATGGAGCTGAAGTGAGGGATGGCAGGAGGTGAATTATAAAACAGCTTTACAACTGCATTAAGGCTATGAGGAGAAGACGGGCACATACCAGTCAAGTCTGTCCCTTCCACTCTCTGACCTAGACCCAATGAGCTCATTAGGTTCCATTTTAAGAGAAGGTGAATTTTGTCCCTCCTTAATGGGGAAGTCTTTACAAAGTCTCCCATATTGTGGGTTACTTCTTCAATTGCTATTTTGAACAACAAAGTTCCACATGGAAGAACATATCTCAATTATTGCAAATTTTAGATGCTTATGAAGATCACTGCTAAAAATCCTTTACAAAGTGAAAAAAAATTATACTATGGTAATCATTCCTGAGAGATTGAGCTCAAAGTGCAAGTATAGGATGTAGTTGTAAATAAGCCTTTAATATTAAAGATCACTTTAAAAAGCAATCTGGCAAGTGGTTACTTTGTGGAGATTAGACATTCATCTACAAGAAGTATGGAAATAGGTACTCGTGGCTGGGAATACAATTTTTAGAAATAGTATCAGCTAAGGATCAAAAGCCAGCTTGTATTAAAAACAGCTTAGATGAAGTGAAGATGATGTGCTTTGCAAAATGCATTAGGTGACTCAAAAAGTGGCTCTAATGATGAACAGCTCTCCAACATTGGCAATGGATGTGAAGCTCCAGGCACATTCTTTTCAGAAAGAAGGTGAGAGTGCTTTTGAGATAGGATGACCAAGAAGGCGAGAGACCCAGGGACAGCTAGTTTGTAGAAGGCAAGACCTATACAGTAAGGACCTACGGGGTAAGATACAAATGGTACATAATAAATGTCTTTCCAAGTATTTGAAGAGCAGTTGTGTGGAAACAGAGTTGATTTATTGTTTTTTACAGAGCAGAAATTAAATGAATGAATGGAAACTATATGGAGGTAGATATTTGGTCAGTAAAAGCAAGTATTTTATAGTAACTGGATCTGTCCAACGCTGAATTTGAAAAGTCATGTGTAAGCAAAGCCTTCCTGACCAACTATAAGGAATGAAGTTGAGGTAAATTGACTTTATGGTCCTTTTAAAGATCAGATTCTATTATTTTATCAAATTATCTACAAGCTGGCAACAAAGTTGATAACTGCATTTATTTTTTAAACATACAGTTGGCCCTCTGAATTTGTGTGTTCTGCATCCATGGACTCAACCAAACAGCAGATTGAAAATATTAGGAAAAAACAACTAATAAAAATAACACCGCCACTATATATACACTATGGAATACTACACAGTCATAACAAGGAATGAAATCATGTCTTTTGCAGCAACATGGAGGCCAACATGAAATACAGGCCATTACCCTAAGTGAAATCATTCAGAAACAGAAAATCAAATATTGCATGTTCTCACTTATAAGTGGGAACTAAACAATAGGTACACATGGACATATAGAGAGAAATGGCAGACACTAGAGACTCCAAAAGCCAGGAAGAGGATGTTGGTTGAAAAATCACCTATTGAGTACAATGTTCACTATTTGGGTGACAGGTACACTAAAAGCTCAGACTTCACCACTACACAACATATCCATGTGACAAAACTGCACATACACCTTCCTAATCTCTAAAAATTTAAAAAATTAGTGTATATATATACATATATATGAAATCAGTGTGTATTTAGGCATCAAAAAATAACAATACCACGATAGAAAAATAATACAAATTAAAAAACAATACAGTATAACAACTATTTGCATAGCATTTATATTGTATTAGGTTATTATAAGTAATGTAGAGATGGTTTAAAGTATACGAGAGAGTATGTGTAGGTTATATGCAAATATGATTCCATTTTATATAAGGAACTTGAGCATCTGCAGATTTTGGTAGCTTTGGTGGTCCTGGAGCCAACACTCTTTGGATGCCAAGGGATCATTATACTCTTTTCGTTTATCACATATTTTTTAACTGTCTGCTCTGTAAGAATCATTACATTAAGTTTTATGTATAACAAAACATATATAAAAATAATGATAGAAATGTACAATCAAGGAAGGTTGCATATATACATGCATGTTAACATGTACCATAGCATGTATAACATACCATTCCTTGGCTGGGCTTTGTCCTAAGGTTAAAGCAGATACATAATGAAGGCATGATCTAGTTAGAATTTTCATCTTTTTCTAGGGTGTATCTTGATTGCCTTGTCTCTAGGCCAGACTATCGGCCTGTCCAAGAATAAACTGATTCATCCATAGTGAAGATATGAGTCAAATATTTTGGCTTTACTATGAAGCCTTTCTTGGCTTAGACACAACACACTGGGACTTTGTCTTCCAATTTCCCAACTTGTGCTATCAAATCTTCTCAAAAACTATTATAAAAAGAATGAACAATGGGAATCATCCAACAGACCTTCTAAATAGAACATCTAATAAAGCAACATTGGAATTACATAAAACTATTGGTCACTAACTTCTATCCTTGATCACAAGGAGATTAGTCAACAACACAAAGTAATCAGTTTGAAAGCAACCCAGCATAGCAAAACAATTCCAGGGCTAGAAGTACTAATGAAACACAATTCTTGGTATATGAAGCATCATAAACTTACCGAATACAGTGGAGGAAAAGCTGAAAAATACTCTTGCAATATAATGATACTTAATGATATAAATACAAGTAAAACATTAAGCTGAAAAAAATCACATTTGAAAAAGTCACCTTCAAACACTTTTTAAAAATCACGAGCAGGGGCTGTATGAACCATTCAACATTTTTTCCTCAAATAATCTACACATAAGAGTTTTCTCAGTTCTAATCTGAGAAGCTGACCTGAGATTGTTGGAAAAGGATGCTTTTTTCCGGGTTTATGCCACAGGCAAGAAGAACAGCAGTCATGTCCAGGATGCTCTGCCGAAGGACAGCTGGGTCTTGGGGGACAGTAATGGAGTGGAGGTCAACAATGCTGTATAATACAGAGTCATATTCATCCTGTAACCTCACCCAGCTCTCAATGGCTCCCAGGTAATTGCCCAGGTGGAGGATTCCTGTAGGTTGAATGCCGGAAAATACTCGCTTCTTGCTGTCTTTCTGGAACAAAGGAAAACAAGCATATTTGCTTTTGAGGCAGAATCCCATGAATCCTATGCCCATGTTATCATAGCTATGGGAGCTAGTTATATTTTTGTAAACTACAATCTGACAGTCATCATCATCCATTTATTTTGTGCCTACACTGTAAATCACTATGCTAGGTGCTACTAGGCACAAAAAAATGATATTAAAAATGTTTTTGCACTCAAACATGGACAAATGCAAAGACATATAAGAAAAGATCTGCAGCCGGGCGTGGTGGCTCGTGCCTGTAATCCCGACACTTTGGGAGGCTGAAGAGGGTGGATCACCTGAGATCAGGAGTTTGGGACCAGCCTGGCCAACATGGTGAAACCCCGTCTCTACTAAAAATACAAAAATCACCTGGGCGTGGTGGTACACCTTTAATGCCAGCTACTCCGGAGGCTGAGGTGGGAGAATTGCTTGAACCTGGGAGGTGGAGGCTGCAGTGAGCCAAGATTGCACCACTGCACTCTAGCCTAGGCAACAGAGCGAGACCCCGTCTCAAAAAAAAAAAGGAAAAGATCTGCATCCCCAAGAGCATGTGATCTAATTGGAGATAGAGGGTATTGTTTATGAAAAGATAAGTAAAGGTATAACATGGTAACATGATCATGACCAGTTTGGAATGATACAGAATAGGGTTCAGAGAGGAATTCCCAAGAGGAAAAGATAACTGAGGTTTGGTGGTCAACGAGGAAGCCTTCAGACATAGAATGAAATTTCACTGGAGATTAAAGGGGCCTCAAGGGTTTTTCATGTCATTTAATTTATTTTGCAGTTAAGGAAATGAAGGCCTTAGCATTAGTGCTAAAGGCTACTACTATTGCCTTAAGATTTTTTTATATTGTTGATATTATAATTTGGTGTATGAGATCTTGGGCTAGAAATTAGAAAACATACACTCTATTTCTAATATTACTTCTTAATAAGGTTATTTACATTTTCTATGCCTTGGTTTCCTTTTACTTTTAATAAAATCATATTTGGGTTTTCAATTCTTCAAAAGGAAATTTTAATTCTACATAATTATTTAAATT
The DNA here is from genome assembly GCF_000001405.40 of Homo sapiens. Lineage (NCBI taxonomy): Eukaryota > Metazoa > Chordata > Mammalia > Primates > Hominidae > Homo > Homo sapiens. Next base: position 119,077,672 of record NC_000001.11, read on the forward strand.
ATAAAAAGCATTTTTACTCTGGTCATATTTTCCCTTTGGTTTGTACTTTCTAATACTGAAGTCATAATAGGAAAATGAAAAGAAAAAAAATGCAATACAAAGTAAAAAAAATTGCTATTTTTCCCCTGAATTATTTTATAATACATTCCATAGTGAAAAACCAAAAATGAGTATGTATCAATAAATATACTGTAACTAAAAGGCCCTGAGAAAATATAATGCATCATTATCATTTTTAACCACCACCACAGCAAAACAATAGCAGCAATAATTTACTGAACAACTATGTTGCAAGCATTTATGCCCAGTGCTTTACATATATTAATGCATTTAATCATTTTAATACCTAATATGGTAGGCATATTATTACCTCCAGTTTATAGATGAGAGACGTGAGGCTCACAGATTTAACTAGATTGCCCATGGTCACACAGCTAGTAAGTGGTGGAGTTGAGGTTTCAGGCCAGATATCACTGACTTCAAAGCCCATGTATGCTCTCTCTACTAGCTACTATGCTTTGCTTAGCTACCATCTATTAAGACTTTATTATATTCATTGTATTAATTTTGCAACTTTTCAGTCAGTTTAAAAATTTGCAAAATAAAAAATTACAGGGACAAAAAAGACCATTATTATACAGGTATCTTAATGTATTATGAGCCAAGTTTCTCTAGTGTATATATCTAGGAGTAGAATTGCCGAGTCATAAGGTATGTATACGTATCTTCAATTGTAGTACTTCAATATAGTGAACTATTCCTAAGTATGTAACATTATACACTTTCTACCAAGTTCCTGTTGTTCCATATCCTCATCAACACTTGGTATTAGCAGTCTTTTTATTTTTAGCTAATCTGATGGAAATGAGGTAGAATCTCATTATGGTTTAACTCTCTTTGATTATTAAAGAAGTTGGGAACTCTTTTTATGATTACTACCTATTTTTACCTCCTATTCTATGAAGAGCCTATTTAAATTATTTTGCCTGTTTTTCTCAGATTGGATTGTCTTGTATTGATTTCAGAATCTGTACATATTCTAGATGCTAATATTTTGTCAATTACATGTAGGGCATATATTGTCTTATTGTATGGCTGTCTTCTATTTATATTATCTTTTGACAAAGATAAGTACTTAATTTTATGAATCAGATATATAACTTCTGATAACAGATTATTGTATCATAGAAGAAATCTTTCAATACCCTGCAGTTATGAAGGTGCACGTGTGTGTGTGTGTGTGTGTGTGCATATATGGATACATACATATAGCTAGACACACACACACACACATATGCATATACAAAATGTGTGTGTGTGTGCACTTTGAAGTTTTATCTTTACTCTTCACATTTAGGTCTGTATCCATCTGGAGTTTTTTTGCATATGGTGTGAGGTAAGCATCTAATTTCTTCTTTTTTTCCTATATGAATATCTGATTATTCTAGCACCATTTATTGAAAAGACTGTCTCTTCCCACTGCTTTGAAATTCCATCGCCATCATAAATCAAGGATCCCTCTATGAAGAATCTGGTAAGGGTCTGGTCTTTCAATTCTGACTCATTAGTCTATCTGTCTGTCACTGTGTCAGTATAACATTGATTTTTAAAAATATGTCTTGGAACCTGCTAAAGTGAGGCTTTCAACCTTCTTTTTCTTCAAGAGTACTTTATCCATCCTTGGCCCTTTATACGTATCAATATATTTTAGAATCATCTTGTCAAGTCTCAAGAGAAAAAAAAACCCTGTTCATTTTTTGCTGCTTCTTTTTAGATCAGATTAGAAGCTGCAATTGCTGGTTGGGGTTGCTGACTGAGATCACACTGCATCTATAGATTGTTTCGGGGAGAACTGACATCTTTATAATATTGAGTCCTCCAATCCAGGAAGCCACAAGCCATGTTAAGTCTTTTTTATACCTAATGCTAGCTCCTGAGAGCTAATCTACTTTTGATATGTGAGTGCCAAGGTTACTTAAATTTGGCACTTCCTTTTCCCCAAGTATTCCAAATCCTACAAATATAGTCTATTTTCCTCTCAACTCCTAAGATGATAGCCCTAAAATAGAATGCTACATCATAGTTCCATGGTCCAGAATTGTGCTTGATCCAGGAACTGAGGAGGAAACCCAAATGATCTGTGGCTCTGAGGATATGAAAAATATCTTTCAGGTAATTGAGAACAAATATAATCTTACACTCAAAATCACAAACACACACATAAAAGGCTTTCAAGTGATGAAATCCCCAAATCATAATCTAGAAACAATATTTTTAAAATAATTCCTACTTGAGAATTGAGAGAGAGAGAGAAGTTAGCATAGAATGAGTACCTATTAGCGAGGCTTCCTCCAGGACCTAGGAACCCTAACCAGCTCTGGATTCCTGATATGGGAATAAGCAAAGGAATTTTCAGTGCAGTAAGAAATGATTAATGGGCTTTAGGGACTGATTGATGAAGAGAGAAAGCAAAGCAGAAAAACAAACTCTGAAGTTAATAAATGGAAAGGAAAAAAATACCATCCTGAAATACTTGACCTAGGAAGATAAGGGACTGTTTATGGTAATGTAAAGGGTTATAAAGACCAGGAATTTTAAGTTGAAAATAATAGGAATATTTTCACATATATTCCTCCATCTTCAAACTCAGAAATTATTCCCCAGGAGAAATGGAGAAAACAAATTCTTGAGAAAACTAGAAGAGAAAAGCACCAGAGAAGAGACTGTGGGAAAAAAGTATTGTGACCAGTGGGAATGGGCTAGAAATGATCTAATACATCTTTTCCATTCTCTAGTTCCTGGGATTCTATACATTAGTGCAGAGGGAATGATATTATCAAGCAATGAGACCAACGAGAAGTGTTTTGTTCAATTTTCAAGGCGCTGTTAAAAAAATACAGCCTCTAAATGGGAACTGGATACCTGGTCTTAAAAATATACAGAGAGCATCCTGCTCTTCTGCAGTGAGTTTATGTTCCCGTCTGTTCCCTCTGCAGGAGTCAGCAGGCGGCCTGACGGCATGGCAGGGGAGACATGCCAGGTACCATGAAATCATGGGGTTGGAATGTGGAGTTTGGGTGGTGGGAGGATGGGGGTTCTGTGTTCAAAAGCACTAGAGTTAGAAAAGAATGAAAACGAAAGGAGCTTGGGCTTCCCATGGGTTTGGACAAGAGACAAACCACAAAGAAAACAGCTTCTAGCCTAGCCCACAGGCATTCATTCAAGGGGAAGCCTGGAGCATCAACCTACAATTCCATCACAGTATGCAGAGGATTAAAAAAGAAGCATGTTAGAAAGTAGGTCTTCATTTCATTTCAGGCATATTTCCCTGGTAAATGCCACTTCCAGCCTATACATTTATTGGCTCATTTTTATAACAGAACCAGCAGTACCAAATCCCTGGGGAGCTTCAGCTCTAGGATTTGACATATACTAGAAGAGAGGGTGGGTATTCAAATCAAAGGTAGAGCATACTTATCATTTTGACAGACATAGCTGAAACTATTCCTGTTGTAAGGTACTGAGCACATCCAAAATGTGTAATTTCCTTAATTTTCTTACTGTACTCAAAAGCAATTGAAAATTCCCAAGTTATTAATTATGGCAAAAGAATTTTTGTGATTAGGAGAGCTTCTGTCTTTAATTTCAAGTGAATAAGATCCATCAAAAGAAGGCTGCCTACTAGCTTTGAAACACTTTCAGCTTCAGTACAGTGGTGAGAAACAGACTTCAACTAAAGATTTCAAGACTCTTCTTACAAAGTCCTGCTTGTATCCAGCTGTAACAGCAATTGTTCATTCATCACACTTGTTTTAACTACAGTCAAAGGTAAACCACAAACTTGGCTCAATGGCCACACTATGTCTTATTGGTTACATAAATGGCATTTTATCACAGATTGTAATAAAAAAGTATTCAATAACATTACCAGGTAATTGGGATGAAAATCTCTTTCTATAAGTCTATTTATTCTTCTCATTGTATATAAATTTTAAAATATTGTTTAAAGCTGTCACTCCTTAGCTCTGTTAGTGTTTCTCAATTCTATCATCTACATTGCCCTACTATTTCAATCCTACATTCCTGAAATTATCTTCAACATTTTCTTGAAAATGCCTCTATTGGCAATTAAGGATTGAAGAGCTGAAACAGAGAAGACCCGGCGTGACACTGGTGCTCCTCTGAAGGTTTGGCCATGCCTCAGCATTGTTCTGCTACAGTCAGCTCTTTCCTCCGGAAAGCACTGGAGAGTCCAGGTCTGTTAAGAAATGCTCACTCAGCACCAAGAAAAATGGGTTCATCATTTCTAAGCATCTGCTTAGAAATAAAACCAGATGCTCAGACCTAGGAATCAATAGAGTAAATATTAATTCAGTATAAGAGAAAGAAGGTCCTACATCACCTCCAAATAAGAAAAAATATGGAGGCCAACAATTAAAACTGAAGGAAAAATATTTTTAAAAAGAAAGAAAAAGGAGTGACTAACCAATTAGACTGTGAGCTCCTTAAGGGCATAAATGATAAGCACTTAATATGTATTGTTAGTTCAGTAAAAGAGTTTAAAAGGAATCAACTTAATTCTTAAAAATATTCCCCCACAGGCTTATTTAGGCCATTTTCAAATTTCAAGAGTTACACATCTATTTTCCTTACACGTGCTGTACCTACCATCCTTCTATCATGTGATGGAATGCTTTTGCACATGTATTTTCCTTCTTGTGATGAAATTTAGCTATCAGAAACATGCCCTGGCCCTTTCATGTACTTCATCTCATGTAGTGAAGGTAGGAATCATAGGCATCATTTTCTAGGGAAGGACACTGCTAAGTTAAATAACCTGCATAAAGTCACAGGCAGGTGAGTCAGATCTGGATCTGAGCTCTTGCCACTGGACTCCAAATTCTATATTCCTTCCATCACACTGAACTGAATGCAATTTAGAACTTCTTGGCTTCAAGCATCCCACTCCCACCCAACCCCTCTCCCCAACACACTTCTCAGAAGGGGAAAGTGTACCATGGAGATGTTAATGAAAAGGCCAAGGGCATACAACTAGTGGCACAGCTGGAGCCACAATTCAGAACTCCAGTGCTCTGGCCACCACACCACATAATGTTCTTCCCCAGGTGCCATGTTTTGAAGGTGTGACCCCCTCAAAATTCAAATTGAAAATCCCCACTGTGGTAGTATTAAAAGGCAGGGCCTTTTAGAAAGTGATTAAGTCATGAGGGTTCTGTCTCATGGATGGATTAATGCCCTTATAAAAGAGGCTTCAGGCTGGGTGTGGTGGCTCACACCTGCAATCCCAGCACTTTGGGAGGCCAAGGCAGGTGGATCACTTGAGGTCAGGAGTTTGAGACCAACCTGGCCAAAACGGTGAAACCCCGTCTCTACTAAAAATACAAAAATTAGCCAGGCGCAGTGGTGGATGTCTGTAATCCCAGCTACTTGGGAGGCTGAGGCAGGAGAATCACTTGAACCCGGGAGGCAGAGGTTGCAGTGAGATGAGATAGCGCCATTGCACTCCAGCCTGGGTGACAGAGCGCTACTCCATCTCCAAAAAAGAAAAGAAAAGAAAGGAAAGATTTAGAGAAAGTATACACTGTTTTGTCCTTCCACCCCCTCTACCATGTAAGGACACAGCATTCCTCCTTGCTGGAGGATGCAGCAACAAGGCACCATCTTGAAAACAGAGAGCGGCCCTCACCACACACCAAGGCTGGTGCCTCGCTCTTGAACTTCCTAGCCTCCAGAACTGTAAGAAATAAGTATCTGTTCTTCATAAATTACCCAGTCTGTAGTATTTTGTTATAGCAGCACAAATGAACTAAGACACCAGGTTTTTAATTTTATACTGTTCTTTTCTTCTGTAGTTATTTCTTTTGTACCTAAACATCTCTTTGGGCTATTTTCTTCAGGTCTTTTTTTCTGTCTCCCCAGCAGGAAGAAATGATAAAATATAGAGTCATGACACTTTGGCTCCCAGGAAGGATTACATCATCACCTCAGGGCAGCTAATCTATATTTAAATGCAAAGGTTATACGTAAGTAAAGAATAAGGAGGCAAGTCTTTTTTTGTCTTAGATGCTTAAAACTAAATTAACAATTATCTAAACATGACATAAATAATTAGAAAATTAAATGTAGTGCAAAATATTTTAATTCCTAATAACACTACTTGCTAAACCAAATCAGCAAGTGTCATATTCTTGCCATAACATACTAACTAACACAGCATATTATTATCTTGAACAGGACAGTAAGTACAGGTAATCGATCAAGAAGCACTACAATTTTAAAAGTACAAAAAATGATATAAAATGTTTTAAAAATTTAGTTTTTCCTCATACGATGTTTTTTTTTTTTTTGAGACAGAGTGTCTCTCTGTTGCCCAGGCTGGAGTACTGTGGACGATCAGAGCTCACTGCAGCCTCAAACTCCTAGGCTCAAGCAGTCCACCCACCCTCCCAAGTAGCTGGGACTAGACGCACACACAACTACGTCGGCTAATTTTTTTTTTGGTATAATTCTATTTATATGAAATATCCAGAATAGGCAAACCCATAAACAGGAAGTCAGTTGGTGGTTGCTAGGGATGGGGAGGAGGGAGGAAATGGAGAGTTCTTGTTTAATGGGTACAGGGTTTCATTTTGGGATGATAAAAAATGTTTTGGAAATAGACAGAGGCGATGGTTACACAACATTGTGGATGTTTAGTACCAAATGTCACTGAATTGTTCCCTTTAAAATGGTTAACTTTATGTTATGTGAATTTCACCTCAATACAAATAAATAATAAATACGTTGCAAGGAAAAAACTTGGAAAGAGGCCAATCAAACAAAAAAGTTGTAATGAAAAAGAAAAGACATTAAACATTTTTTTAAACAGGAGGTTTTGGGCATGGAGCTGGTTGATCTTAAAAATCCTATCCCATTCATTCACATCAAGCTGTCCAAACCGAGTAACTGGAAAGGTCCCACGATGCTGAGCTCTAAACATCAAACACAAAACTAGAATTCTGGAATTATCTGGTATTTTCCCTTTCCTGAAAATTCCATCTTCAATTGGTTCTACGGGTTCAAGAGCCATATTTATGAATCAACATTCAGGGCACGTACTCTGGTTCAGGGACAATGAATGGTACGAAGAATATCTAGGATATGTAGCTGTTGAAACTGCAGCCCTCTCAATGACTCTAATACTCAAGGAGTTAAAAGAATCCAGCCCCAGGAGTTTTAGATACAAAAATAGTAACAATCCAACTGAATTTGACTGCATTTAAAAAACATAATTATTTCCAAATCTACCGAGCAGCTGAACAGTCTTCAGTGACGCCTACAGTCACTGGAATTCAAAGACTCCTGCTCCCGGCAGCGCTGGGTCCTTTTATGCCTATGGGATTTATCTCAGCTCCTACCTCTACTTCTATGACTACGCCCTTCAGAACGCCCGTTGTACGGGCTAGAAAGTGTGCCTGAGCTCCGCCCTCTGTCCTTATCCCTGGTCTTTTCTTCTCTTGCCTCCCTCCTGCTTGAGGACCTGTGCTCGTGCTTGGGTTTCCCCTTCTTCAGCTCCCTCTCTCGGTTCTCTGCCCAACCAGAGTAGGCAGTCCTGGCCTTGGGGAGCTTCCGCCCCTCCCTGGGCACTGACTTCTGAGCTCTCTCCTAGTTCTTGCTGCTGTGCTTCTTAGGGCCAGGGTTGTCCTCTTCCTTTACTGTCTTGCTTCTGGGTGACGAAGAGGATGGTTGCTCTGCCTGTACCTCCCAGTCAGTTGTCTCTTTTTCTTTTTTTCCTTTTTGTCTTTTTTTGCGCTTTTTTGTTGGTTTTTCATCTTCAGAGCTCTCAGACAAACTTGGTGAGGGGGTACGAGCCCCACAGCCCTTCTCCTGGAGCTCTTTGGTCACATCATCCATTTCTTCTGAGTCCTTAGGAACGCAATAGTTAGACACATGATCCACTCGGATAGTTCTTCCTTTGATCTTGATCCCATTAAAATTGTCAATGGCCAGAATTGTGCTCCTCTGGTCTTCATAGCAGAGGAAACAGAATCCTTTGGATTTCCCAGTCTTCTTGTCCCACATGAGATTAATGTTAACAATCTCCCCATACTGTGAGAACACACAGATGATGTCCCCTTCAGTCAGCTCATAAGGAAGCCCTCCCAGGAAGATCCAGGCACTGTCCTTGTACTCGGAGTGCCAGGACACCTTATCGGCCACCCCAAGCTGGACCTCTCGCTCATTCAGCTCATTGATCAGCTTCACCTTAGTTAAAGGGTTCATCTCCACGGGCCCAAACTCAGCGTTCAGGTATCAGTGCCCAGGCAAGGCAGTGTGGCACATACCCTGGCTAATTTTTTAAATTTCTCGTAGAGGCAAGGTCTTGCTATCTTGCCCAGATTGGTCTCAAACTCCTAGCCTTAAGTGATCCTCTTGCCTTGGCCTCCCAAAGTTCTGGGATGACAGGTGTGAGCAATTGCACCCAGCCTTCATAAGAAAATTCTAACATTGATTTTCAAGTGTTCATTCTGGGGGTATATGATATTTTCATTATCTCTTGTGGCCAACTAAAGGCTTATCATACCAACAATTATCACTGCTCACACATCCACATTGACACCTGCCTGATTCCCCTCTTCAGCTGATTATCTGAGAACATTCATCCTTTGGCCAGCAGCTGAGATATGTGGCTATCCACACCAAGTCGTCAGACTGTTACTAAACATGCGAGGATTAATTACACTAGTTTTAATACTTTTCTAACTGTGTACCCTTTTTCAAATATAATATTCTTAGATGTGCCTAATAAGTGGAATTGTCCAAAGAAAAGCTTGAGAGGTGGATGGATAATAGCAGAGTCAGTGGGGGAGCTCTGGTGGGTCCCTGACTGCTCTTTTGACCTCACCCCAGTCAAGCACAAAGGGGGCTTCTCAGAGCACAGTCTGAAAACCGCTTTCAGACATTTTCAAAGTATTAATATTTTGTTGAAATTGAAACTGTCTTCCTCAGGGTATTGGGGAATATACAGGAGAAGAAAGATACTAAAATATGGGATAGAGGTGCAAATATCACATATACTGACTTAGCATAACTCTTCTCATTTCTTCCTCTGAGACAAGACTCTGACTTTGTGGGGTGGTCAATGCCCTTCCCAGTCATTCTCCAATCACACCACCTGGGGAACTCAGCTGACTACTTGCCTTTCTTCTGTAGAGTACTCCTCTCTGCATTCACACTCTTCCACCATCCTAGAATGCCCTTTCACCTCTTTTCTGCGTGGGGAACTCTCCTTGGTCATTAAGCCCTAACAATCTCTCACTGATTCTGAGACTCTTAAACATGCTTCTTCCTCCTACCAAACACACCCACACCTGTTCCATGCTCCACCACACACACCACCAATGTCTCTTTTTCTCTCTCTCACTCAGAAGAACAGATGCCTCCTTCATCAATTCTTCATTATTGCACATATCACATTGATAACTTGGTAAATATTTTTTTATTTGCTCCATAGATATATTTTCCCGCCTAGAATATGAGCTCTTCTAGGGCAGGGACTATCTTTTCCTTCTTTATATACCCAGTAAATAGCACAGTGCCAGGTATGTTGTGGTCCCCTTATAAATGTTAACTGAATCATGACAAATCCTTTCTCCCATACTTTAGTTCCAAATGTAAAGGGTAAAATAACTATAAAGAAAATAAGTCATATGTTTCAGTTGCAGGCAATTGTTAAACAAGTTACGTTCTAAGAGTTTGTTTAAAAATTGGTTCTTTGAAACTCAGAAATTGGGTTCTTTAAATGGGAAGCAGACCATCAAAGTCTCTCTGAGCCTACAATATTCTTGAAGAATGGTTTTAACAGCATGATTTCAGCTGTACCTAACCAGCATCCATAAAATTGTTTCTGTGGGAAAGTGGAATCCGAGGTCCATTTTGGACACCAGAAATCTATTCAGTGGTGGCTTTGATTTTGTATTAGAAAGGACTTAAGGGGAGCAATTATGCATGCAGAGGAGGTTGTATTTGCATATACAGTAAATTGTTTTTAGTTAGATTGTATGATTACTTTGAGGTGGAGTAACAGGTTAAACATCCTCATGCATTAATTGCCTTTCTTATTGATATTGTATGGACTGTCAGAGGCAGCAGCCCTGGCCACTGCTGGTGGAAAAGTAAAGAGCAGAAAGAAGGTGAGAGGAAGGGATTACAGCAGAGGCTCTCAAAGTGTGTTTCCAGTACCAGCAGTAGCATCATGGCTTGGGAACTTGTTAAAAATGCAGTCTTGGGTTCCAACCCAGACCTACTAAATCAGGAATTCTAAGAGCGGGGCTTATCCCAGAAGAAGAAATGAGAAAATTTATGCGGCCCGGGCTTTAACAAGCCTCTTCAGTGATTCTGATGTATGCTAAAGTTTGAGCGAGGTTTTTGGGCAACAATAATCTAGTCTTAAAATTCACTTCAACTGCAGAAAATGAGGTACAGATAAAAACATTATGAATGAAAAAGAGAAGGTCCCTTCTAAGCCAACAGTTCTCAATCTTGGCTGCACTGCAATCACTTGGGAGCTTTAAAAAATACTGATGCCTGGGCACCACCCCCAGAGATTCTGATTTAATCAGTCTGGGATTTGGCATGAGCAATGGGAGTTTTAAAAGCTCCCCAGGTGATTCTAACATGAAGCCATGAATGAGAAACCACTGTTCTAAGCCAACTGCTACATAATTATCTTCCAAAGCTGCCAACCTGCTAGGAAACACTGAAACACACACACACACACACACACACACACACACAAATAAAAGGACTAAAAATGTGAAGAGTAAGTTCACTTGCTAGTAATTTACATTTCAAGGTAATGAAATCTCTAATGCAATGATTTAATCATGTATAGGCAGAGGCCCCTTTGGCTCCCAGCAGTTTGGATATTACATGCGGCAGCCACGAAGGACAGAAGATTATGACGCTGTGGTCGTAGCCTCTATGCTGGTGAGAGAAGACATCTATGACAACAAGTAGGCATGCTATCTTCGATGGCTAGGTAGACTTACTTGGCAAAGTCCAATTCCATAAATCTCTATGGCTCAGGGATTCAGAAAGCATATATAGCCTGGACATCACCAAGGAAGTAACACCACTGAGGAGTGTTCAACATCAGTAATGGATTGGAGACAAAATTATCTCTGCATAGAGATACTGTTTTTACCCATGTCCCTGCTTGGCAAACTCCCTACTTCCTTCTGATCTTTCCTACCAGAAAGTCTGGATTCAACACTCGAGCACTGTAAGTGGGTCTCATGGTTAGCTCAGTTGGTTGGCCAAGACCTGGACTAATATCATGTGGCCTTGGCTAAGTGAAGCTGAGATGCCAGTAATTCTTATATATAATGTATGATATAATTCCCTATCTCAAGTGTTCTGAACCTTTGAGAGACAGTGTGAATTTCTTACAAAGTACTCACAATCCAAACAGGAAAACACATTTCTAAAGTTAGTTTCCTGGCATAAAATAGTTTACAAAAAAGGGAATTTTTTTGACTGTTATTTCACCTCTTCCAAGAGCAAATAAGTCTCATGTTCCAGCTAATCATGGCTCCCTTTCTCATCCAACCTGTAGACTGATATAAGACTACAGGGTGTTCCAACCACATTTGCATCATCAGACCCTTCTGTCAGCTCAGGTTGTTAACTCAGCCTTATAGTAAGTTCGAAGAATGACAAAACCAAGCACTAAAATATGATTGTGATAACTAGCTTGGTTATAAACCATGGCTGAGAAGCAGAATCTAGTGCCACACTGCCGGGATTCAAGACTTTGCCCAGTTACTTATGTGGCGTTGAACATGTACAAAATAGGGATAATAATAGTACCTATCTCAGAGGGTGGTTCGGAGGACTGTGACAAGTTTATTAGTATAACCCTGGCACAGAATAAGCTCTCAGTAATCTAACCATATCTGGAGATCAAAATTTTATTTTATTTTGACCCAACCATTCAATGTATGGAAATCTGTCCTATAGAAATACTCACACAAGAATGTAAGAAGATCTGGTGTTCCCCCTGATCATTTAATTACAAAAGAATTATACTGGTACATATACACCATGAAATTCTATGCAGCCATAGAAAGGAATGAGATCATATCCTTTGCAGGGACATAGATGGAGTTGGAAGACATGATTCTCAGCAAACTAACCCAGGAACAGAAAACCAAATACCACATGTTCTCACTTATAAGTGGGAGCTGAATGATGAGAACACATGGACACATGGTGGGGAACACCACACACTGAGGCCTGTCAGGTTGGAGAGGGAGAGCATCAGGAAGAATAGCTAATGGATGCTGGGCTTAATACTTAAGTGACAGGATGATCTGTGTAGCAAACCACCATGGCACACATTTATCTATGTAACAACTCTGTATATCCTGCACATGTAGCCTTGAACTTTAAAGTTGAAAAAAAAAAAAGAATTATAAGCAACTAATGTCCATCACTAGGGGAAATACTAAATAAGTTATAGTTTTCTTTTTATATAATGAAATACTATGGAATAGATACGAAGGTAGGTCCTGTTAAGTACTGAGAATTGGCACAGGGTGGAGGTGAGGAGCCCAAATCTAGAGTCAGACATGTGAGTCCAGTGCCAGCCTTCTTGTGCACTGGCTGTGCTTCCTTGTACAAATCACGGAACTTCCTTAGCTGTAAAATGGGAGGAATGACAGTACTCCCCTGAAGGTTCTATATAGACATTTGTTAAATAGATAAATGCTGACAAGGAAGACAGCCTACATACCTAACTTACTAGTGGTTATACAAGGAAATGGGAGTAATGATTTCCTTTTTGACTTTTTGTATTGTTTAACTTTTTAAAAAACGCATGTCATTTTTCTGTCACCAAATTTTAAAAATAAGCCTGGGCCAGATGCAGTGGCTCACACCTGTAATGCCAATACTTTGGGAGGCCGATGTGGGAGGATCACTTGAGCCAGGAGTTTGAAATCAGCCTGGTCAACGTAGGGAGATCCTGTCTCTACCAGAAAAAAATAAAAATACACAAATAAATACAGGAAAATTAGCCAGGCATGGTAGCACATGCCTGTAGTACCAGCTACTCAAGAGGCTGAGGTGGGAGAACTGCTTGAGCCTGGACATCGAGGCTGCAGTGAGCAATGATTGTGCCACCATACTCCAGCCTGGGCAACAGAGCAAGATCCTGTCTCAAAAGAAAAATCGGCCTAGTTTTTCGGCATATGGTGGTCTGATTGAATTAGTTGATATGTAACTAAAAGAGTCTCATACTAACAGGAATGTTGGTTATTACCATTTTCATTTTAAATAATGGGAAATTAAGACAGACAATGTTAAATGATTTATTAAGTTCAGATATTAAGTAATTTGTAAAATGAAACTAAAATAGAAACAATGTAGTGTAATCTAAAGGACTTGAGTTTTGAGGATCAGACAGTGCTAGGTTCAAAATCCTTCTATGCCTCCTAGCGCCTTTTGCAAATTATGTAACCTCTCTGAAACTCAGTTTTATTATTTGGACATTGAGGTTAATGGTAATAATAGCTAACATTTATTGAGTGCTTACTAAATGGGAAGCATTATAGCAAGAGCTATAAATGTATTATCTCATTTGATCCTCATAAAAACTCTGAGGTACTTGTTTCACAAGGATGAAGGAACTGAGGCACAGAAGGGTTAAATGAGTGGTCCATACCTAGTAAATAGTGGAGCCATGACTTGAACCCAGGTCGATTAACTTCAGCCATATGTACTTCAGAGGGAGATTATGAGAAGATAGCAAGGCACTCAAGAAATTATTTGTTTTACCCCTTTGATTCACTAGAATGTATGGCCTAAAATTTTAATTTTATGTTATAATAAACTTCTAAGGGGTGTGTGATTCTCTTACACTGCTCACGCTAAAGATAACTGACTGCTTGATATACTTGTTTCATTGAGAAGTGGTGGCCCATACCAGGGCAGGTGACAAGGACAGTGGTTCTTATTCATCTGGGCAGCAGCTTCAGTGCTAATTCTAAACACAGGTGGTGAGAGAGACAGCCAACAGGAAGGGGGAAGGAATCACTGCTGACATGTGCAACTGGGAAGATTGATGGTTTCCCTCTCTCTTTTTCCCCAATGTGTCGGCCTGGGAGCAGAGACGTAGAAGCCGCTGTGCTGAGGACAGTAAAATACACAGCACAGTGTCTGCCTGGCTGCAACACTGATTAATGAGACCAAAATGACACAGAAAACAGGCAGTGCTTCGGAAGGATAATTCACAGGCATTTCTTTATTTAATCATTTCAACAAAAGCAGTTCCCATAAACTGCCCGGTTTGAACTAGAATCTAGAATTCCCCGTGGTTAGAGCAACACAGGGGTATATTTGGTGGGATGCGTGGATCAAAGAGTGAGAATATAAAGAGAGTTTGTAATGAAGTAAATTCACTAATGACCGGCTGGGTACAAACTTAGGAATTCCTCTACTTTCTCTGACTGACCAAAACATTCACAAAGTTCCAAGTAAGATAGTTGTTTGCCTACCTAACTTAATGTAGGGATGATATGAGAATACGTTATCACAAGGAATTGCACCCTGTTAAAGCACTCTTGCTTTTCAAGACTAGTAGCCAGCGTCACCAATTCTTCATGTTTTACCATAGCTGCATAATGTATACATTTAAAATGACATTATCTTTATTAAGGAAATTAATGTAAAAATTAATTAACATCAAATATTATTTTAGTACTTACTATCACCTGTCTTACTTCCCACGAGCAGCTCTTAAACTTAATACTATATCCCAAACTAAATCTATTGACTCATGACCTTCAGGTCAACTCTCCCCGATTCTGCACTGTATTCTCAATTCTGGCTAATGATACAACCATCTACCTAGTCTCCTAACCTTAAGATTCATCCCCAACTCCTTCCTTTCCCTTACCAGATTCTGTTGGTTCAAATCCTGCCTCCTCCAATTACTAGCTATGTGATCTTTGGCAAGTATTTGTGCCTCAGTTTCATCACCTGAAATAAAAATTTTAATAGTACTGATTTATAGGAGAATTGCAAGAATTAAACAAATTGATACATAAAAAGTGTTTAGATTGGTGCCTGGCACATAGAAAATGCTTAATAAATATTAGCTATCTTCATCATCTAATCAATTACTAAATCATCAGGGATGTTTCTCAATACAATTTCATTTCTCCATCTCCATCAATGTAGTCTAAACCACAATCATCTCACCTGTGCTGTTTCAATAGCTTTTTTCTGAGTTTTTTAATCTTCTACACTATTACCTGAACCAGCATTTAAAAGTAATGAATCTCCACTGATTCTTCCTTTTTCACAGAGTCAAATCCAAACCCTTAATTTAGTGTATAAAATCCTTCATAATCTGACTTCAAATATATGTAGATTACTTAGACATAGTAAGGGCAATTATCCCCATGAATCAACATTAATTAAGCAAGTGAGAAGTCTTATGAGAAATATAGGGTTCAAGTTTTACATTTAACATTTTATAACATGCTATTTTTCATTGATTATCCTAACACTAGAGTAAGTATCATATTCACTGAAAAACCACTGAGTAATCTTTAGGATCTATAATTTAAAGCCTAAAACATAAAAAAAATTACATGCCATTTTTCTAGTGTACTTCCATTGCTTGGTGTAGTAGGTTGAATTATGTCCCTCCAAAATTCATGTCTACCTAGAACTTCAGAATGTAACTTTATTTGTAAATAGGATCTTCGCAGATATAATCAGTTAAGATGAAGTCATAAATACAATGACTTGTGTCCTTAAAAGAAGAGAAGACACACAGACACATAGAGGGAAAAGGGCCACATGACAATGGAGGCAGAGATTGGAGTGATACAGCTACAATTCAAGAAAATCCCAAGGATTGCGAAGAGCCACCAGCGGCTAGGAAGAGACAAGGAAGGGTTCTTCCTTAGAGTCTTAAGAAGCATGCCCTGCCAACACCTCAGTGTCAGACTGCTAGCCTCCAGAACTGTGAAAGAATACATTTCTGTTCTTTTAGGCCACCCAGTTTGTGGTACTTGGTTATGGCAGCCTTAGAAAACTATTAATAGCACACTTGACTAATGTCTTAAACTGATAAGGTAAGTAAGGTCAGTTGTTCAGGATCTGTAATCTGGTTACTATTTCTGTCAGAAATTCACATCCAGGACACTGGCCTTCTCTTCCAAGACTGTGCAAGACCTGGGGCAATGCAGAGTAGAATAAAAGTATTCTGCACGGGTTGTGGTGACTGACCAAACCACAACTGTATGTAGGTAGTAGTGCTGAGAGGCAGGAAGCATTATTACATAGACCATGTCAAATAAACAAACAGCCATCAACTAAGGGGCTATAATCATAGATGAAGTTGCTGTTACTTTGTTCTGGGATCAAAGTTCTAGGATCACATTTGCATTGATTCCATAAAATTACTGCACATAGTTGACTTTGCTCCATTTATTTCTTCCATTTAAACAGTAGCTCTGAAATTTTCATTATGCTGTAATCTCTCAGAAAAATGTAAATTTAAACTTAGCAAATATTTATTTCCTTTGGTAAAAAAAAATATTGATTGTATACCATTTTCCAGATGAAGCAGTATGGATGGCATGCGCTATTTCAACTTCCATGATCAATTATTGCTCTCCAAAAGGACTTTTTTTTCCCCCTTTGAAATCTTGAGATTGTTTTTTGGCATAATTACCCCAGCCCAAACGGTTTTGAGATATGTGTTTGTTTTTTTTTTAAATAAGCAGTAAACTATTTCTTTTACTTTAAAAAAACAAGTAAATATGTCTTTAAATTTTCTTTGAAGCTCTTTATAAAAACTTCTAAAAAATAAATGTTATTGTATATATTTAAGGTATACAGCATGATGTTATGGGATATATACAGATACCAAAAAGGTTACTATAGTAAAGTAAATTAATATATCCATCATCCCACATAGTTATCAATTTCTTTTGTTTTTATGTCAAAAGCAGCTAAATTCTGATTTAATATCAATCCCAAATACAGTACAATTTTATTACCTATAGTCCTCATGTTGTATTTAGATCTCTAGACTTGTTCATCCTACATATCTGCTACTTTGCATCCTCTGACCTACATCTCTCCATTTCCTCCTTTACAAAGAATTCTTGTACGTAATAAATAACTTTAGGAAAAAAAAAGAGAGAAAAATTCAAATTTGCAAACCAGTATCATCAGCCAATCATTAATTCACCATCCCTCTTTATGTTTAAAAGATTATCTCAATAATCTCTGGAAGCTCTGAATGACAGCCTATAAGGTTGGGGAACAAATAGTCCTATACAGATTAATTTTCTTTTGGAGGTTTTTTTTATGATCGATTCCAAATATACAGTATAGGGAAGGTGAAATGAGTAAGAAAAAAATCATATTTAATTCCCTGTTAACACTAAGCTATATTATTCAAAATGTGTTTCAAAATACTTAACCAGATCACCAAATCTCAGTCACTACCTTAGTTTAAATATTCACTAAGAAAATAGTCAAGCAACAGAAATCCATTGTGAGACACCATCTAGAGAGAAAGCTACACTGCTATATATAATTTATTAACTTAGTAGTTTAGTCTCTCAATATTTAGCAAGTTTGTTTAAAAATTACCATTCCCATTGGTTTATAGTAACATTAATATAAATCCATAATTTCAAAGTCAACATTCCTTTCACTGTGAACAAAAGACTTCTTTTTTTTTGAGATGGAGTCTCACTCTGTCACCCATGCTGGAGTGCAGTGGCGATCTCGGCTCACTGCAACCTCCACACTGCCTGCCACCCCTGGGTTCAAGGGATTCTCCTGCCTCAGCCTCCCAAGTAGCTGGGATTACAGGCGCCTGCCACCGCGCCCGGCTAATTTTTGTATTTTTAGTACAGACAGGGTTTCACCATCTTGGCCAGGCTGGTCTTGAACTCCTGACCTCGTGATCCACCTGCCTCGGCCTCCCAAAGTGCTGGGATTACAGGAGCAAGCCACTGCACCCAGCCAGTAGTCCAATATATTTCTGACATACCACATAGCTTCCTGTATGTCATATCTTTGAGCCTCTTATACAAGTTGTAAAGAAACTGGCAATCTATATAGAGATGCAGAGAGGATGTTACCAAGGAAGTGTCAGTATTGGGGGACACTGAAGAGTTTTTAGTTTCTCAAACTCACTGGTAAACCTTAGAATTTGACACAATCGAGTACTTAGTTCTTCCTCTAAATTTTTACCATCACATTGAATCTTCCACTCATGTTTAGTGGCACCATCATGGTTCTAATTTGCACTTGCTCTGTGTGTGTCTATGTGTCTGTGTATGTTTATAAAATAACTACACTCCTAGTCAGTTGTCTTATTGTGCCTAATAAAATTCAAGGACATTTCTTTAATTAAGAGAGCCTTTCCTTTCCTGATTGCTTACATAAATGATGACAATTTAAAAATTGTTATTAAGTTAGCTTATAATGTATTGTTTAATACACTGAGGAAACATGTATTTCAATTGTAAAGTAATGCAGCAACAAAGTTTTGTTTCTCTAATGTCAATTATATCATTTGGAATATGAGCATTCTTGTAGTAATCAATTGTAAATGTAAAGGTCAAAATAATGTTCTCCTTAATATTTTATTTTGCTTTTCTAACAACTCTAACAAGTTGACTTTATTCACCAGCGAAATATTTACCATATCCCTTTTGCAGTAAACAATACACTTTCAATTCTGATTTTATTTTTATATATTTTATATCTTTAGATGGGTATATTCTACTTTTGCAAATATGCTTTAAGTCAATAAATTATAATTTTTCAATAGCTTCACCATAAAATCAACACTCACACTCAAACTGTAATAATTTTAAATGCAATTTACTTATGAGTTTTTGAGACTCCTCCTTCCCCAACTGGAAATTTTTAAATGTTGTACATAATTATTCTCTATACTACATTTTAGTAGATAAAATAATTAGCATGAATAGAATATGGCTTTTTATACTATATACATATGTATTGAAATATTAAATTGTACCCCATAAATATGTACAATTACAATGTTTCCATTTAAAAAATCAAATAGCGCTCTCATTTTTGACAATTTCAAACACGTGGTTTGAAAATGTATCTTCAAAGTGCATTACTTTTCATCTACTTAGATGACAAATTACTGTACCATGAAAAGTTATTAATGATAAAATACCTGGTACCACACGTGATACCATTGCTTGCCTCAACTGGTAAACTCCTGGACATTTTTGGGAAAAATAACACAGACTTTTGTTTTGCTGTTACTATCAAATAATTATAAGGTAACTGTAAATGCTCATGTCTGGACCATCAAACAGTAAAGGACAGTGAGAAATGTATGTACCAAGTGGAACAGAGCTGTTTTGTGTGGACAGGTGGAACCCCAGCTGGGTAAAAACAATGCTATTGAAATGTCATCAGTCGAGTTATAATGAAGTGATTTTCTTTGTTTATTTTCTATCTTGATGAGAAATGTGTGATTTTTAAAAATACTGTAGCAGAAAAAATAGCCCAATTACCGATCAGATGTTTTATATAACAAAGTATTTTTCAAGTTCTCTCATATTTCTGACAATTTTAACTTTTTCCTGACCTCCCACCCCACCGGCACTACTGGGTTAATAAGAATCAAGTCTACTTTTTCAGCCTTTTTCTTCTACCATTCCCCTCCATGAATTGTATACTTCTTTTACTTCCATACTCTTGCTAACTTACAAGACTTTGCACTTGCAATTCTCTCTGCCTGGAATCCCTTTCTTGACCTAACAAATTTCAATATATCTTTTAAGACCTGGTGCAGCTGTTACCACATTTGTGGAGCACTCTCCAAATCCCCAGGACAAGATGAGTCACTTGCTCCTGTAAGCAACTACAATGCTTTGTCCTCCCTCTATTATAGCACATAGTTGTACTGTAACTTACTTTTCCTACATGTCCACTACCCTCGCCAGCCAGTGAAATCCTCGAGGGAAAGAACCATGCTGTTATCCCTAACACCAACAGAGCGGAGATTCAATATATGCATGTCAATGAAGTAGAAATGAATACTACATGAGGCTTATAGAATGCAGGAGCTGAAGTCTCGTCTTAAATCCCATGACACTCAGAGTCCCCATGATGGATGAAGATAGAGGCAGGCCATTTCCCAAGATGAGTAGGGAAAATTTTCAAATTATCCCTTCTCAGACTGCCTATCCCAGCTGGCCATCTTTCAGGTAACAATACCTACAACTATCAGAACAGTAATCTCAGCACTTTGGGAGGCTGAGGCGGGCATATCACAAGGTCAGGAGTTCGAGACCAGCCTGGCCAATATGGTGAAACCCCGTCTCTACTAAAAATACAAAAATTAGCCGAGCATGGTGGCACAGACCTGTAGTCCCAGCTACTTGGGAGGCTGAGGCAGAAGAATCGCTTGAACCCAGGAGGTGGAGGTTGCAGTGAGCCAAGATCGTGCCACTGCACTCCAACCAGGGCAGCAGAGCGAGACACCGTCTCAAAACAAAACAAAACAAAACAACCCCTAATACATTAAATTTAATAAAATACTCTTAGAATAATAAGTGCTTAAAAGCTACCTCATAAACTCTTTATAAAGTTCCTCAACTCTCCTTAGAGTGCAAGTAATCTCACTTTAAAGTTCAGAGTAGATGTTATGTGATAATTTCCTGATATTTATTTTATTTTATTACTATTTTTCTTTTGAGACAGAGTTTAGCTCTTGTTGCCCAGGCTGGAGTGCAATGGCACGATCTCGGCTCACTGCAACCTCTGCCCCCTGGGTTCAAGCGATTCTCCTGCCTCAGCCTCCCGAGTCGCTAGCATTACAGGCGCCCGCCATCACGCGCAGCTAATTTTTGTTATTTTTAGTAGAGACGAGGTTTTCCCATGTTGGCCAGACTAGTCTCGAACTCCTGACCTCAGGTGATCCACCTGCCTTGGCCTTCCAAAGTGCTGGGATTACAGGCGTGAGCCACCATGCCCGGGCTTTATTATTATTTTTTAAGACAGAGTCTCGCTCTGTCACCCAGGCTGGAGTGCAATGGCGTGATCTCAGCTCACTGCAACCTCCACCTCCTGGATACAAGTGATTCTCCTGCCTCAGCCTTCCGAGTAGTTGGGATTACAGATGCATGCCACCATGCCCGGCTAATTTTTGTATTTTTAGTAGAAACGTGGTTTCACCATGTTTGCCAGGCTGGTCTTGAAGTCCTGACCTCAGGTGATCCACCCACCTCAGCCTCCCAAAGTGCTGAGATTACAGGTGTGAGCCACCATGCCCGGCCCTGATATTTATTTTAACAATGTTCTGTGAAAGAGGCATTCACAAGTATATAGGGAAATTCAATATAAATTCAGTTTGATTTTTGACTAGTTTTGCCCTTAGCTAGAGTATACATTGAACTTATAATACAGTGTCATTTTCTCTTTTCTGGAAGACAGCACTGCACATACCCCACGAGACACCCAAGAGCACTCCTAATTCAGCAAGGACAGAAACACAGCACAACACTGCAGGATCAGGATGTTTTGAATTGAGTTAATGGATGGGATTTATGGGAAAACTGCATGGAAATGTGTTTAGGTTTTTTAATCCCAATCTTTAAAAAGAATGAATTAAGAATCTCAAAATCAATATCAGATGTTGTATGATGACTTCAATACAACAAAACACATCTTAAAATATTTTGAAATCTAGTTCCTTTTCTGCTCACCTGCTGCTGCTATGGTTCAAGGGGTCAGGGTTTCCTACCACTGCGAAGATTCCTAAGAACCAAAAGCAATATGGAGGAAAACGCTTTGGTCTTACTAATGTCTTCAGCAGTAAGGAAGAAACAGCAAACTCCTAATGTCATCTAGTTAGTAGAGGATAAATGTGTGTTTTAGCATCAGAATTATTTCAACTTTCATTAGGAAATAAATTTGGAATAGGCACAAACTTACACTGGAGAAGGGACATCCTCTTCAATAAATAATGCTGGGAAAATTGGAGAGCCACATATTGAAGAATGAAACTGAACCCTTATCTCTTACCATATACAGAAATCAACTCAAAATAGATGAAGAACTTAAACATAGACCTGAAACTATAAAAATACTAGCAGAAAACCCAGGAAAAGCTCTCCTGCACACTGGCTAGGCAAAGAATTTATGACTAAGTCCTCAAATGCACAGGCAACAAACCCAAAAATAGACAAGTAGGACCTAATTAAACTTCAAAGCTTATTTTGGTTTAAGAAATAATCAACAGAGTGAATAGACACCTGTTGAATGGGAGAAGATAGTTGCAAACTACTCATCTGACAGGGGACTAATACCCAGAATATACAAGGAACTCAGCTCAACAGCAAAACAAACAAATGAAAAGCAATCCCATTAAAAAGTAGGGAAAGGAAATCAATAGATATTCATCAAAAGAAGACATGAAAATGGCAAACAGGTATTTGAAAAAATCTTCAATATTACTAATCATCAGAGAAATGCAAATCAAAACCGCAATGAGATATCATCTTACCCAAATCAGAAAAGGTAGAAAATAATGGATGTTGGTGAGGAAGTGGAGAAAAGAGAACTCTTATACCCTGCTGGTGGGAATGGAAACTAGTACAGCTTCTATGGAAAACTGTATGGAGATGTCTTTAAAAACTAAAAATAGAATTACCATTTGATCCAGCAATCCCACTAGTGGGTATCTGCCCAAAGAAAAAGAAATCAATATATCAAAGGGATATCTGCACTCGCATGTTTACTGCAGCACTATTCACAATAGCAAAGCTATGGAATCAATCTAAGTGTTCATCAACAGATGAATGGATAAAGAAAATGTGTACATATATACAATGGTATGCTACTCAGACATTAGAAAATAAAATAAAATCCTTTCATTTACAGCAATGTGGATAGAACTGGGGGGGTTTTGTTTGTTTTGAGACAGGGTCTCACTCTGTCACCCAGGCTGGAGTGCAGTGGCCTGATCTCGGCTCACTGTAGCTTCGACCTCCCAAGCTCAAGTGATTCACCCACCTCAGCCTCCTGAATAGCCACACCAGTTAATTTTTGTATTTGTTGTAGAGATGGGATTTCACCATGTTGCCCAGGTTGGTCTCGAACTCCTGGGCTCAAGTGATACTCCCACCTTGGCCTTCTAAAGTGCTGGGACTATAGGCTTGAGCCACCGTCCCTGGCAAGTGAAATAAGCCAGGCACCAAAAGACAAACATCCCATCTTCTCACTCATATGTAGGAGCTAAAATATTTGATCATATGGAAGTAAAGAGTGGAAAGATAGATAACAGAGACTGGGAGGGATGAGTGTGGGTGAGAGGGGAGGATGAAGAGAAGTGGGTTGAAGGGTAAAAACATACAGTTCGATAAAAGGAATAAATTCAATGTTTGGCAGCAGAGTAGGGTGACTATAGTTAACAAAAATGTATTGTACTTGGATGATGGACACCCTAAGTACCCTTACTTGATCACTATGTATTATATACGTGTAACAAAATTTCACATTATGTATTATATACATGTAACAAAACTTCACATGTATGCCACAAATTTGTACAAATAAAAATAAAAATAAAATAAAAACAATATAAGAGTCATGTTACTTTTTATGAAGGATAGTCAAAATGTTTCCCAGTTACCAAGTCACATTTTACTAACATTTTTCTCTGCATAATACAGGTGCTTAATATATACTTATTAAATAAATGAGTAAATGAGATAATTTCATAATTACTTTTCTGTTTATTCTCATAGAAAAATAAAAGACTATAAGCCTATTTATGTTTTCAAGCAGTGTCTGTCCCTGTCCTCATTTTCATCAAAATCTTTTACTGAAGTAAACCCACATGTCCTCAAATCTGCAATCTTGGTGTTCACTTATCACATCTAACACAGGATTCCTGAACCCAAGCTCCCAAGCCTCTCTAACAAACATGCTAGTCATTTCTTCAGTTTTAAATAGGGAGATCTGAACTATCTCAAAGTTACTGGAACATTCTGATGAGGACACAAGAGCAGGAAAGAGCAGGCTCCTTAAGGGCCACTGAAACCACAAATATTCCAGAGCTACAAGCCGCAGAACAATGTGTGCTAGTTCTAACAACTCCTCCTTTTCATCCAGCACTGCCAAAATAAAATATTACCACTACCCTTTATCCTAAGAAAGCCAACACACACAATTTTGGGCTTATAAAAAAGATAATCATCTATTTTATTAAGTCCTATTTACAAACTGCAGACCACTATGGACTTAGTTTAATGATTACATTTAACTTCACCCAGGCCCTTGTTGGAAGCGGTGGTGGCGGTGGGGGTTGGGGGGGTGGGCAATAATTCGATTTAGTTAAAATAAAAATACCAGATCCTCATTCATTCATCCATCCATTTACATTTATTGAGCACTAGCCATGTACCAAACACCGTGTTGAGGAGTGGGAACACAACAGTCATGAAATAGTAATTCCCTTGAGAAGTCTATAGTCCAGTTGTGATTGTGCCAAGCACAACCAATTCATTGGTCTATTTTACTTAGAACTAATTTTAAATCTCCGTCTGCTTAAGCTCCCAAGAGCTTCTCTCTATTTAACCGGTAACCTCAGTTCTTACTTTACTGAATTCAGTACATTGTACCAACTTTTCTACTTCGTACTTGCAAATATTTCCACATAGATAACCATCCTCTGTCTTTGACTTCACAGAAAGGGGTCCCTCTAAGATTAACCCTTTCCCGCAGTGCTACTAATTCTATCCTTTCTGTGTTCTTCAGAATATTTCTGCATCAGGTTTTATGTTTTTTCCATCTTTAATCTTTAACTCTTTATCAGATCCTTCAAGTCTTTCCTACTCTATGGAAATATAAAGAGGTTTACCCCCATCTTGGGCCATTTCTCCCTTTCCTACTCTTCCCAAATATTCCTTTAAGAACTTTATACCTGCCACCACCACTTTAACTCTCTATAAGCTACCCCCTACCTTAATCTCTCCACAATCTGCTTTCTTACCCACAGAATTACTAAAGCTCTTCTAAAATAAAAACAAAAAATGATTCCTAATCCTTTAATCCAATAGGCTGTTTTTGTCTTGCTGCTCTTCAATGATCTCTTTGAATCTATCAACTGACACTGTTTATTATCATCCTATAAAACACTCCCCTCTCACTTTCATGAAGCTACACTGCGTTGTTTGTATTTTACACTCTGATTTCTCTAATTTTGTCTTTGTTGGTTCCTCATTTTTTATTCTCAATAAATGGGGATCTAAAGCAGCAGTTTTCTACTTTTTTTTCTGCTACAACAGGTAATATTCACGGAAAAGAGAACAAGAGAGCTTACTTTATTTATCTGATCTTGTTTACCACTTGTGTCAAAGAATTGCTCATCGAATTGACCAGATTCAAGGACCATTACTGGTCCATGTTTGTTTGCTTGTTTGTTGGTTGGTTGGTTGTTTTGGTTTTTGTGGTTTTTTGTTTGTTTCTTTTTCACCAGAGGAGTCTTGCCGTTTCTGTTATCCCTATAAGCCTACGCTAGGGCCAGGTCTGGCTTCCTCAACTTGCTCTTCCCTCATGCAGTAGCTCAAGTTGGTCTCTGGTACCCATTACCTCAGATAGGTGGTAATTCACATCCCAACATTTGGATTTGGGTCAAGAGCTTTGGGCTTAATCAAGTTTACAAGAGCTAGACATAGGAATATCAGGCCCATACCTAGTAGTTAATAATATACTATTTTAATTATCATATGCCACTGACCCAATATCTCCTTTAGAAGCTCTGGAAAAGGAATCCTGTGGTTTAAAGGAGAATTTGTACTTTAACTTTTTTGTACTGAAACTTCAGGCCATAATGTCATCTTTTTACTCCTCTTCACCATACTAGATTTTAAAAAATTGTCAAATAATTCTGGTAACAAGTCAAATAACATAGAACTATATAAATTAAAAGGTAAAAAATTTGTTCTTCCTTCCTTCATATTACCCCTAAATAAAGCCATCAAAATTAAGACTCAAGTGTATTTATCTATAACTTTATTTAAAAATATGAAACAATTTACATATGTTAGGGCACATTTTTAAACAACATTGGGATCATATGTTACTCTGCACTTTATTTCTACTTTCCTTTTTAATTAAAAGAAAAAATAGATTTCTTTTAATTAAAAAGGAAAAATATATATTTTTTTCTTTTAATTAAAAAATGTATTATTTTTAATTAAAAATATATTTTTAAAATAAAAAATATATTTTTAAATAGAGATAGAATCTCACTATATTGCTCAGGCTGGTCTCAAGCTCCTGAGTTCAAGTGATCCTCCCACCTCATCCGCCCAAAGTGTTGGGATTATAGGCATGAGCCACTGAGCCAGGCCTTTATTTCCACTTTCCATATTTCCATATATTTCCATATATTACTCTGCTTTTATTTCCATCTTACAATATACCATAGACATCCTTCCAGGTCAATATATAGAGATGTAACAAATTCTTTTTAAACTATCTAATACCCATAATATTAGGATCCTTTCCCCCTTATACCTATAATCTTACAATAAACTTTGACTGGTGTCCTTGCCTCCATTTTCTTCCTTTTGAGAATCATATAACATAAGAATATTAAAAATATAAAATATAAAAATATAAATATAGAAAAGTCAAACAGCAACACATTTCTGATGAAAAAACTGATGCCTCAAGAAATTAACCAAATTGCCCAAGAACACTAAATTAGTGGGAGAGTCATTCATTCAACAAATTATTTGTTCAGCATCTAATATGTGGCCCTGGTATTGTGGAGCTTAAATTCCATAAAGAGACATGTAAAAAATAAGAAAGCAAATAACAATGATAAATACAGAATGTGATTAGTGCCATGAAAAAAAAAAAAACATGGTGAAATAACAGAGTAATGGAGAATTCCCTACTTTAGATAGGACGCACATGAAAAGTACCTTGGAGCACATGACATTTGAACTTTTACCTAAATAATATAGGAGATAATAAATTGTAAGAAGAGGCCAAAAAAAAAAAAAACCAGCAAGAACAAAAAGGGAAATCAGTGTTCCTGGTGTGCAGTGATCAAGTGATCACAGGACGAAGAGCAGCAGGAAATGAGGTTGGAAAAGCAGTGAGGGAGCAGATCATACAAGGCCTTGTATGCTATGACAAGGAGCTTGGACTGGCAAATGATTCGAGGATTTTTAAGAAAGGAGTGATTCAATCAGATTTATATTTTACAAAGATTACTCTGGCCTCTAGATCAAGAAATGATAGAAGGCAGTCAAGAATCCAAGCAGGAAAATCATTGCAGGAGCAGAGGTAAGCAGCAGCAGTGGATTTGATTAGGGTATTTTTGGCAAGCAAATGGAGAGATGTGGACAGACTTGACAAATACCTGGAAGGGAATTTCAATAAGACTTGCTGGTGAAATGGGTGTGGGGCTGAGGAAAAGGGTGGTACCAAGGATGAATACTAAGGATTAATTGGTAAAACTGGTACCTAGGACCATTTTCTGTGATGGGACTAAATGGAAAATTATCATCAAATGTTCTATTTTGGACAAGTTTAAGATGCTTACTATTAGTCTTCTATACACAAATGTTAATTAGGTAAATGGAGACAAATCTGATGCATAGGGGAGAGTTGGAACAGTAATTCAAAAATCATCAGCATATTCATGGTATTTAAAAGATGAAACCAGATGAGCTCACTGAGGGAAACTGTGTGGTAGAGAACTCAGGAGGTAGCTTAGGAGCCGCCAACTCATACAGGTTGGTGGAGTGGGGAGCCAAGATAAGTGACCGACAAAGTGCAGCCAGGGAGGTAGGAGTAAAACAGGAACATGTGGTGTCCTGGAAACCAAGGCATTAAAAAAGGGCATTAGGCCGGGCATAATTGGCTCACACCTATAATCTCAGCACTTTGGGAGGCCTAGGTGAGCGGATCACTTGAGGCCAGGAGTTCGAGACCAGCCTGGCCAACATGGCGAAACCCTGTCTCTACTAAAAATACAAAAATTAGCCGGTGTGGTAATGCGCGCTTGTAATCCCAGCTACTAGGAAGGCTGAGGCAGAGAATCGCTTGAACCTGGGAGGTGGAGGTTGCAGTGAGCCGAGACTGAGCCACTGCACTCCAGCCTAAGCAACAGAGTGAGACTCCATCTCAAAAAAATAAAAGTGTATTAGGAGGGAGGGTGGAGTCAACTGTGTCAAATGCTAATGACTGATCAAAGAATATGAGTACTAAATATTGACTATTGGATTTGGCACTGTGAAGGTTACTAAAGATTTTAATAAGAAAGATAGGTAGGAAATAGGTAGAAGGAAGACAACGGAATAAAAACCAACTTGGAATAGGCTGTTTTAGAAGGTCAGAAGTAGAGAAAGTATTAACAGTTCTTTTTAAATTAATAAATTTATTTTTTAGAGACGTTTTAGGTTCATGGCAAAATTGAGCAGAAAATGGAGTTCCCATATATCCTGTCCCCACATATATATCACCTTCCCCACTACTGGCATCCCACACCATAGTGGTACATTTGTTAACAATGAACCTACACTGACACATCATAATCACCCAAACTCCACAGTTTACACTAGGGTCTTCCCTTGGGAGTTGTATATTCTATGGATTTGGACAAATGTATAATAACACGTATCCCCCATTATAGTATCATGTAGGAGAGTTTCACTGCCCTAAGAATCCTCTGTGCTGTGGCTATTCATCTCTCCCTTTTCCAAAGCCTGGGTAACCACTAGGCTTTTTACTGTCCCCATAATTTTGCCTTTTCTAGAATGTCATATAGTTGAAATCATAAAATATGTAGCGTTTTCTGATTGGCTTCTTTTACTTAGTAATATGCATCTAAATTTCCTCCATATCTTTTCATAGCTTGATAGTTCATTTCTCTTAAGTGCTGAAGAGTGTTCCATTGTCTGGATGTACCACAGTTTATCCATTCACCTACTAAAAGACATCTTGGATACTTCCAACTTTTAGCAATTATAAATAAAGCTGCCACAAATATCCACATGCAGGTTTTTTGGAACATAGTTTTCAATTGATTTTGGTGAACACCAAGGAGCATGAGTGCCAGATTGTATGGTAAGAGTATATTTAGTTTTGTAAGAAACTGCCAGATTGTCTTCCAAGGTGTCTGTACTATTTTGCATTCCCACCATCTGTGAATGAAAGTTCTTGTCACTTCACATTCTTGCCAGCATTTGGAGGTATTAGTGCTTTGAATTTTGGCCATTCTGTTAGGTGTGTAGTCATATCTCGTTGTTTTGATTTGCAATTCCCTAATGATAAGTGATGTTGAACATCTTTTGATATGCTTACTTGCCATCTGTATATCTTTGTTTAAGTGTCTGTTCAGGTCTTTTGCCCATTTTTCAACTGGGTTGTTCATTTTCTTATTATTGAGTTATAAGAGTTCTTTGTATATTTTTGGGTAACAGTCCTTTATCAGATTTGTCCTTTGCAAATATCTTCTCCTAGTCTGTGGTTTGACTTCTCATTTTCTTGACATTGTGTTTTGCAGAGCAGAAGTTTATAATTGTAATGAAGTGCAGCTTAGCAATTATTTCATTTATGGATGTCACTGCTATACCCAAAGTCATGTAAACTTTATCCTATGCTGTCTCCTACGTGGTTTATAGTTTTGCATTTTACATTTAGTGTTAGGATCCATTTTGATTTAAGTGAAGGGTGTAGTGTCTGTGTCTAGATTCGTGTCTTTCAAGCTGATGTCTAATCATTCCAGCATCATTTGATGAAGACTCTCTCTTCCATTGTATTGCCTTTCTTTGACTGTAAATATATATACAGTCAACTGATATAGTCTCCTTCTACCTGTTTCCTATATAATGCCTCTCTCTCTCTCTAGATGAATGCACTCTTATAGTTGGAGAAATAGAAAAAGAAAGAGAGAGAGAGAGAGAGAGAGAGAGATTAGTTAGGATTTCCAGCACAATGTTGAAAAGGGGTGGTGACATCCTTGTCTTGTTTCTAACCTTAGCAGAAAGCTTCAAGTTTCTCTGCATTAAGTATGATGTTAGCTGCAGGTCTTTCACAGGCATTCTTTATCAAGTTGAGGAAGTTCCCTTCCATTCCTGGTTTACTGAGAGTTTTTATCATGAATGAGTGTTGCGTTTTGTTAAATGCTTTTTTTCATCTACTGATATGATCTTGTGATTTTTCTTTTTTAGTTTGTTGATGTGATGGATTGCATTCATTGGTTTTCAAATATTAAACCAGCCTCACATACCTGATATAAATCCCACTTGATTATGGTGTATAATTCTTTTTATGCATTGTTGGATTCACTTTGCTAGTATTTTGTTGATGATTTTTGCATCCATATTCATAAGACATACTGATCTATAATTTTCTCTTCTTGTAATGTCTTTGTATTTTGTCTTTTATTGGTATAGGGTAATGCCTGGGTTCACAGAATGAGTTTGGAAGTATTCCCTCTGCTTCTATCTTCTGAAAGGGATTACAGAGAATCGGTACAATTTCTTCCTAAAACATCTACTAGAGTTCATCAGCGAACCCATCAAGGCCTGGTACTTTATATTTTGGAAGGTTTTAAATTATTGATTCAATTGATTTAACAGATTTAGACCCATTCAGATTGTCTATTTCTTCTTCTGTGAGTTTTAGCAAATTGTGCTTTTCAAGGAATTGGCCCATTTTATTTAGGTTATTAAAGTTGTGGGCATAGGGTTGTTCATAACATCCCCTTATTATCCTTTTAATGTCTGTGGGATCCATAGTAATATTCCTTCTTTCATTTATGATATAAGTAATTTGTGTCATCTCTTTATTTCTTAGCCTGGCTAAGGGTTAGTGATTTTATTACTATTTTTTTGGGAGGCATGTTATTGATTTTATTGAACTTTTCAAAGAACTAGTTTTTGGTTTTGTAGGTTTTCCCTATTGATTTCCCATTTTCAATTTCATTGATTTCTGCTCCAATTTATTATTTATTTTCACTTGCTTATTTTCAACTTAATGTGCTTTTATTTTGCTAGTTTACTATCTAAGGTGAAAGTTCTGATAACTGATTTTAGATCTTTTTCTTTTCAAATATATTCATTTAATGCTATAATTTTCCCTCTAAGCACTGCTTTCACTGCATCCCACAAATTTCAATAAGTTGTACCTTCAGTTTCATGGAATTCAAAATATTTTAGAATTTCTCCTGAGATTTTATATTTGAGCACCGTGTTATTATAAGTTTGTTGTTTAATCATCAAGTATTTGAGGATTTTCCAGCATCTTTCTGTTACTGACTACTAGTTTAATTCCATATGGTCTAAGGTCAGATGTTGTAACATTTCTATTCTCTGAAACTTGTTAACATCTGTTTTATGGTTCAGAATGTGGTCTATCTTGGTGAATATTCCATGTAAGCTTAAGAAGATGTGTAATCTACTATTGTGAGATACAAATCATCTATAGATGTCAGTTCTATTCAGTTGATTTATGGAGTGTTGAGTTCTATGGCCTTACTAATTTTCTGCCTGCTAGATCTCTCCATTTCTCCAACTATAAGAGTGCATTCATCTGTTTCTCTTTGGAGTTCTATCAGTTTTTGCCTCGTGTATTTTTACACTTTGATGTTAGGCACATACACATTAAGGATTATCATGTCTTTTTAGAGAATTGACCTCTTTATCATTAAGTAATGTTTCTCTTTATCCTTGATAACTTTCCTTGACATTCAGTCTGTTCCGTCTGAAATTAATACAGTTGATCCCCTTTTAGCTAGTTTCTTTTATTTAGTTTTATCATGGTATATCCCCATCTCTTTACTTTAAATCCATATGTGTCTTTATATTTAAAGTGGGTTTCTTGTAGACAACATAAGTTGATTCTTGTTGGTTTTTTTGATCCACTTCAACAATCTGTCTTTTAAATGGTATATTTAAACCAATGACATTTAAAATGATTATTGACATAGGTGGATTAACATCTACCATTTTTGCTACTGTTTTCTACTTGTGGCCTTTTGTTCTTATTTTTGTCTTCCACACTTTTCTGCCTTTTTTTTGTTCTTATTTTTGTCTTCCATACTTTTCTGTAGTTTTTAATTGGGCATTTTATATGATTCAATTTTCTTTCCTTTTTTAGCATATCTATTACACTTTTTTTATTTTTCTACATGATTGCCCTAGACTTTGCACCATACATTTACCACTAATCCAAGTGACTTTGAAATAACACCTACTGCTTCACAGGGGGTACAAATACCTAGTAATAACAAAATATGCCTAATTCCTTCCTCCCATCCTTGTATCATTGGTGTCATTCATTTCCCTTATATATAAGCATAAATAAGCATATATATATGCATATGTAATCAAATACATTGTTGCTATAATTATTTTGAATGAATTGTTATCTATTAGCTAAATTAGGAATAAGAAAGATTAAAGTTTCCATTTTACTTTCACTTATTCTTTCTCTGATGCATTTTCTTTCTTTATGTAGCTCCAAATTTCAGACCTATATCAATTTCCTTTTCTCTGAAGAACTTCTTTTAACATTTCTTGCAAGGCAGGTGTCCTGTAACAAATTCTCTAAATCTTTGTTTGTCTAAGAAAGTATTTATTTCTTCTTCACTTTTAAATAATAATTTCACAGGGAACAGAATTCCAGATTGATTTTTTTTCCTCTTAACACTAAATATTTCACTCCACTCTCTTTTTGCTTGCGTGGATTCTGAAGAGAAGTCAATTGTAATTCTTATCTTTATTCCTCTATAGGTGTTTATTCCCTCTGGCTTCTTTCAGGACTTTTTTTTTAATATTTGATTTTCTGAATTTTGAATATGATATGCCTAGGTATAGTTTTGGGGGTTTTATTTGTTTGCTTTTGCACTTATCTTGCTTGGTGGTCTCTGAGTTTCCTGGATCTGTGTTTGCTGTCTAACATTAATGTGGAGAAAATTCTCAGTCATTTTTATTCAAATATTGATTCTGTTCCTGTCTCTTTTTCTTCTCCATCAAATATTCTCATTACATGTATTTGTAACTTTTATAGTTGTCCTATAGTTCTTGGATATTCTTTTCTTGTTTATCTTTTATTTTTTCTCATTGCTTTTCAGTTTTGGAAGTTTCTGTTGTCTCAAGCTCAGAGGTCCTTTCAACAACTATGTCCACCCTACTAATGAACCTATCAAAGGCATTCTTCACTTCTAATACAATGTTTTTGATCTCTAGCATTTTAAAACTTTCTTAGAATTCCCATCTCTCTGCTTAAATTACCTATCTGTTCTTTCATGTTGTCTACTTTTTCCATTAAAGCCCTTAACATATTAATCATAGTCAAAAAAAATTCCTGGTCTAATAATTCTCATATTCCTGACATATCTGACTCTAGTTCTGAGGCTTGTTTAGTCTCTTCAAATTGTGTTTTTTACTGGTTAGTATGTCTTGTAACTTTTTGTTCAAAGGTGGACATAATCTACTAGGTAAAAGGAACTTCAGTAAACAGGCTTTTAATAGTGTAGTGGCAAGTTGTAGGGGGTGATGAAGTATTCTACAGTCTTATGATTAGGTCTCAGTGATTTGGTGAACCTGTGACCCTGAACTGTGAAATTCGCAAGTGCTTTTCGGCTTATTTTTTCATCTCTCTCCCCCTCTTAGGTGAGACAGGATGGCTGGAAGAGGCTGAAGTTGGGAATCTGCCTTCCTCCAGGTAGGTTCAACTATGCCAAATTTCAGTAGATTAGTCTCTGGTAAAATAGTTTCCTCTGAGGCCTTGTTAAAAAGAGTGCTCTGGCATATTTCAAAATGACTCCTTTCCCCTTCTCCCTGCTGGAAGCACTAGAGGATTTTTCTCTAATATTTGTTGTGAGAACCTGGTAAAACTTCTGGAAGGAAAATTCACAAAAATGTAGGCTTCCCCACATGACTGAGTCCCCCTCATATTTTCAGCTGTCAGAGTTTTCCATGCTGAGCCTCCAGGAGTTCCTCAATTACAGCTTGGATATCCCCGCTCGGTCACTGGTTCCTAGGGAGGTTTCTGCTCATGGGTTTTTATACCAGTACATTGTGGTTCTCTGTATCCAAATATCTGTATCTCCAATTTTGGGGGGCAGAAGTCTTCGCTGTGACCTCATTTCTTTGACAGATCTAAGAAGGTTTGATTTTTGAGTTTGTTCAGATTTTTTTTTTTTCTTTGAGACGGAGTTTTGATCTTGTTGCCCAGGCTGGAGTGCAGTGGTGCGATCTTGGCTCACTGCAACCTCCACCTTCTGGGTTCAAGCGATTCTCCTACCTCAGCCTCCTGAGAATCTGGGATAACAAGCATGCACCACCATGCCTGGCTAATTTTGTATTTTTAGTAGAGACGGGGTTTCACCATGTTGGTCAGGCTGGTCTCAAACTCCTGACCTCAGGTGATCTGGCCGCCTCAGCTTCCCAAAGGGCTGCAATTATAGGCATGAGCCACCACGTCTAGCCTGTTCAGCTTTTTAATTGTTGTTAGGATGAAGTGGAGATGTCTAAATTCCTTATATACCCAACTCTGACAACTTTATTAGAAAAGTTTACCATGAAAGGTGGCAGAGAAGCATGGCAACAGTAAAGAAAGATGTAGAGCCAAGAAATTGTTTTTTAATTGGGAAATATCAGAGCAGTTTTTATGGTGATGGAAATTACCCAGCAGAGAGGGAGACATTTATGATGCAGAAGAGAGAGAATATAAAAACAGGTGTTAAATCATCAAAGTCAGCAGAGAGTAAATGCAGAACACAGAAGGACTGAGCAACCAATGTTAAGAGCAGGAACATCTCTTCCGTTGTGTCTTGCAACAACAGAGAACACAGGCGTACTGCTAACACAAAAATACGGTGCTCATGTCTCATTCTATTTTCTTAATGAAGTATGAAGTGAGAACATTATCTGTCTGGGAAGTAAGGAGAGTTTCAGAAGTAGAAATAACACAGAGTTTCAGAGAGTGGGGCAAGCCAATTTACTAGAAAAAGTTACCAGGCAACAGTAAATGCCCATTTCCAGTTTTTGTTCTGGAATTTAAAGTTAGCTAACTGTAATATATAATATTCTTCTGCAGTCTTGTTTGGCTGTTTGAGTATAAGTGTGAAGAAAGTGAAGAGTAAGTGGGGGTTTGCTGAGTGCACACAACAGAGGAAGAGACTGCAAAGGGATTGAGAGTATTTGTAAGGCAGTGACTACCATGACTGACCGTAAGGAATAGGGTGACACATCATGAGAAAGAAGTAAGGTCAATAGATAAGTGACATGATGAGGTTGAAACATAGTTGACTAAGTGAGTCCATGGTCAGTAGGTAGGGTTTAGAGATTAGAATGCTAAAAGGTGATATTTGTGAAGTTATGCTACTGTTAGTGATGACAAGATCTGGATTTGAAGCCATTCAAAATTTCTTACTGTATGCAACAAATTGAGTTTGCCTACCTAAAGCAGAAAAGGCTGAGTAGCAGAAACAACGCAGTCAGGATGCTGACACTGCCACTGTATACTGCTAGGGCCTAGAACACAACCATGAATCTCATCCTTTGTCTTTTAGTTGCCCCCTGTAAGAGTCATATGCCCAAGCAGGTGAAACCTATTGTCTGAGCCCAGGTCATGTGCCTTTCCTTGCTCATTTTACCTAAGGGCAAAGAAAGTAAGGATATCCCTCAATTTGGCTTCCGTTGTAGCAGAAAGGGTTTGTGTCACCCCAAAGCTCACTCAGATAGCAGATTCCTTAAGACTAGGAAGGGGTCTAGACAGATATTGGCAGTAAATTTTTTTTAAGGTTAAAAAGTAAAAGATAAATGTCCTTTAAAAAAAATCATGGGAGTTTGTGAGGGACTAAGCTGAGATCAAGGAGATGACTGAAGATAAGGAGGTCACCATCATGAGGCCAGGCACTGTTTTATGTGCTGGTAAGACAAAACTGAACAAAAAGATCAAATCCCTGCACTTTTGGAGTTTACCTTCTCATGGAGATTGAGCCTCTTGGCTCTTTCCAACACCCTATGCTTCTGCTATTTCTTCAACTATAATAAGACAATAATATAATTTTAAGGATCTCTCTTGCTTCAACTCTCCTGCTTGCTAATCTCTGTAATTCTTTCAGCACACCTCTAGCTCTTTTCATTTACAATAATTAATAAAAGGCTTAAGATGCTAAATACTTGCTTGAGGTAAAAATAAGTAAACTTGTCTATTCTAAGTTATATCTAATAAGAAACAACAGTAGTAAATATACACAGTACTGAGCACTCTCCTACACTATGCTCTTTTCTTTATATACCTTACTTAGCTATCAAAACAAACCTATAACATAGGCACTATTATTATTTGTATTTTACAGATAAGGTGACTAAGGCACAGAAGGGTTTAAGTAACTCAGGTAGGAGATGGTGGGGCCAGGAAGTCTGGCTCTAGTAATGACTTGATTATAACAGCCTTTCCTCTTTTATTTTTAAACCAGAGAGGGGATCTGAGAGCAGGTAAACGCTAAAGGAAAAACAAGTCGCCAACCTACAGAAAGGGACAGACTAGTCTGAAAGTGCCCAAATGGAAGCTATGAGTATGTGTACAATGCTTAGCAGGGATAATATTGCTAAGAATTAACACTGCTTTGCTTGTTTTATAGTTTGGAGGAGACTTTGTTTGTTTTCAATACCAGCATCTAAAAGAAGAAAATAATAACAAGAAAGTTCTGGAGTAAAGTCCCTAAATGAGGAGAAGATAGGAGTACTGACAGTATCAGTTTGGAGCAGAATATAATAACTTTGGACCTTCCAGATAACCTGAACAAGGTAAACAACACCCCTTAGCAACACAACTTAGCAAGGCTTCTTCAGCTTCCTGGTTCAGGTTAGGAGATTTGGGAGTTGTCCTAGTAATCAGAGTATAGTTGAGGACCATTACTGTCCACAAGAAAAGTAATTTTCATGGGTAGGATTTGGCAACTCTTCTTGCCATCCCATCCCTGTGTAAGAGACAAAATAGCAATTCCCTACAATTTTACCTACTGCAGAAGCTATAAATGAATTCCTAAGTACATCCTGCAAAGAACTAAACCAAAGCCTGTTTTATCACAGCGTAGATGGCTTCCAGCTACCTTAAATGCAGCCATATGCTCCCTGATATTATAAGTCCTATTATGCAAGCCTCCTCCCCAATCTCAGAGGAGACTAGAAGACATGCCACTGCTGTTGCTTCCCATCCACATTTTAAAATAACAGAATAAAAGAAAAATCAGCTTCAATTGGCTCCAGTTGGTGTGAATAATGAGATGTGGTTGTCAGATTTCTGGAAAGCTGCCAGTATGGTCATTAACTAGCCAGATACTAGGCCCACTTACAAACACTTAATACAATTTTAAATAATGTCAATATTAATGACATTTTAAATTTGGGACTTGGGGATGGGATGAAACAATCTATGAATTAGAATCCTTCTTGCAGTAAGTGCTGTCTATAAGAAAGGGGATAGACTAGGATAAAGGGCGATGGAGCTTCCTCAGTTGTGGCAATCGAGCTTTGCCCAATTAAAATATGGTCTTTTTTTGAAGTCTATGATGGAAGCATCCTAGCTTTGACAAGTTGGCAGTAACCCTTGTGATCTATTTTGCTGGGATATATATTGTCACTGAAAAAATAAAACATATTACAAAACTGGAGAGCAAACCCTGCCTGTGATCATTAGACAGACTGGACCAAGTGCCTCAAGCCTTTGATGCCCTGACATGTTATTTTCTGGATAGTGTCCAGCAACCCAATGTAGCATAGCTTTTTCTCTACTGTATCCAGATGGCAAATGGAAGAGATCAAATTCAACAGTTTCAGGGCTAACCTTAATGGATGTGAAGGCTGGCTCCCCTATGAGCTTTTCAGGGATATACAATACAAAAAGGCCTTTGAACAAAGAGACAAATAATTAGTTTTCTCTCTCTTTCTTTCTCTCTTCAAAACTAAACCAT
This sequence comes from Homo sapiens, assembly GCF_000001405.40. Taxonomy (NCBI): domain Eukaryota; kingdom Metazoa; phylum Chordata; class Mammalia; order Primates; family Hominidae; genus Homo; species Homo sapiens. Next base: position 119,115,716 of record NC_000001.11, read on the forward strand.
GAATGTGGTAATCTGGTTCAAATCGATCTTCTGGTTGAAAAGGACAGCCAAATATCTGATGAGTTCTAATCACTGACACCCATGACACTTTCTGTGAAGTTCAGATGGGTGTTACTGTTAATATTCTGGAAAGCTTTTTTCTCTCCCTTCAGGCAAATATTTTTACTCTTCCACTATTTCCTTCAAAACATTAACCAAGTGTGTGTGTGTGTTCCCAAATGTTTAGGCAGCATTGTCTTATAGAAAGACTCTCACACCCTCACTAAAGGCTGATTTCAGAATTGACTAGCATAAGCATTATGCGTTTGCGCTATTGTGTAAGCATACACTAGACCTTCACTCTAAGTACATTTGTATAGTAAGGAATATGATATAAAGTCTGCTTCACTCTCCCAGACTTTACTTATTGAAGATTTGACTTTCTATCATACCAGAAATACCTAATTATTCACATAAAAGTCCTGTGGTATACAGCATAAGACCAGCTTTGTAGTTAGTAAGTGGAGTAAGTATAGTTAGTAAGTGGAGGAGGCAACAATGAGGAGGAGGGCTCAGCATTTGAAAGAAATAAATACGTTTACCTTCCAGGTTCTTCCGTAAAACAAAGATAAGTCAACTTAAAGTAGGAGTTGTTAGGGAGAAAAAAAGAATGGCAGGTAAGAGACAGGACTAATGTGCAGCTCCCACTTAGAAAGAACAGAACAGTGTCTGGAGACTCACATTGTGAACTTTGGCTCCAAGAACCATCGCAGGAATATACCAGGAAAACTGAAAAAATTCACAGACCCTTTGAAAGAAGTGGCTTTCTGCTGCAAATGCCACAAGATAGCCAAAAAACTGTGAGTTCCCAAAGTGTGAAAGGGGGAAAAAGCCTCTGAGCACACATCCTCACTGGGGAACCTAAAAATCCAGATCACGGGAGGATTTAACCATACTTAGAGCTGAAATGGATTTAGGGAGCTAAGTGAAATATAAAAGTACAAGTAGCAGAAAGAGCCCTGTAAGCATTCCCAGTCCTCAGCTCAAGCCCCAGGGAAGCCATTCCTCGCGTTATCTCACAGAGGTCCTTGGAGAAGGAAACGCAGCCAGTGGAACTGGGGAGAGGCCACAGGCTAAGGGAAGCTCCTAGCTGAACTCTGTAATAATTTCAACCGAGCACGAACTTCCCCGAGTAGAATCCAGGGCAGAGGAGTAGAGAGGAATGAACAGGAAGTGCAGATACAAACACAGAAGTCACAGCCAAAGGTTCAGGCAGGCAGGGAGGTAAGAACTGAGAGCCCTGCTTGCTTTCTCAGCTGGGAGGCTTTTAGGCTAAGGCAAGATCTCAGCCCTGCTCTCCTGCTGCCTGGATATAAACTCAGTGCAGTTAGGGAGGCACGGTGAAGGTGAGAATGGCCTTGCTGGCTGCATGGGAGTGGAGTGAGGCATGTCACTGCCAGCTTTCCCCCACTTGTCTGGTGACTTGTATGATACAGCAGAGGCAGCCATAATCTCCCTGGGAACATAACTCAATGGGCCTGAGAACCACCCCTCCATCCCCCATAGTGGCTGCAGCAAGCCCCACCTAAGGAGAGTCTGAGCTCAGACTTGCCTAACCCTGCACCCACCTGATGGTTTGTCTCTATCGGCCCTGGTAGCCAAAGACAAAAGACATAATCTCTTGGGAGCTCCATGGCCCTGCCCATCACCTGAGAAACCTGAGTACTCATCCTGGCCAATGTAGGGCAAGACTATATCCCCCTTCTACTATTGCAGCTGGCACTCTGTGCCACCTCTGGCTGGAGGCCAACCAATTCAACTAATAGCAGAACAACCCTGCTCCAAAGAAAGAGAAGACAACAGCTAATTCCACCCTGGCTAACCAGAGGTCCTGAGTCTGTTCACGTGACAACTTCACTGTGAGCATAACCAGTACTGAAGAAAACTGGTGCACTAAACGAAACTACAACCGAGGACTTCCAGAGAGTCCACTTCACTCCCCTGCCACCTCTACCAGAGCAGGTGCTGGTATCCACAGCTGGGAGAACTGAAGATGGGTCACATCACAGGACTCTTTACAGCACTAGCCTGGATCCTGGTAGCCCCACTGGGTAGCTAGACCCAGAAAAGCAATAACAATAACTGCAGTCTGGCTCTCAGGAAGCCCTATCCCTAGAGAAACGGGGAGAGCATCACATCAATGGACCACCCTGTGGGACCAAAGAACCTGAACAGCAGCCCTTGAGTTCCATATCTTTCCACTGAAACAGTCTACCCAAATGAGAAGGAACCAGAAAAGTAATTCTAGTAATGTGACAAAACAAGGTTCTATAACACCCACAAAAGATCACAGTAGCTCTTCAGCAATGGCTCTAAACCAAGTAGAAATCTCTGAATTGCCAGAAAAATAATTCAGAAGGTTGATTATTAAGCTAAGCAAAGAGGCACCAGAAAAAGGTGAAAACCAACTTAAATAAATTTAAAAAAATACAGGATATGGAGGAAAAAGTTCCCAGTTAAATAGATATGGTAAAGAAAAGACTATCACAACTTCTGGAAATAAAAGACACATTTAGAGAAAAGCAAAACACACTGAAAAGTATTAATAATAGAATTGAACAAGCAGAAGAAAAAACTTCAGAGCTCAAAGACAAAACTTTTGAATTAACCCAATCCAACAAAGACAAAGAAAAAAGAATTTTAAAAATGAACAAAGCCTCTAAGAAATGTGGGATTATGTTAAATGACCAAACCTAAGAGTAATTGGTGTTCTTGAGGAAGAAGAGCAATCTAAAAGTTATGCAAACTTATTTGAGGGAATAATCAAGTAAAACTTCCCTGGTCTTGCTAGAGATCTAGATATCCATATTTAAGAAACTCAAAGAACATCTGGGAAATTCATCACAAAAACATAATCACCTAGGCACATAGTCATCAGTTTATCTAAAGTCAAGATGAAGGAAAACATCTTAAGAGCTGTGAAGCAAAAGCATCAGGTAACTTATAAAGGAAAACCTATCAGATTAACAGCAGATTTCTCAGCAGAAACCCTGCAAGCCAGAAGGGATTGGGGTCCTATTTTTAGCCTCCTTAAACAAAATAATTATCAGCCAAGAATTTTACATCCAGCAAAACTAAGTTTCAGAAATGAAGGAGAGATAAAGCCATTTTCAGACAAACAACTGCTGAAAGAATTCACCAATCCCAAGCCAGCACTACAAGAACTGCTAAAAGGAGTCATAAATCTTGAAACAAAACCCCAAAATAGAACCTCCTTAAAGCATAAACATCACATGGCCTATAAAAAAGTAACACAATTTTTAAAAACCCAAGGTATTCAGGCAACAACTAGCATGATGAATAAAACAGTACCTCACATCTCAATACTAATGTTGAATGTAAATGGCCTAAATGCTCCACTTAAAAGATACAGAATGGGAGGATGGATAAGAATTCACCAACCAAGTATCTAGTGTCTTCAAGAGACTCACCTAACACGTAAAGACTCACATAAAGTAAAGGAGTGGAAAAAAGATATTCCATGCAAATGGACACCAAAAGTGAGCAGGGGTAGCTATTATATCAGACAAAACATACCTTAAAGTAACAACAGTTAAAAAAGACAAACAGAGACATTATATAATAAAAGGATTAGTCCAACAGGAAAATATCACAATCCTAAATATATATGCACCTAACACTGGAGCTCCCAAATTTATAGAACAATTATTACTACACCTAAGAAATGAGATAGACACAATAATAGTGGGGAACTTCAATATTCCACTGACAGCACTAGACAGGTCATCAAGACAGGAAGTCAACAATGAAAAAATGGACTTAAACTATACTTTAAAACAAACTGACTTAACAGATATTTATAGAACATTCTACCCAACAACTGCAGAATATACATTTTTTCATCAGCACATGGAACATCCTCCAAGATAGACCATATGATAGACCACAAAACACATCTCAATAAATTTAAGAGAATTGAAATTATATCAAGTACTCTCTCAGACCACAGTGGAATAATACTGGAAATTAACTCCAAAAGGAACCCTCAAAACTATACAAATACATGCAAATCAAATAATCTGTTACTGAATGATCCTTAGGTCAACAATGAAATAAAGATGGAAATTAAAAAATTATTTGAACTGTGAATGATAATAGCAGCACAACCAATCAAAACCTCTGGAATATAGCAAAAGCAGTGCTAAGAGAAAAGTTCACAGTAATAAATGCCTGCATCAAAAAGTCTGAAAGAACACAAATAGACAATCTAAGGTCACATTTCAAGGAACTAGAGAAAGAAGAACAAACCAAACCCAAACCCAGCAGAAGAAAAATAACAAAGATCAGAGCAGAACTAAATGAAATTGAAACAAACAAAAATACAAACGATAAATGAAACAAAAAGCTGGTTCTTTGAAAAGATAAACAAAATCGATACACATTAGTGAGATTAACCAAGAAGAAAGAAGATCCAAATAAGCTCAATTAGAAATGAAATGGGAGATATTACAACTGACACCACAGAAATACAAAAGACAATTCAAGACTACTATGAACACCTTTATGTGCATAAACTAGAAAACCTAGAGGAGATGGATAAATTCCTGGAAATATACAAACTTCCTAGATTAAACCAGGAAGAAACAAAAACTCTTAAAAAAAAATAACAAGTAATGAGATTGAAACAGTAATAAAAAACATTGCCAACAAAAAAAGGTGCAGGACCAGATGGATTCACAGCCGAATTCTATCAGACATTCAAAGAAGAATTAGTACCAATCCTACTGAAACTATTGCAAAAGATAAAGATGGAATCCTCCCTAAATCATTCTATGAAAACATCATTACCCTAATACCAAAACCAGGAAAGGACATAACAAAAAAAGAAAACTACAGACCAATATCCCTGATGAACATAGATGCAAAAATCTTCTATAGCTAACTGAATTCAACACAATATCAAAAAGATAATCGACCATGATCAAGTGGGTTTCATACCAGGGATGCAGGGTTGGTTTAACATACACAAGTAAATAAACGTAATGATATACCACACAAACAGAAATGAAAACAAAAATCATATGATCATCTCAACAGATGCAGAAAAAGCATTTGACAAAATCTAACATTCCTTTATGATTAAAACCCTTAGGAAAATTAGCATAGAAGGGATATATCTTATGGTAATAAAAGCCATCTATGACAAACCCACAGGCAACATTATACTGCATGGGGAAAGGTTGAAAGCATTTCCTCTGAGAACTGGAATAAGACAAGGATACCCACTTTCACCAATTCTATTCAACATAATACTGGAAGCCCTGGCCAGAGCAATCAGACAAGAGAAAGAAATAAAGGGCATCCAAATTGGTAACGAGGAAGTCAAACTGTTGCTCTTTGGCAATGATATGATCACATACCTAGAAAACCCAAAGATTCATCCAAAAAGGTCCTAGATCTAATAAATGAATTCTGTAAAGTTTCAGATACAAAATCAATGTACATAAATCAGTAGCACTGCTATACACCAATAGCAATCAAGCTGAGAATCAAATCAAGAACTCAACCCCTTTTACAACAGCTGCAATAAAATAAAATGCTTAGGAATATACCTAACCAAAGAGGTGAAAGAGCTCTACAAGGAAAACGTTGAAATACTGCTGAAGGAAATCATAGATGACACAAACAAATGGAAACACATCCCATGTTCATGAATGGGTAGAATCAATATTGTAAAAATGACCATACTGCCAAAAGCAATCTATAAATTCAATGCAATTCCCATCAAAATACCACCAACACTCTTCACAGAACTAGAAAAAACAATCCTAAAATTCATATGTAAGAAAAAAAAAGCCCACATAGCCAAAGCAAGACTAGGCAAAAAGAACAAATCTGGAGGCATCACATTACCCAGCTTCAAACTATACTACAAGGTTATAATTACCAAAACAGCACAGTACTAGTATAAAAACAGGCACGTAGTACAATGGAAAGGAATAGAGAACCCAGAAATAAAGCTTAATACTTACAGCCAACTGATCTTCAAGAAAGCAAACAAAATCATAAAGTGAGGAAAGGACACCCTATTCAACAAATGATGCTGGGATAATTGGCAAGCCACATATAGAATAACGAAACTGGATCCTCATCTCTCACCTTATACAAAAATCAACTCAAGATTGATCAAAGACTTAAATCTGAGACCTCAAACCTAAAAATTCTAGGAGATAACATCAGAAAAATTCTCCTAGATACTGGCCTAGGCAAAGAATTCATGAGCAAGTGCCCAAAAGCAAATGCAATGAAAACCAAGACAAATAGATGGGACTTAATTAAACTAAAAAGTGCCTGCACAGCAAAAACAATAATCAGCAGAGTAAACAGACAACTCACAGTATGGAAGAAAATCTTCAGAATCTATATACCTGACAAAGGACTAATATCCAGAATCTACAAAGAACTCAAACAAATCAGCAAGAAAAAAGCAATCAATCCCATCAAAAAGTGGGCTAAGGACATGAATAGACAATTCTCAAAAGAAGATATACAAACGGCCAACAAGCACATGGAAAAATGCTCAATATTACTAATTATCAGCTAAATGCAAATCAAAACCACAATGTGATACCACCTTACTCCTGCAAGAATGGCCATAATTTAAAAATCAAAAAGTAATAGATGTTGGCATGGATGTGGTGAGAAGGAACAGTTTTACACTGCTGGTAGGAATGTAAACTAGTACAACCACTATGGAAAACACTATGAAGATTCCTTAAAGAATTAAAAGTAGAATGACCATTCGATCCAGCAATCCCACTACTGGGTATTTGCCCAGAGGAAAATAAGTCATTATATGAAAAAGATATGTAGACACACATGTTTATAGCAGCACAATTCACAATTGCAAAAATATGGAACCAGCCTAAATGCCCATCAACCAAGTGGGTAAAGAAAGTGTGGCATATATACCATGGAATACTACTCAGCCATAAAAGGGAATTAAATAATGGCATTCACAGCAACCTGGATGAAGTTGGAGACCACTATTCTAAGTGAAGTAACTTATGAATGGGAAAATCAAACATAGTATGTTCTCACAAGTGGGAACTAAGCAACGAAGACACAATGGCATAAGAATGATAGAATGGACTCTGGGGACTTGGGGAAATGGGTGTGAGGCGGGTGATGGAGAAAAAAAAGAAAAGTAAGAGAAATTGAGAAGAAAAAATCAGCTCTCTGAGGATAGGAAAAAAATGTAGGAGTTCTTAACTTGGGTTTATTAACTTGTGAAACTGTATACAGTTTTGAGAATGCATATACGCATTTTTCAAGATAGAAGATCCACATTTTAATCAAAGGAAATAGTGACCACACCCTTCCTCATCAAAAAGTGTTAAGAACTCTGAGGACAAGACTTAATACACTTATAGAAACAAAGTTAGGCACATTAACATATCTAAAGAAAGAATATGTTCCCTTGAAGGGTGGAAACTTTAAAAAAGAAGCTCTACTGGGAAAACTCTGGCCTTGTGTTTTAAAGAACTGCCCAAGTCAATTGGCACTATGGCACAGGCCAGCAATGTGTTGCCCAAGGAACACGTGTGTCCCATACTGGAGATGGATCTTTGGGTAATGATAGCTTGATTACCCTAGCCAATGAGGTGCTTTAATGAACTCCCTTTGCTCTGATTCCATACCCATCAAGCTATCTTACTTAATAATTTGGCTTCCCAATTAAATCTGCCTGCAAGTAGAGACTATGTTAATCAGTGAAGAAAAGTAGTTGATACTCCTTATCATTCCATGTACATATAAGATATGTGTGTGTCAGGGAGGGGAGGGTGTTTTTGACTGTGTGCAAGAGCATGCACTTGTGTGCATGCAAACACACACACACACACACACGTTAATGTTAGTCTATAAAACATTTTCCTAACTTGGCTTCCAGCATGTTACCACTTCCTCCTCATCTTTTACCTATCTGGATAATACTATCTTGTCTGGTTCTCATCATCCCAACCTCTTAATGTTGGAATGTTCACAGGCTTAGTACTTGAACCACCCCTCCCCTCCCTCCTTCCCCTCCTCTCCTCTCTTCTCTTCTTTCTAAACCTACTGCACAGATAATTACACCCTATCTCAAGGCTTTCAGCACAGTCTATACTGAGAACTCTCAAATGTACATCTCCATCTATACCTCTCTCCTGAGCTTTGGTCTCACATATCTAACTGCCTACCTGACATTTCCACTTATATGTTCACGAAGCATCTAAACTCAATTTGCCTAAAACTTAACTCCTGATAACCCCTGATCTTCCCTCCCAAAATCGTGTTACTGTTGCATTATTTTGTGTCTCAGTAAATTGCAAATTCATTCTTCCAGTTGCTCTGGCCAGAAACTTTGGAATCATCATTGACTCTTTTGTTTCTTTCATCCTCCATCTAATTAGTCAGAAAATCTTATTTGCTCTACCTTTAAAATAAATATCCATGGCCAGGTATGGTGGCTCATGCCTGTAATCCCAACACTTTGGGAGGCCAAGGTGGGCAGATCACTTGAGCTCAGGATTTCGAGACCAGCCTGACCAACATAGTGAAACCCTGTCTCTACTAAAAATACAAAAATTAGCCAGGTATGGTGTGCGCCTGTAGTCCCAGCTACTTGGAATGCTGAGGCAGGAGAATCGCTTGAACCCAGGAAGTGGAGGTTGCAGTGAGCCGAGATAGTGCCACTGCACTCCAGCCTGGGTGACAGAGTGAGGCTCTGTCTCAAAAATTGGAATGAAATGAAATGAAATGAAATGACATGAAATAAAATATAAAAATAAAATAAATATCCAGAACCTGATCATGCCTCATGAAACCATCTTCACCACTCACCGTAGTCCAAGCCACCATCATCTCTTGCTTGAATCCTGTAGCCTCTTACTTGGTCTCCTTGCTTCTATTCTTGTTCCTCTATATTCTATTTTTAACATGATAACCAGAGTGAGACTTTAAAACTTACATCAGATCAGGTTATTCTCCCACACAAAACCTTCCCATGACTTCCCAGTTTAATCCCAGAAAAAGCCAAAGTCTTTACAATTTATTCTAAGGTACTATACAACTGACCTCCCCACGTCCACCCTCCTGTTAGCCATGTGACTTCGTATACTATTACTATAATAAACAGCATAATGCAAACCACCCCAAGGTTAAGGCCCTGGCTCTTCACCGTTGTTAGCTGTGTGCATTCTGTTGCTTGTGTGACAAGTTACTTAACATCTGTTTCACAGATTCTCATCTGTACTGTCTTATAGGGCTGTTACAAGAATTAAATGAGTTAATGCTTGTGAAGTATTTAGAAAAGTATCCAACACATAGTAAGTGCTATATAGTATTTGTTACAGAAAATGCTCACTCTCCTGCAGCCATACTGGCCTCTATGCTGGTCTTCAAACATGACAGTTTAGCCCCCACCTCATGGCTTTTCCATTCTTCTTTCCTCTTCCTGGCATCCTCTTCCCTCAGATGTCTACTTTGTACATGTTCTCACCACCTTCAGGTCTTCCATTAAAAGTCACCTTCTTGGGGTCCTCTGCTGACCACCTAATTTACAACTGTGATACCCTTTGGCAGTCCCCACCTCCTGATTCCTGCTTTGTTTTGTTTTATTCTCCATATCACTATTATCTAACATACTATATATCTTAATTACTTGTTGCCTGTCTCTCCTACTAGAATTTAAGATTTCTGCTTTGCACTAGTCTATCTCCAATATCTACCATATAATAAGTACTCAATAAATATTTGTTGAATGAATCAATACTATAAAATACTCACAACCTTATTACTCTCATGAATTAGAGATGAGGACAGAATTCACCAGGTGACATATTCAAATAATCCTCCACTGAACAGGGTCTTTTAATCATTCAGGAGACAATGGGTCCAAAAAATTTTACATGACTACATAAATGAGAGGAGAGTAGATATTTACACTTATTCAGGCCTCTGTTATTATCTTTCCACCTCTTGAATACTCTTCTAAACTGATTAAAGGATTAGGAAGCTGGCTGTCTCTCTGAGTCAAATTCTGTTCTCCAAGAGAGTTCAATTATCAGGTAGACTACCCATCCAATACACTAGCATTCAATACATTTGTTGGATCTCCTCAACCTCAATCCTTTATTCTCATGTTATACCCTGGGCCTTGCCATCACACAGAATTTCTCCATTTTTGAAATCATAAATGTCAATATTCTACTCAGTCTGCAACCTTCTACCTTTTAACTCTTTCATCCTTTAATTCCCACTGTATCTTCAAGCTTATTTAGAAATTACAGACTTTGATTTTTCCATTTTTTGCTGATACAGCACTCCCTACCTGTCTTCTCTTCTTCCCTACCCAGCCTGGCCCCATGGTCATCACTTGGACTATGTTCTCCCGAGCAACCTCAACTCCCCTTGCCATAGTGTCCCAATAGCCAAGACAAAAACTCCAATCCTGGATCAAGGCTAAAGAACTCATTCTTCACTTATACCCCTTAATAGCTGAGCAGTTTTGAAAAAAAAAAAAAAAAATCTCAAAATAATGCAGAATTTTGTTTCAAATCTAATTTACAATTTCTAATTTCAATTAAGCTCTCAACCCTGCTTATAAAACCCTTTTTAAAAACTTACATAATACCTACAGTGTGCCTAGCACTGTTCTACATCGTTACAAATATTAATTGATTGAATTCTCACACTCATGGTAACACTCTGAGGTAGATACTATTTTTTTTTTTTTTTTCACAAATAGGACTTTTTATTTGCCACTATTAAAAGTCTGAACTTCAGACAGATTCTTGGACTAGTGGTTCATATCCATCAGTTCGTTCAACTTTAGCACCTGTCTTGTCCCCAGTGGCTTTTCCAAAACTATTACCTTCACCACGAAGCTCCATAAGTTTTCCCAATTCAAACTAGGGCTTCCTCAGCATTTTTACTTTTCTAACGAAGACATCACAGAGAGGATAAATAGATTGGCAAGCCTTTTCTATGTCTTTTCCAATACTGTCTGGAATCAACTTATTGACCACCTCTTTCCAGTCATTTGTCTGTACCTCTCAGGTCATGATTTCCATCATCTTCTTCCAGATTTGGAGGACCTGTTGGTGCTGAGCATAAGAGGTCTTCCGTACCTGATTGTTGCATTTTTTAGTAAAACCAACACAGAACAGATGAAGCAATCATTGTCTGCCATTTTTTGATCATGGAACACATTTTGTCATGGGTAAGATCCATGCCATGGAAGTTAGGCAGTTTTTGCCCTAAACATCTTCAGTAATCAGCTTGAATTTTCTAAATGCAACTTCATCATTCTGCAAATCAGTAAGACTCACTTCAAGCACACAACCCTCAAAGCCATCAGATGCAATTTTGATTCCTTGGGTCCTGGTGACTAGCATCTTTCCAGTATTTCTTATATTGAACATAGCAAGTGCTTTCACATCATACCAATCCTTCTTCGAAAATGGATCGACCACTTTCTTCTTGGCTCCCTTTTTGCCGCCTTTCATAAGGCGCTTGTTCTTGCCAACCTCCATGGTGCTGCTCAGAGCCAAAAACTGAGATAGATACTATTACTGTCTCTGTTTTACAGATGAAAAAAAATTAAGGCACAGAAAAATCAAGCGACTGCACAAGGTCACACTGCCAGTAAGCAGTAGAGCTTACTAGCTCCAAATCCTGGCAGTCTAGCTCAAGCTTTTATCTCGATGTTCTTATCGATGTTATAAATGAAAATGAGGTACAGAGAGGCTCAGTAACTTGCTCAAGGATACCCATTTATTGAGTGGAAGAACTTTGGTTTGAATGCAAGGAGACAAATTGCAGAACCCATATACAAACCCACTAACCTATACCATCTCCTCAGGTCTAAAGCCATCTGAGAGAATGATGCTCAACAGGGTTTGGAGCTCCTCGATTTCCCACACTATTCTCAGCAAACTTACCTAGACCCACACCTACCTCTACCTTTCTCTCACTCTCCTAGTGTTCAATCATTTGCTCTGGACTACATTTTTTCCCATTTCTTTCCATCTCTTTCCTGTATTGTCAATCTCTCTATCTTTACTTGCTCTAATGGTCATGTTCAAGTTTCTTTCATCCCAAAAGACCTTACCTTCAAGAAAATTTTGGTAAGGCCATTCTTTATAGCTCCCTTTACATGCTCACTCCCTTCTCAATTGGGATCGTCAAAAGAGCAAAACTCATTTTCTCACCTCTTCTCTCATTGTAACTAACCTTCTGCACTAATAACTCTTCTAAAGCTTTTGTTGCTAATGTCTTTAGTGATAATACCAACTGTAAATTCTTTTTTTTAAAATTTTTTAACTTTTTCTTTTGAGATGGAGTCTTGCTCTGTTGCCCAGGCTGGAGTGCAGTGGTGCAATCTTGGCTCACTGCAACCTCCGCCTCCTGGGTTCAAGCTATTATCCTACCTCAGCTTCTCGAGAAGCTGGGATTATAGGCCCCCACAACCACTGGCCTGTAATTTTTGTATTTTTTAGTACAGATCGTGTTTCACTATGTTGGCCAGGCTTGTCTCAAACTCCTCAGGTGATCCACTCACCTCAGCCTCCCAAAGTGCTGGGATTATAGGCTAAATTCTAATGGATAATTTTTAGTCTTTATCTTACCATGTCACTATCTTGCTCTTCATTTCTTCTTCCTGACATTCTCTACACCCTCGGAATCCTTAGATCTACACTCTAATGATTCTTCTGCCATCTCTGTCTCCCTTTTTTAATTCCTCAACTCTGGTCTTTTCCCCAGGGTTTGAACTGAGAGAAGTTTAAAAAAGCTTGATTTAACATTCCCCACCACCCACCCACTCCCACCCCCACCCTGCGCCCCCCACAATATACATGCTTTATTCTTAATGATCTCCCTGCAGAAAATGCAATTTAAATGGTATTCAGCTGACAGTAATCCCATCAGTGGTCATGGCTTTGTTACTCCTTTTTGAAGAGCCACCCCTCTCGTTCCCCATTCCTTCTAACTTGTGGTCAAAATGGAAACTGGCTGACTTTATATCCACATGGTTGGTAAGCATCTGACTTTCAAAAAGACAGGTGTCATGGAAGCCTGACCAAAAACCCTGCTAGTTAGATGGAAAAGAAAGACAAGAGGGCAAGCTGTGTCTCTATTTTAGTCATAGATATGTTCATATATTCTCAATCAAAATTAAGGAAATATGGTCTGCTAAAGAAGTTTTGTTCTATTTTAGAATGTTAGAAATGGTGCAGGAGATGTCATGTGGATGCTGAAACACTGAAATTTCAAAGACACTTTAAAGATTTATGGTTATAAAGTATAACTGGTTCTGGATTTTACAAGATGTCTGGCCACTGTAGTCACAGACTGCAAGAGAATGTTTGTGTCCTCCCAAAATTCATATTTTGGAACCTAATTCCCAATGTAATGGCATTAGGAGGTGCGGCTTTTGGGAGGTGATCAGTGCCCTCATAAAAGAGATCTCAGAGAATGAACTAGGAAGGAAGCCCTCACCAGACGTGGATGTGTCAGCACCTTGATCTTGGACTTCCCAGCCTCCAGAACTGTGACAAATAAATGTCTGTTGTTTATGATACCCAGTCTATGGTATATTGTTATAGCAGCTTGAATACAGTTAGACATAGATTTACCAGAAAGATGCCACAATCAAACCCGTCCTCTTGGCCAGGCAGAGTGGTTCACACCTGTAATCTCAACACTTTGGGAGGCTGAGGCAGGAACACCATTTGAGCCCAGGAGTTCGAGATCAGACTGGACAGCATAGTGAGACCTTGTGTTTAATAAAAAACAAAAAAATCAGCCAAATGTGGTGGTTTGTGCCTGTAGCCCCAGCTACGCAGGAAGCTGAGTATCACAAGGAGGATCGCTTGAGTCCAGGACATCAAGGCTGCAGTGAGCTATGACTGCACCACTGCACTCCAGCCTGGGCAACAGAGTGATACTCTATCTCAAAAAATAAAAATAAAAAAAAAATAAAATAAAATAAATCCCATTCTCTCTAACAGATATGATATAGCACAATTAAAGGTTTTATTAAACATGTAATGACAATTTGGTAAGCAAGCATTGCAATAAAGCTTTCCTGACCAACTACTATAATATCACTGGCCACTTTAAAAGAAGAAAATATAAATTCTTTGCACAACCTTGGCTATATAGATATAAAATCTGCTTGAATCACATTTCTCTGCATTTATCAAGGTGCAAAGAAAAATGAAGTTGCATTAGCTTACAAATGGCCTGTCTACATCGTGTAACGGTGCAGTGAGACCTAGGGCTGTTCTCTCCATCTATGCAGGGCATACCAAGATCTACAGAGCAAAAGTGCTAGGCATGGTTTGACAGGTTGCTTAAATGGGACTTAAGGTGGGTAAATGAGAAAAAAAAAAAGGCAATGTCAATACAATAAATGAGCTTTTTATTTCCTTTATAAGTTGAAGAAAGCATACTCTTGATTATAAAAGCAAAAACCACATCAGTTGTTGTATAGATAATATGGCACACTTATTGAACTAGACAGTCCTTTGAGACAAAACCATACTCAAAATAAAATCTTTTCATCTCAATCTTGAGTATGTCTACACTTTTCTATATACAGATGTAACAAACCTCAGTATAATATAAAGAGGTGGCAAATCCTAGTATAATTAGTGGTACCTGTGAAAAATACAATTAGGGCCAGAGTGACAATAAAAGTCAGTTAAGCGACAAGTTTGAAATTCATACCCTCTCAGAAAATTGTTGAAATAAAATTGGTATGACCTTCCAATCATTTATAAACATGTGGATACTTTGGGCAATAATAAGATCACTTATTAACTGCAACAAACATTACACAACTTTTGTAATTAAATAAATAAAAATGCACACAAAAATGTATGGTTTAAGTTCAACAATCTCCTTGATGACAATGCTATGCACTGTCTCATGTGTTGTCTCACTGATTTTTTTTCACTGAATTCATTCACTCATTAAATACTTATTGAGCTCCTTCTGTAACAGGAGTTATTATGCCAAAGATTTAAGAATTAAATCTTTATTATAATAACTCATTTTCTCACACACATAGTTATCACAGCCACGGCTCAACAGGCAAATCTTCCTGTCTTTCATGACTGGTGGTGGCCTCTAGAAACATACTGCCTGGTGAGGTCTGCCTGTTGAGTAGCAGCTTATGCTGCACCTGTGGTATGGTGCATACTAAACTGTTTTCTGCTGAGGTATTCACAAAAGGTCTAAATGAAAAAGAGCATGCTCTTCCATCTATCTTAAAGCAAATGTCTAAAAACAGAGACAGAATATAAAGGATGTATTTTTTTCTATAAGAGAGATACAATGTCCTATAAAATTTCAAAATGGAAGCAATCATTTCCAGCTTAAGAACAAAGTTTTTGGAACCGATATCTGAGGTTTTTTGGTTGTTGCTGTTTGTTTTAAAACACTTTATTGTGGTATAATTGACATTGCAAAAAGCTGTACATATTTCTGTTTTGTTTTTAAAGAATGATAGAGTACAGACAGATAAGGATAGGAAGAAAGGCCTTTCCAAGAAGAGGTAATGGCATTAATAAGGAAGTAAAAGGGAGTAGCTCCGAGGAAACTTGGAAATTTTGTGAACTCTAGGGCAAAGGATCTATGTAAGATAGCAATGGTCTAGAGAGGTATTTTGGATCCGGACTGTGCAAAGTTTTTTGTTTTTTGTTTTTTTTTTTTTTGAGACGTAGTCTCACTCGTGTCACCCAGGCTGGAGTGCAGTGGCGCGATCTCGGCTCACTGCAAGCTCCGCCTCCCGGGTTCACATCATTCTCCTGCCTCAGCCTCCCGAGTAGCTGGGACTGCAGGCGCCCGCCACCACGCCCGGCTAATTTGTTTGTTTTTAGTAGAGATGAGGTTTCACCGTGTTAGCCAGGATGGTCTTGATCTCCTGACCTCGTGATCTGCCCGCCTCGGCCTCCCAAAGTGCTGGGATTACAGGCGTGAGCCACAGCGCCGGCCCGGACTGTACAAAGTTTTAAACGTTCTGTGGGAAGTCTGGACTTTATGAGAAGCCCCCACAGGCTTCTCAGCAAGGGAACAACATAATTAGAGCTCTGCTTTTGGGAGATTAACAAAGTCAGACTGATTCTAGGGGGTGTGGTGGGGGGCGGGAAGAATAGTATGGCAATGGAAAGAATCCTACTAAGAGTGATAAGAGTAAAAGAGAGAAAGGTTGTTGGATAGAATTATATATTATTGAAGAAGTCATCATCAAGCAGGGAGGACCTACCAGGTGCTGTGCAGTGGCCAAGGAACTTTATATATGGTAGGATTTCAAATCTACATAAAATTCTTACAATGTGAGGAGTATTATTAACATGTTGCACATGAGACAACTGAGGTTTAGTGAAGTCAAAAAACTGCCTGGAATCACATTTAAAATGTGGTGGTAGAGCCAGGCCTGGCTGATCCAAATAGTCATGCATGGTCTACTTTCCCCCACTTCCTCTTAATGAAGAGCCAGTCAACTTATTGAGTCTGGATGTCTCATAGCTTAGTGGCATGGGAGTAGCTGGAAGGTTGCCAGCCATGGGAAAAGCCAAAGTTTGCCAGGTAGCTAGTAGCCAGTCGGTGGGCCAATCTGACTCTCTCCCCAGGACTGGCAAGAGTTCCACACAGTCTGGTCCTTTACATCTCCCTTGGGACTCCAACTTCGCACTGCACACTTACCCTCAGCCCAAGAAGCCTCTTCTCTTTTCCAGCAAATTTATGAACTGGCTGCTCAGACCATTCTCCCCATGGGAGGACAGGAATCCAAATCTGCGATTTGAGTAAACAGCTCCATTTCCCTTCACTATTATATTCTCCTGCTTCCCAAAAGGGGTCCAAAGTAACGTGGTGAATAAAGAGTAGGCTTTATTCATATAATAAAGTTGAACACTCCATGCAAAGTCTCTGTTCATGAGGAGTGTGACAAAAAGTTCATGAGAAGCCCTTTGTTTGATGTATAAAATGAATTCTGTTCAATATTGCTAATTTTAAAGCCTCATCACCATTCTAATTAATATACTAATATACTCACCTTAATACTCTATAATTAATGAATTATAGACCTCTTTAAGAACTCCTTCAAAGGACAATCTTTCAGAATCAAATTCTTCCTTGTCCCTTGCAGAAATGGCCCACAACACTATTTTCTTACTTCCCACCTTCTGACTGTACTTCTGCCACTTCTTGAAGAAAGCACTCTAGCCATAAATCCCAACTAGACCCTAGATAGTGGTCCCTTGGTCAGCCATCAACTTTAGCTCTCACCACCTCTCCTCTACCTGCAGGGCTCTGTGCAGGTTGCCCTTTTAGCTATAGACTGTGTATAAACAGAACTTCCTACATGCACCTTGGGACTCATGTGTTAAAAGCCCTTATTTTATACAAGGTAATCCTAGTGGTAGTAGCCAAATAGAGACATGGAGATAAATTTACAAGACAGCTTTGCTTCTTCCTCATAATTCATTGAGCGAAACAAGACTGTAAGAATAGCAACAACAAAGGATGATTTATAATTTCTACTCTACATGTCACCATGGCAAGATATATAAGTGACTTTCATAGAACAGATTTAAAAGTTACAAGGCAGTTATCAGCAAATTAACATGTGTACTTTGCTTCAGAATTTATCATCATTGTAGTTAGTGCACAGGGTTTGGAATCAGGCTAGCTGGGTTTACATTTTGGTTCTGACACTTGCTAGCTATGTAACCTTAGGTTAGTTATTTAACCTCCCAACATCGTCATCTATAAAATAGGGCTAATAGCACCTACCTTATTGAGTTATGAGGATTAAATGAGTTAATGAATGTCAAATACTTAAAACCATGCTTGGCACATAGTAAGCATCCAATGAATGTTTGCTATTATCACCACCACCTCCATTATCATCATGTTTAGTAATAACTGAAATTATCATGGTACTATCAGACCAGGGCCCAAAAATGAATTAAACATTAAACTAATTTTAGTACAAATAGGATAACAGTCACTGAAGTAAAACTTGAAAGAACACTGATATTTACTTTATATTCATCATCTTGCAAAACTGGTTAAAAAAAATGGGAAGGCACAATAAAAGTTTAATCAACGAGTAAAAATTTTTGATGGCTAAATAGAGGAACTTTGTATATTGTATTCAAGAGTAAATGAGAATGTGAAGCATTCTGAAAAACTACAAAATGCTGTATTAAAATAGGATATTATTAAAGAGAATAGATTCCACTTTAAAATGTTTTACAAGGTAAATGTTATTTTATTTTATACTTTCAACTACCTTACTGAAAAATCTACACCTATCATCTCAAGAAAATGGGATAATAAGCAACCTAACCAAGGTCATTCAGGGCTCCATCCTCAGTGAGTCACAATCAGAACATGAAGATAAGAATGTGAAGGAGAAACTGACATTCTTGCATGCTGTTTGGTGCATCCACAAAGAATGCAAAAGATGTAGAAGTGGAAGTTGTAAGAATATCCATGAATTAAAAATCAGATTGGCTTCACTCTGCTTTTTAGGAGGCAAAGGGGCAAAAAAAAAAAAAAAAAAAAAACAAAGACAAAAACAAAAAACAGTTCTTTAGTCAACCAGAAGTCGGTTCAATTAGAACTTTCTCAATTAGAAATGGAGCAGTAGCTCTAGAAAAAAAACAGAAGACTGTGTGGCAAGAAAAAAAGAAAGCTACAGATGAATTTTGGTTAATGAGTAGAAACCTAACAGAACTCAGGTGATGGGTCAGTGCAAGGACCTATAAATGACCTTGCTATGCTCAGTAAGCAGAGAAGTTCAGGAAATCTGTGAAGCCTCTGAACTGGAGAAAAAAAAGATAGAATATTGTCAAGAAATGGTAGAGAGAGAAAACTAAATGCCTGAGCAGAGTTAAATTAAGTCAAGCTGGAGTCAGCATATCATCTCTGTGCCTATAAATTATCTCTAGGCATCTAGGGTCTCACAGTGTGGCTGAGCAGCTTCTACCCTAAAGGAGTAAATTTCTCTGTTGAAATTTAGGAGAAAGATTTAGGCCTCATATTGTAATCTTCAGAAGAGAAACTCTTGAACTCTTGAATGGTGGTATTAGAATAGAGTCAAGAAAAGAACTAGAGTAAGTGTTCTCTGTGAGGAGGCTAGAGGCTAGGTTAGTTACAACAGTGACAGACTGAATCCAAAGCATTATCTTTGGGCACAAAGATCAGCATGTTTGGCAGCAGTAAGCTGTAAAAAAGAAAGAAGGCAAGAAAAGGAAAGAAAGTTGTTTGACTGCTATTATCTCATGTACTCTTATGTAGCTTAAGATCAATAGAATACTGTATTGTAGTTATAAAATATATACACATCAAAGTAAATACTCTCAAACCACTCATTTACGGTGCAGCTCCTTAAAAATAATCCATCCATCATATGTGGTCCTGATCAACAAACTTACTTAGATATTTATGGAAGCTGCAGTATTTTTCAAACTACATCTTAAGAAATCCAAAATTGTGTGGCACTGTCTCAGGAGCCCCTGGGTTGTGGAGTGGGGCGGGTAATGGGGGAGAGGGAAATCAAACAAGCAGGGCTAAAAATACTCCTCTGCTTCTTAAATCAGAAAAGCTTTGCTTTTATCTGTTTTATATAACAGGGATTCATGTAAGATTTCATTTGATAAAAGACTACTGGTAAGGTGGGAAAAGCATAGGCAAGACTAGGTTTGAACTGTGTCACTGCTATTTACTTACTCTGTGACTTGGGAAAATTACCTAAACTCTCTGAATCTTAGTTTCCTCTTTTATAAAATGGGATGAATAATATTTACAAATTGTTGTATGAAGTAAATAAGATAAAGTATGTAAAACACATACCATGAGACTTTAGCACATAGCAGGCACTAGCTGTTAGTTCCTTTTCTGAAAGACATGGAATATAGAGATAGATAGATTAGATAGACAGATAGATAGATAGATAGATAGATAGATAGATAGATAGAGAGATAGAGAGAGAGAGAGAGATGGGTTTTGGGGTTTTTTTGTTTGTTGGTTTTTCAGACAGGATCTTAACTGTGTAGTGGCACAATCGCTGCTCACTGAAGCCTTCCTGGGCTCAGGTGATTCTCCTACCTCAGTCTCCTGACTAGCTGGGACTACAGGCATATGCCACTAAGCCCAGCTAATTTTTTGAATTTTTTATAGAGACAAGGTCTCACTATGTTGCCCAGGTTGGTCTGAAATTCCTAAGCTCAAGAAATACACCTGCTTCGGCCTCCCAAAGTGCTGGGATTACAGGCGTCAGCCACCGTGCTTGGCCAATAGATGTTTAAATAAATAAATAAATAAATTTGTATAAAAAATATATATTTGTCTGTGTGTGTGTGTGTGTGTACATATAGTTGTAGAAGCTTCTGCAGACAGCTCTTCTGTAACTTGCAGTCATTCGAAAGATATACTGAGCAAGAATTTGGAGGTCAGCAGCATCACTCTCTTCAGCATTTCCAGGCCATGGCTGCCGTACTATCTGCTAGCATAAATCCTCAGCATTCAGCTACAGTTCTTCCTTCCTCTATATTTTCAACAGTTACTATCAGTAGTTTTCATTAGCTCCTCAAAGCTATATTGCAAAGAATTTAAATATTATTATCATTTTAATAAACTAGGTCAGTTCACAAAAGCAACCAACCACAAAAGCACTTTAAACAAATAAGACTCACCGACTGAGATTAAAAGGAGCTTTAGAGTGGATCCACGCAACACCTTTTTTTGCCATGAGAGATGAAGTAACCTCATCAAACTGGCAGAGTAATCAACTAGCAAAATTCCCAGATGATTGTAGTAGCTCTTGAACACATACCATGCTGATTAGCTCATGTTGCATGTTGCATGAACAATACATGGCAGAGAAAAGCTAAAAGTCAGTGGGAACACTATGCCAATTTAATGTCATTAACATTCCAGAAACCTACAATAACAAATACTAATTGCAAAATATGGAATGAAATGCCTACATTAAATCTTACGATCCTAATTCCACCATTGTGTGACATTGGGCAAGTTACTTAACCAAAGACTATTTCTTCACGTTTGAAATAAGGTGGCAATACCTGCCTCAAGGCCTTGTTATGAACAATATCTCTTCGTGGTATTCTTGCCAAAAATCCATAACCTCAGTCTAAACACAAAGAAAAATCAGACAAACCTAAACTGAGAGACATTCTACAAAATAACTGACTGGTTCTCTTCAAAAGTGCCAAGGTCATGAAGGAGAAAATGTATGCATTAGAAGAGACATGAAAGCTAAATGCATTGTGGGACCCTGGATTTGATCTTGGACTAAGGAAAGGGACAGTGAAAAAACTAGTGAAATTTGAACTAAGTCTGTAGCTAAATTACTATTATTGTACCAATATTAATTTCTTGATTTTGATAACTGTATTATGATTATTCAAGACAAAGCTTGGTGAAGGGTATACAGAAATTCTCTGTACTAATTTTGCAACTCTGTAAATCTAAAATTATTTTAAAATTAAAAAAATTTAAATCTTGTGAGAATTAAATACAGGGTCAAAAATTTTAAACCACGCTTTTTTTCTTTTTAGGCGTAATTCTTCATCTAATGGCTATACTTAGCGATAGTTAACAGCAAGAACATTATGTGAATACTGGCCAAACCCAGACTAGGAACCGCTAATAATGAAACATGTTCAACTGCAATAAAATGTGGACACTTTATCATACTTCAACTGAATAACAAATACTTTTGCAAAAATCTACTAACCATCAATATTTCACTCTTTGCACAATACAATCATGACTTAGTGCTTAAAGAAGTATGGATTCTGTGTTTGGCCAATGATGACAGGCTTAAATTTACCTAATACCATCAACATTTAAACAGAACATGTCAGATCTTAACTCCTCTGACTTTATGACTACGCTCATCTTGTCAGATTTCAACAGTTTTCTGTCAGGCAACACCTGGCAAAATAAACCGTTTTCATATAAATTGTAGACATCCCATAATGAGTATGGAGTGATGTGCTGTTATTCCTGTTTCTCCCTGTTTTATTTTCAACTTGAGTTTACATCTGCATCCTCTGAGATAAGCAAAGATGCCCTATGCCAACATTTTTACCCAAGATTTTGTTTTAAAAAAAGAAAACACTAAAAACCATTAAAACAACTTAGGAATCACAACACTTTATTAGTTAGAGTTTCTAACATAGCACTGTTATGGCTCATTCACTTTTGCTTTACACCTAAGGGAGTAAGTGCACAGCCAAGGCTAATAAAAACTAACTTGGCTATTTCTTGGTTTTTGATGGAACCATTCATATGATAAATATACATTTTTTCCCATTATACTATACTCTTGCAAAATAATTTTTTTCTACAAAGGTTATGAGATATCATAAAAATGTCTAATGCATCTGGTTTAAGAATCCAATGCCTCTTTCACATATTTCTGCATCTGTTCACAAAATCCCTTTGACTTCAAAGGAAGCTTTTCAAGAGAAAAAGAAGATACATACAGGAAAAGTGGCCATAAATTTTTAGTAGTCCTTTTCTAAGGCCATTTTAATAACAGCATTGTGGGACAAGTATCTTCCTCAGAATCCTAAAATATCACAAATGATATTAATGACTAAAGATCTGTATAAAGATTTATGATTTCAAAACGTTTTTCTGGTTATTAAAAAGTGTGTGTCTTCAATTTAGACATGTGAAAAATATGTAATGCTATAAAAGGAAACAAATAACTTTTAACCCACTATTTAGGAAGGCCAAAGCAAAATAAAAAAGTTAAAAATGTTTGTTCCCTTCCAGGCTTTTTTTCTATGTATACGTTTATATAAACACTTATATATAAACATAACATCGTAATAACACTATGAACACAATTTTGTATCTTTTCTCAGTCTTTCAAAAAACCACATTAATCTTTCAAACCATCATTTTCAATGACTGAAATTATATGTAGATTTATACTTTAAAAAAATACTCTCACATTTAATACTTATTCTACTCAAAGCTAAATTAAAGGTTTAGAAACATTCATCGGTACTGGAAATTCTACATCTTGAAACAATCTAGATTAATAATTAACTTTAATAGCCCTATTCATAAATGCCACTGAAACAATAGTAGAGGTTTAAGAAATTTTTTCTTTAGCATTTATAATGACTTAGTGTCTTAAACTTCCCTGGGCAGTCATTAGCAGGCTGCAGTTTGTCTTTTTTTTCTCTCTCTCTTTGATTCTCTATTCTCAAGACATCTTCAATTCTTTAGTTTGGAATAAGGGGAAGTTTGGGTCTACGGCTTAGCTACTTTGATAGCATAGGTGTTAATGTGCTATAAATTATAAATAATCATCTCATTCTAGTTCTGCAGAATCAAACCCTCAAATTTCAAGGAGAGGAATTTTTGATAAATTTATCTAATTTTGAATTGTCTTACCTAACATTGCTGCTGAAATTTAAGGTGACATTTGAATAGTTGTTTGCTGACAAGCAGCTTTCCGGTATATATTAATATATTAGCTTATAAGAATTTTGTGAGGCTCACATTAATAAAAAACGGAAGTTCAAAAAATTTATGACATGACTAGAAAAATAAGTTGAACTTAAATTTTGGTTTTCATAATTACTCTCATTGGCTTTGTTTTGGCTTCATAATCATGGAACTATAGATTTTCCAGAGGTTGAAAGAACATTAACGTGTCAATCAGTCCAGCTCTCTTCCTCCACTCAATATGAGCAAAAAAAGAAGAAAAGTCCCAGAGAGATTGTGACTTGTCACACAGCTGTCAAGTGGCAGACCAAACCCTTGACCTCTAGGCTACCTTCCTGTCTAGCGCTGTTTTCAACACAACAGTTACAATAGGTGCGACATCCTCACACCTACTCATTATGGCAATACATATGCAAATGATGCCGGGAAATTACCTAATAAAATCACATTCTCTCCTTTCTCTCTAGTTCCCAGAATATATCTCCCGTAGATAAAGTATGTCAAAGTGCTTGCCACTGAGACTGTACTTGGAAGACGTTTGGTAAAATCCTGAATAACTGAAAGGGTATCCCCTCCCCCTGACTTTTTTGCTATGAGGGTAAAATTCCAAATATTTAAGACAATTCCCAATAAGACCAGGCCGCGACATGGTCTCCGTACGACGAGATTAATGGTAACAGCAGTGTTGTCAAGCGCAGGACAGGACAAACTCTGTAGCAGCTTGCGGTCACTCTTTCACAGCCTGCTAGATAGAGCAGTGCTGTGGAGCCACCAGGAGCAACCAGAATGGAAGATGCACTGACACTTGCTCAAGTACCACACTGCCAACCTGCTGCCCCGACCCAAGCTGCCCAATGCCTAACAAAACTTCTCTACTCTCTCCGATAGCCCCTTAGCGTGTTGTTAGGGTAAGGAGGGTAAAAACAGTAATAAGACCACAAGAAGAGCAGTCTCTAAAACAACCCGTCTCTGAAAACATCACACGCGGGGTAGGCTCACCGCGTTGCCCGGCAACAGCGGCGGCGCTCCGCTCCCAGAACTGGAGGTGGCGGCAAGAGGTCAGAAAGCGGCGCGCTTTTTCCACCAAGAAACCTTTACGTCATCACGTATCCTTGCAACGTCACTACGCTCTGAGCAGGCCGACAGTCATAGACGAGTAGACCTTAGGCGAGGGAAGGCATGTACTTTCCCTAAGAAGCGGGAGGAGAGAAATAAATAGAGGGCAGTGGGATGAGAAGAACCTCGCGGGATGGGAAGCCGCGGAGGGAAGGGCCGTCTTTGGTTACCTGGAGAGCGGGAGCAGCTGCGGATCCCTTATGAAGTGCCCGGATGAAGCTCCAGCGCTCACGCGCTTTCCGCATTGAGTGCAGCGCCATCTTGAGAA
This sequence comes from Homo sapiens, assembly GCF_000001405.40. Lineage (NCBI taxonomy): Eukaryota > Metazoa > Chordata > Mammalia > Primates > Hominidae > Homo > Homo sapiens. The sequence goes on from NC_000001.11 coordinate 119,140,653, forward strand.
GGGCGGAGCCGTCTTGTTTGGAATGACGTCTGTTCAGAGAGCCAATCCCAGTCTCGCGACTCCTGCTTGCTGGGCGCGGCTTGGGCCTCCAGGCTGCGCAGCGCAGCCGCTATCGGGCGGACTGCAGTTCTTGCCGAGCAGGTGGGGACAGGAGCGGGGTGGGGCTTTAGTGTTTTTCCCTGGATCCCTTGTCTGCTCAGCCTTCCTGGAAGGAGAATTTCCTTGGGGGTTATTAGTAGCAACGCTTTAGACTGGAAGAAAGTCAAGTAGGCTGCATTTCTGATCTTAGCTATGTGAAGGCAACCTTTAAAAAGTTTGTTTAGAAACTCCCAGTTCTCTTAGAGGGTAATATAAGTGGTCTTTTTAGACATGTGTGGCCTCATTTCCCTTTTTTTTCTTTGAGACAAGGTCTCACTCTCGCCCAGGCTGGAGTGCAATGGCGCGATCTCGGCTCACTGCAACCTCCACCTCCCAGACTCAAGCTATTCTCCTGCCTCAGCCTCCTGAGTAGCTGGGACCACAAGGGTGCGCCACCACGCCCGGCTAATTTTTGTATTTTGGTGGAGACAGGGTTTCACCATGTTGCCCAGGCTCTCTCAAACTCCTGAGCTCAAGCCAAGCCATCTGCCTCGGCCTCCTAAAGTGCTGGGATTACAGGCATGTGCCACCGCACTGGACTTATGTGGCCTTATTTCATTCGTCCTGTAAACTTTGTTGAACCCTACCGTAATGTGCTGGGCACTGAAGGTACAGAGAAAGACATATCTTGTCTTCAAGTTGTGTACAGTCTAATAGAGTAGCGGATAAATAAATGATGTACACTTAATAGGTGTTAAAGAAGCAAGCACCGCAAGTTTTAAGGAGGAGTGGTTATGACTGTGGTGTTTCAACCTAGTCTAGGGAAGGCTGCAGGAAGGTTATACCTGATGGAAGAAATTGTTTTGTTTGGGGTTATGAGAAAGTTTAATACAGTTTTTCTGCTTCTGTTAATTCACCTAAAAATCTCCCAGACAGATAACGAGTGTTTCAGTAAAAATATAACTGGAAGAAATTCATGACAATTCCTTTATGTGTTTTGTTTATAATTCATCCAGCTACTGAAAATTACCAAGGAGAGGTAGGAGATAAGAGATGCCTATAAAGGAGCTGAAATCTACCAGGGTAAGACAAAACAGTAAATTAAAACCATATAGGATAATCTTGTAGGTATACAAAGTACTGGTGAAGTTCAAGTATAATTGGTGTAATTTAGAAGTGAGCAGGAAAGGGATGAAGGCAAAAAAAAAACTAGGAAATCAAGTTATAGTCTTCAACAAAGCTGATCAGTTTGGTTTTGGCTGTTAAATTTGAGGTGCTTGTAGTACTTCCAAAATGTGATGCCCATTAAATAGATACATGGGTCTGGAGCTCAGAAGAGATTTGAACTACCAAACAGATGGTAATTGAAACCAAGGAAATCCTTGAGACCATCAGATAGAGTTTGTGGAGTGAAAGTAGCCAGATGATGGAAATAAAGGAGCCAAGAGGTGTTGTAGAACCCAAAGAATGTGATATTACTGAGACCCTGGAAACAAACCTTGCCAGGGGAAGGGGGATATATGTTATGCCTTGTAAAATGCAGTTTAATAAATGCCCTACATGTTTTACTCATACATAGAGCAAAGCATTATAGTACAGTGTTTTACATATATTTTATTAATGAGATTACATGACCCTAGCAATTAGCAAGATTAGCTTTCTGACATCTTTAGTCATCTAGATAGCAAGATAAAACCTAGCAATAAGACTATGGTGCACCAAAAGCTGTCAAAGGGTGTACCTACTTTATTTCTTCAAGAAGTAGTTCTTAGTCGTATCTGCAGACTCCTATGACCAATAATATTTCCGTGGGAGGTATTTCCAAGACATAGTCCCACTAAAAAAGGTGGGACTTTAAGACCACAAGTTTTATAACTTTAGTATCCTGATTTTTAAAATTGAAAATATTTGCTAATTTTTAGACTTTGTTAGAAGTAATAAACTGTGTTTTGCACCGTGGCGGTGACCTGGTAACTCTCAGGTGTCACTCAGCCAGCCTTGCTTCTTGGACAAGGACTATAGTTTATATTTCTAACATCTCCCCCAGCACCTAGAATAGTCTCTTATGCAGAGTAGGCACCTCTTTTAAAAGTAAATTGGATTTTAACAAATTACACAGCTTATTGTCAGCAATTGTTATGCTTTTAACAGCCAGAAGGAACAGTTAACAGAAAAGACACAGGATGTATTAAAAATGAACCAGTTCTGTCTACTTTTGTACTTTTTCACAGTAAGCATTTTGGTGTTGGGGAAAGTATGACTACAAAGCTCACCATCTTCTAAGAGGAGGAATATATTCAGCTCAGTATATTTAACGTATTTTAATAAGTTTTTAATAATGGTAACCATGACTCCTCGGGGAAAGATATATTATTCAATGTATCTTTGAAGAAAAAACCTACAATACACTTTTGAAATGTTTTCATACAAAATGGTTAACATTTAAAAGTGTGTATATATCATGGGCTGGGCATAATGGCTCACACCTGTAATCCCAGCACTTTGGGAGGCTGGGGCGGGCAGATCTCTTGAGGTCAGGAGTTCGAGACTAGCCTGGCCAACATGGTGAAACCCCATGTCTACGAAAAATACAAAAATTACCCAGGCATGGTGGTGTGCGCCTGTAGTCCCAGCTACTCAGGAGGCTGAGACACGAGAGTTGCTTAAACCAGGGAGACAGAGGTTGCAGGGAGCCGAGATCAAGCCACTGCATTCCACACTGGGCAACAGAGCAAGACTGTCTCAAAAAAAAGAAAGAAAGAAAAGAAAAGTGTGTATTATGCAGTTGGTTATATGGAAAATTCTCCTATGGAATAATTCATTCTCCAACAGTGGTGTTTAAATGAAGCACCACTGTATTTAATGACGGTATTTTACCACTGCTATCATTTGAGTAAGCTAAAGAACTTTGGTAAAGTAAGATATAAATGTTGTATGGAAAGCAGACTTTAAACATACCTAAGATTAAAAAGTTTTATAGTCCTATCCTTATAACGTGAACTATATGTCTACATATGTTCATGCTTACAATTTTGAACACTTGTTTAAATTTTGATTTCTCATCAACACTTTTACTTTATAGTAAGTTCTGGTAATTTTGTTCTCTCCTTAACATTCCCTGCAAATCCTCTCCTGCTAGAAACAACAGATTAAAACCAGACTGGCAGTTGGGAAATGGTTTCTATTGCAACCATGTGTGTCAGAAGAAAGGATTAGGTTTCCTTGTCCAAGAACATCAAGGGGAACCTCCACCTCTGCAGACACACCTCTATTCCTTAGTAATGGAGAGTTTATACCTAGTTAGATTTAAATGGGATAAGGGAAGAGTTTAAATCCATTCTTAGCTCAAGCAGTATAATCAGCCCTCAAGTCTCAAAGTATCCAATTTTCTTTCTCTAATTTAATTCTAAGTGTCAGGTTGGTATTAGATGCTGATCAAGGTAATGGAGAGTTGCCCTACACATTTATTCACTTAAAGAAGAATTTTGCAGACTGCAAAGACTAGATGGCAATTGTATTCAAAACTTACTTAAAGCACAATTCATTCACCCCTGACCTTTCATTTATATTGAGTATGTTTTTTCAAATATAGAAGAGATTCCATAATAAAAGCAAACAAACCTCTCTCTTCATAATTATGGACTATAGTTCTCTGTACATGTTCTCTGACCATGCCATCTTATGCTGGACCTATTATAAGGACCCAAATTAAAGTGAGGCAGATCCTGCTTTTGAGTGAGATAACCTCCAAGAGTCATAAAAGTATATGGGAAACTGTAATAATGATTATTCTTTTTTTACCTTTGGCTTAACTTTAGTTCTTCCTCTTATTTTATAACTAATGAAACTTGTCCACAGATATTAAGTACCTTGACCAAAATCACACAAGTAAAAGCAACAATGAGAAGAACCTTCGGCTGGGCGCAGTGGCTCACACCTGTAATCCCAGCACTTTGGAAAGCCGAGGTGGGCGGATCACCTGAGGTCGGGAGTTTGAGACCAGCCTGGCCAACATGGTGAAACCCCATCTACTAAAAATACAAAAATGAGCCAGGCATGGTGCTAGGCACCTGTAATCCCAGCTACTCGGGAGGCTGAGGCAGGAGAATCGCTCGAAACTGGAAGGCGGCAGTTGCAGTGAGCCAGGATTGTGCCACTGCACTCCAGCCTGGGCAACAAGGGCGAAACTCATCTCAAAAAAAAAAAAAAAAAGAAATCCATCTCCAGATGAATGTTCTACTTTGACACCACAGTAAAGCTGAAGAGGCTAAAGCTAGGGCGGGTCCAAATGGGGAAGGTTCCACATAAAGCCACATCCTTGTGTCAGGTTTCAAAGTCAGAACAAGCAAATGTCTTATTTTTAAAGGCTGATACTCTCATCTCCACCCCTAATGTAAAAAGATGTTGTCTTTCCCTAGTAGTTTTTGGGAGAGAGCAAATTATAGCATCTTACTGTAAGGACAATAATCAGAAGCTCATCTTACCTTTGGGAAGGCTTAAAGGGTTTTATAGGGAGTCATCATTGTCACTTTATTTCTGGAAGAAAGGGCAAAATCCAAGAAGAGACTAAGTGATGTGAATAGCAAAATGGGATTTTTCTCAGAGCACTTTTTTCTTAAGATTAAGGGTCAAGGCCACACTTTTTATATTGCCAGGTTCAACTTCTTGCCTTAAGGACAATTTTCCACCCCACAACAGTGAAGATATTTTGATGAGAGTTGAGAGAAGGTGGGGAAGGTGGGTAGAGTCAGAGCAGACACAAGTGAATAATATGCATGAAAACTGACTCCATTACAAGTAGAGTCCTTAGTGTTCAGAACCAGGAGGAATACTGATTACATAGGAATGTTACAGGCCCCAGGATTCCTGTTCATATTTAATGTTTTCTCTCCATACTCTTACAAATGGCCATTTGAACATTAGAGAACAGGTCTTTAAAGAAGGCAGAGAATTGCTCCCTTGGGTATGGATCTAGAATAGAGAATAATTTGGGAGAATTGTAAGACTATTTCAATGGTCCTTATCCCCATTTTTCATCATCAGTCTTAGGACATGTATCCCATAGAGGAAATACAACTTTAAAATTAGCAAAATTCAACTTTTGAAAGTGTATTTTACTTTGTTGTCTCTCTTTGCATGGTGTATCTTTTCCACTTGGTATGGTCCTAAAGACAAGATCCTTATGCTATCTGTACACTTACTCTATTTTAAAATCACCATCTTTTGCTCCCAGCTACTTTATAACTTGGGGGAGCAGGGTTTGCCGTTCAAAGCTTATCTTTTACAAAAGGAACTTTAACAAGATCTCCAAAAAGCTCCCTCGAGTGGCTTTTAGATAGGCTCTTTTCTGTTTGTCTTTGTAATCAAACTACATTAGATCCTATCCAACACCCTGTCTATCTAGTATGATGCTATGATCCTAGGTGTGACTACTGAAAGTAAAACATAATGCTTAGATCTTGATATTTATAAAAACATGATTAAAAGATATCTCTGCCTCTAAAAATAGGGTCTTGACCTCACTGTCTCAGTCAAATTCCATTTCAGCCAGTGAGATTTCACTGGACTTCCCCAGATGCATTAACAACTGCAATCAACTATGTTTTTCTTTACTTTTTCCCTTAATAGGTAGAACTGAGCATGATCTTGGAGAAAATCTGCATACATTACTGATCTCTGAACCATTTACCCTTCACGTGCCTCTTTTTCCGTGTATGTGCCTCTTTCTCCTTGTATGTAAAATGAGTGAAAGAAAGAGGAGAGCTAGATGATACCATTGTAACTCTTGTATTTCAAGACACTCGTTTCTGCCTTGTCTCAGATTACAATCATTTAGAGATACAGAAATAGGTATTACAGTCAGAATCCACGTTTTAGAGTATATCTGCTGACCCCATGTCTGTGGAAGATACTGAGATGCAGGTACTGAGAATGGGCCTCAAAATTTTTCTGAAGACTGTGCTCCAGGAAGCTATGCTCAACCAAATGAAATTGGCCCTACTTGTCATCCTAGCATAGCAGGTTTCGGTTTATGAAAGACAGAGAATATGCAGCTCTCTCAGACACCTAAATATGAAGTGGCTTTCCACAGATCTCTTTTCGAAGGGTAAGTAGGAAGAATATCTTGACCTGTTTTTGTTCTCTGTGGCAGTTCCTCTAGCTCCCAACTGGATTACTTTTTGCTTGTTCTCAGAAATATGCTTCTTCTTTTGTAATCGGCAGTCGCAATGATTTGTATGACAGCTGCTAGCCCAAGAGAGAGTTCCAGAAGAGGGCTACCTAACAGGTGCTGTGGCATTTAGAAGAGGAATGGAGCCATTGTCAACGCACAGCTTGCAGGTGTGGAGAACAAAGTATATATGTGTTGGAGAGGTGGTGGGTGGGAAATAAATACCCCTGCCTCTCTCTCCTCTCACCCTTTGATCTTCTGATCTTTTGATTACTCCCATTTGATGAACCTCAGGGCAAAGGAATATGACTTAACCAATCCGTAAAGGTCAGTCCCTCCGCCAGCCCCTTCCCCAGATGCACAGAACAAGATGCAAAATGATAGACAATGGATCCGAATGAAAATATTCACTGTAGAACTATCTATTTACAGAACTAGGAATAAACTAAAAATGATAAAAACCAAAATCATCTTAGGATAACTTTTTAACCAGGCATTATACTTTTTAAAGGCAAGACCTTTATCTTCATCTCTGACTTACAGTACTAGGCACATGCAAGAGAGGCTCATCAGTGCTGTGTGTGGAAACTAAGAAAAAAAAAGGGGGGAGCTCAATAAATATTGGCAAATTGGTTAAATGAACAAAACACATGTGAGGGGGAGGAGGGAAATGTGCAATGGGATATTTTAGATAGTGCAGAGAGTTGGGGAAAAAAAGTTTTTGAGCCTAAGAAACCCTGGAAGCATTTTTTAATTCTCTAATATATGCTTGCTTTCTTGTGGTTTGCTCTTTCCGCTAAAAAGCAGAATGCATAAAACATTGTGATTAGTTAAGCATTATTACTTAGGTTCCAAGTAATTCGTATATAAATCTAAATTACTACTCTTCCTCCGTTCTGCTTCCCCTTCTGTTTGGTCAAATCCCTGTGGGAGAGAGTAGCATTCCTGTCGTGGGTAAAATAATTTCTATGGAAAATTTTCAAAATGCAATTTCTATAAACATTATGTGAAGATATGATTTATTTCTGGATTCAGTCCTTGTGCTTGCATCATCTTCCAATTTATCATCAAGTTCTCTGTGTGCCAGTTCTGTTTTTAAGGATCTGTTCATATCAGTTGTAATCTGAGAGGGTAAACTTCCACTAGGAGGATTGAAGCAAAAAAACAAGAAAATGTGTCCCAGAAGGCAGTGGGTGCACTGAAAAGAAGATGGGACTTTATTCCCAGTTCTAACACTGCTATAGCAAGTAAAGTGACATTGGAAAGTCCTTAACTTTTCCACCTTTTTTTTTTTATTAGACAGAGTCTCACTCTGTTGCCCAGGCTGGAGTGCAGTGGAGTGATCTGGGCTCACTGCAACCTCTGCCTCCTGGGTTCAAGTGATTCTCCTGCCTCAGCCTCCTGAGTAGCTGGGATTACAGGTGCCCACCACCACACCCAGCTGATTTTTGTATTTTTAGTAGAGATGAGGTTTCACCATGTTGGGCAGGCTGGTCTCGAACTCTTGACCTCAGGCGATCCACCCACCTCAGCCTCCCAAAGTGCTGGGATTACAGGCATGAGTCACCACGCCCAGCCAAGTCCCCTATTTTTAAAAATATTAGCCACTAGATAATTCAGTATGAGTCCACACAACCACTGACAGTGAAAACAGGGACATACTTCTTGGGGCCTTTCTCCTGGTCTGCATGCACAACCCCACCACAGGAGTAAGAGGCGGGGGTACACTTACCACTTACGTTGTCACGGCTAGTTATCACCTCAGTAAAAACAAGACTACCATGCCTAGTGCACAGAAGGTCACAGGACACAGGGCTGTGGTTTCTCCTCAAAGAGTGACATTCGTTTAGAACTTAGTTCATCCCTCTTATCCCAGACTGCTTGAGAATTAAGGAGGGAAGGAAAAGAAGAGGGTCTCTAGCTCTGATCTTTACTGTGTTGGGAAGATCCCCACTCTAATCCTGTTGCCACTCCTTTTTTTTTTTAAGACAATAATAAGGTCTCCTTTTCTAGAACACTCAGCTCATAAGTTTTTAGACCTGTCCTTGGTGGCCGGACGCGGTGGCTCACGCCTGTAATCCCAACACTTTGGGAGGCCAAGGCAGGCGGATCACGAGGTCAGGAGATCGAGACCATCCTGGCTAACATGGTGAAACCCTGACTCTATTAAAAATAACAAAAATTAGCCGGGCATGGTGGCAGGCACCTGTAGTCCCAGCTACTCGGGAGGCTGAGGCAGGAGAATGGTGTGAACCCAGGAGGTGGAGGTTGCAGTGAGCCGAGATCGTGCCACTGCACTCCAGCCTGGGAGACAGATCGAGACTCCGTCTCAAAAAAAAAAGTTTTTAGACCTGTCCAACTGACATTTAACACCATGAGATGGTGAACTTGGGGAAGACATGAGACTAGTAACACACACACACAGATTTTCAAGAGCTTGACATTCCATTATTTACTCACCTAGCAAATACTTATTGGGTGTCTTTTGTGCCAGGCACTGTACTAAATGCACAGAGCTGAATAGGATACCATCTGTGCTCGTCAAGATCTCCGTTTAATGAAGGAGAAGGCAAACAACAAACAGAATTTCAAGACATAAGATGTTGGCTGTGGGTTTGTCAAAAAAAAAAAAAAAGAAGAAGAAAATTCAAGAGAAACATCTTTGTATCAGGAAGCCCTTGTGATTTCCTTAGAATCACACTTTGTCAGCAATCCTAGCCTCACTGCTTGCTGTTCGTATAACCTTGGACAGGCTTCCTAAGAGTTCTGGACCTCAGTGTCCTCATCTGAAAATGGGGGCAAAGAATAAGCTCCCAAAGTTTCCTTACTGCTCTAAGATGAGTACTGAGCTCAATCTTGAAGGAGTGTCTGTATAGAATTTTGAATTGGAAAGAGGAGCAGGGTGCCCTTAGGAGAGAGAACTGCATGAAGAAAGCAAGGATATGCAAATGAATAGAGCATAAAGAAAGGTGAGAGTAAAGAGAATAAGGTACCGACACATCTCCCTGCTTCCTCCTTCACCCGCTTACGTGTATTTTCAATCAGCCATCAGAGTGACCTATTAAAATGTATGTCAGCTCATGGTCACTACTCTGCCCAAAACCCTCCAGTGACTTTCCATGTCATTTGGAAAAAATCCAAAGTTCTCAAAACCTATAAGACCTAAGTGACCTGCATCCCCCATCCCAACCTCTCTTTCTGGCCCTTTCCCCATTAACTTCCCCCTGCTTTGCTTTACTCCAGACATGCTGGTCTCCTCACCAATGCTCACCAGTTACCACCTAAAACATTTTACTTTATTTTCTCCGCCTCTAGAACATAAGCAGCATGGGAGCATAGCCTTTTGTCTGCTTTATTATGCATCCTCAAAGTTCAGAATGTGCATGTCTAGTAACATATTTGTTAAATGCATTTTCTTATTTACAAGTAAGGAAACTAAGATCAAAGAGAATGCAAATGAAGTCACACTGCTCTTTAGGAGAGGGTGGACCAGTATGTGCACAGATTTTCTGTTTCTCTGCCCCAAAGGTAGATAGAATGATGGGCCCTGAAGATGGCTATATGGCAGAAGGAACTTTGCAGATGTGATTAAGAATCTTGAGATGAGAATATTATCCTGGTTTATTCTGTTTAGTCCAATGTAATCATAGAGGTTTTTCTAACAGGGGAGCAGGAGAGTCAGTCTAAGAAGGAAATGTGATGATGGAAACAGAGGTTGGAAGATGGAAGAGGACCCAGAGTCAAGGAATGCAGGTAGAAAAGAAAAGCCTGGATTCTCCCCTAAAGCCTCCAGATGGAACACAGCCCTGCCTCCACCTTGATTTCAGGACTTCTTACCCCAAGAATCGTAAGCTAATACATTTGTTTTTGTTTTTGTTTTTGTTTTCTTTGAGATGGAGTCTTGCTCTGCTGCCCAGGCTGGAGTGCAGTGGACTGATCTTGGCTCACTGCAGCGTCCATCTTCCGGGTTCAAGCGATTCTCCTGCTTCAGCCTCTCAAGTAGCTGGGATTACAGGCGCCCACCACACCCGGCTAATTTTTTTTTTTTTTAATACTTTAAGTTTTAGGTTACATGTGCACAACGTGCAGGTTTGTTACATATGTATACATGTGCCATGTTGGTGTGCTGCACCCATTAACTCGTCATTTAGCATTAGGTATCTCTCCTAATGCTATCCCTCCCCCCTCCCCCCACCCCACAACCGTCCCCAGTGTGTGATGTTCCCCTTCCTGTGTCCATGTGTTCTCATTGTTCAATTCCCACCTATGAGTGAGAACATGCGGTGATTGGTTTTTTCTCCTTGCAATAGTTTGCTGAGAATGATGGTTTCCAGCTTCATTCATGTCCCTACAAAGGACATGAACTCATCATTTTTTATGGCTGCATGGTATTCCATGGTGTATATGTGCCACGTTTTCTTAATCCAGTCTATCATTGTTGAATATTTGGGTTGTTTCCAAGTCTTTCCTATTGTGAATAATGCCACAATAAACATACGTGTGCATGTGTCTTTATAGCAGCATGATTTATAATCCTTTGGGTATATACCCAGTAATGGGATGGCTGGGTCAAATGGTATTTCTAGTTCTAGATCCCTGAGGAATTGCCACACTGACTTCCACAATGGTTGAACTAGTTTACAGTCCCACCAACAGTGTAAAAGTGTTCCTATTTCTCCACATCCTCTCCAGGACCTGTTGTTTCCTGACTTTTTAATGATCACCATTCTAACTGGTGTAAGATGGTATCTCATTGTGGTTTTGATTTGCATTTCTCTGATGGCCAGTGATGATGAGCATTTTTTCATGTGTTTTTTGGCTGCATAAATGTCTTCTTTTGAGAAGTATCTGTTCATATCCTTTGCCCGTATTTTGATGGGGTTGTTTGTGTTTTTCTTGTAAATTTGTTTGAGTTCATTGTAGATTCTGGATATTAGCCCTTTGTCAGATGAGTAGATTGCAAAAGTTTTCTCCCATTCTGTAGGTTGCCTATTGACTCTGATGGTAGTTTCTTTTGCTGTGCAGAAGCTCTTTAGTTTAATTAGATCCCATTTGTCAATTTTGGCTTTTGTCGCCATTGCTTTTGGTGTTTTAGACATGAAGTCCTTGCTCATGCCTATGTCCTGAATGGTATTGCCTAGATTTTCTTCTAGGGTTTTTATGGTTTTAGGTCTAACATGTAAGTCTTTAATCCATCTTGAATTAATTTTTGTATAAGGTGTAAGAAAGGGATCCAGTTTCAGCTTTCTACATATGGTTAGCCAGTTTTCCCAGCACCATTTATTTATTTATTTATTTTTATTTATTTATTTTTTTTTTTTTTGAGACGGAGTCTCGCTCTGTCGCCCAGGCCAGACTGCGGACTGCAGTGGCGCAATCTCAGCTCACTGCAAGCTCCGCTTCCCGGGTTCACGCCATTCTCCTGCCTCAGCCTCCCGAGTAGCTGGGACTACAGGCGCCCGCCACCGCGCCCGGCTAATTTTTTGTATTTTTAGTAGAGACGGGGTTTCACCTTGTTAGCCAGGATGGTCTCGATCTCCTGACCTCATGATCCACCCGCCTCGGCCTCCCAAAGTGCTGGGATTACAGGCGTGAGCCACCGCGCCCGACCAGCACCATTTATTAAATAGGGAATCCTTTCCCCATTGTTTGCTTTTGTCAGGTTTGTCAAAGATCAGATAGTTGTAGATATGTGGCATTATTTCTGAGGGCTCTGTTCTGTTCCATTGGTCTGTATCTCTGTTTTGGTACCAGTACCATGCTGTTTTGGTTACTGTAGCCTTGTAGTATAGTTTGAAATCAGGTAGCATGATGCCTCCAGCTTTGTTCTTTTGGTTTAGGATTGACTTGGCAATGTGGGCTCTTTTTTGGTTCCATATGAACTTTAAAGTAGTTTTTTCCAATTCTGTGAAGAAAGTCATTGGTAGCTTGATGGGGATGGCATTGAATCTATAAATTACCTTGGGCAGTATGGTCATTTTCATGATATTGATTCTTCCCACCCATGAGCATGGAATGTTCTTCCATTTGTTTGTATCCTCTTTTATTTCACTGAGCAGTGGTTTGTAGTTCTCCATGAAGAGGTCCTTCATATCCCTTGTAAGTTGGATTCCTAGGTATTTTATTCTCTTTGAAGCAATTGTGAATGGGAGTTCACTCATGATTTGGCTCTCTGTTTGTCTGTTGTTGGTGTATAAGAATGCTTGTGATTTTTGCACATTGATTTTGTATCCTGAGACTTTGCTGAAGTTGCTTATCAGCTTAAGGAGATTTTGGGCTGAGACGATGGGGTTTTCTAGATATACAATCATGTCATCTGCAAACAGGGACAATTTGACTTCCTCTTTTCCTAATTGAATGCCCTTTATTTCCTTCTCCTGCCTGATTGCCCTGGCCAGAACTTCCAACACTATGTTGAATAGGAGTGGTGAGAGGGGGCATCCCTGTCTTGTGCCCGTTTTCAAAGAGAATGCTTCCAGTTTTTGCCCATTCAGTATGATACTGGCTGTGGATTTGTCATAGATAGCTCTTATTATTTTGAGATACGTCCCATCAGTACCTAATTTATTGAGAGTTTTTAGCATGAAGGGCTGTTGAATTTTGTCAAAGGCCTTTTTTGCATCTATTGAGATAATCATGTGGTTTTTGTCTTTGGTTCTTTTTATATGCTGGATTACATTTATTGATTTAGCGTATGTTGAACCAGCCTTGCATCCCAGGGATGAAGCCCACTTGATCATGGTGGATAAGCTTTTTGATGTGCTGCTGGATTTGGTTTGCCAGTATTTTACTGAGGATTTTTGCATCAATGTTCATCAAGGATATTGGTCTAAAATTCTCTTTGTTGGTTGTGTCTCTGCCAGGCTTTGGTATCAGGATGATGCTGGCCTCATAAAATGAGTTAGGGAGGATTCCCTCTTTTTCTATTGATTGGAATAGTTTCAGAAGGAATGGTACCAGCTCCTCCTTGTACCTCTGGTAGAATTCGGCTGTGAATGCATCTGGTCCTGGACTTTTTTTGGTTGGTCAGCTATTAATTATTGCCTCAATTTCAGAGGCTGTAATTGGTCTATTCAGAGATTCAACTTCTTCCTGGTTTAGTCTTGGGAGGGTGTATGTGTCGAAGAATTTATCCATTTCTTCTAGATTTTCTAGTTTATTTGCATAGAGGTGTTTATAGTATTCTCTGATGGTAATTTGTATTTCTGTGGGATCAGTGGTGATATCCCCTTTGTCATTTTTTATTGCGTCTATTTGATTCTTCTCTCTTTTCTTCTTTATTAGTCTTGCTAGCGGTCTATCAATTTTCTTGATCTTTTCAAAAAACCAGCTCCTGGATTCATTGATTTTTTGAAGGGTTTTTTGTGTCTCTATTTCCTTCAGTTCTGCTATGATGTTATTTCTTGCCTTCTGCTAGCTTTTGAATGTGTTTGCTCTTGCTTCTCTAGTTCTTTTAATTGTAATGTCAGAGTGTCAGTTTTAGATCTTTCCTGCTTTCTCTTGTGGGCATTTAGTGCTATAAATTTCCCGCTACACACTGCTTTGAATGTGTCCCAGAGATTATGGTATGTTGTGTCTTTGTTCTCATTGGTTTCAAAGAACATCTTTATTTCTGCCTTCATTTTGTTATGTACCCAGTAGTCATTCAGGAGCAGGTTGTTCAGTTTCCATGCAGTTGAGCAGTTTTGAGTGAGTTTCTTAATCCTGAGTTCTAGTTTGATTGCACTGTGGTCTGAGAGACAGTTTGTTATAATTTCTGTTCTTTTACATTTGCTGAGGAGTGCTTTACTTCCAAGTATGTGGTCAATTTTGGAATAGGTGTGATGTGGTGCTGAAAAAAATGTATATTCTGTTGATTTGGGGTGGAGAGTTCTGTAGATGTGTATTAGGTACGCTTGGTGCAGAGCTGAGTTCAATTCCTGTATATCCTTGTTAACTTTCTGTCTCGATCTGTCTAATGTTGACAGTGGGGTGTTAAAGTCTCCCATTATTATTGTGTGGGAGTCTAAGTCTCTTTGTAGGTCACTCAGGACTTGCTTTATGAATCTGGGTGCTCCTGTATTGGGTGCATATATATTTAGGATAGTTAGCTCTTCTTGTTGAATTGATCCCTTTACCATTATGTAATGGCCTTCTTTGTCTCTTTTGATCTTTGTTGGTTTAAAGTCTGTTTTATCAGAGACTAGGATTGCAACCCCTGCCTTTTCTTCTTTTCCATTTGCTTGGTAGACCTTCCTCCATCCCTTTATTTTGAGCCTATGTGTGTGTCTGCACGTGAGATGGGTTTCCTGAATACAGCACACTGATGGGTCTTGATTCTTTATCCAATTTGCCAGTCTTTGCCTTTTAATTGGAGCATTTAGCCCATTTACATTTAAGGTTAGTATTGTTATGTGTGAATTTGATCGTGTCATTATGATGTTAGCTGGTTATTTTGCTCATTAGTTGATGCAGTTTCCTCCTAGCCTTGATGGTCTTTACAATTTTGCATGTTTTTGCAGTGGCTGGTACCGGTTTTTCCTTTCCATGTTTAGCGCTTCCTTCAGGAGCTGTTTTAGGGCAGGCCTGGTGATGACAAAATCTCTCAGCATTTGCTTGTCTGTAAAGTATTTTATTTCTCCTTCACTTATGAAGCTTAGTTTGGCTGGATATGAAATTCTGAGTTGAAAATTATTTTCTTTAAGAATGTTGAATATTGGCCCCCACTCTCTTCTGGCTTGTAGAGTTTCTGCTGAGAGATCCGCTGTTAGTCTGATGGGCTTCCCTTTGAGGGTAACCCGACCTTTCTCTCTGGCTGCCCTCAACATTTTTTCCTTCATTTCAACTTTGGTGAATCTGACAATTATGTGTCTTGGTGTTGCCCTTCTCGAGGAGTATCTTTGTGGCATTCTCTGTATTTCCTGAATGTGAATGTTGGCCTGCCTTGCCAGATTGGGGAAGTTCTCCTGGATAATATCCTGCAGAGTGTTTTCCAACTTGGTTCCATTCTCCCTGTCGCTTTCAGGTACACCAATCAGACGTAGATTTGGTCTTTTCACATAGTCCCATATTTCTTGGAGGCTTTGTTTGTTTCTTTTTATTCTTTTTTCTCTAAACTTCTCTTCACGCTTCATTTCATTCATTTTGTCTTCCATCACTGATACCCTTTCTTCCAGTTGATCGCATCGGTTACTGAGGCTGTGCATTCGTCATGTAGTTCTCGTGCTGTGGTTTTCAGCTCAGTCAGGTCCTTTAAGGACTTCTCTGCATTGGTTATTCTAGTTATCCATTTGTCTAATTTTTTTTCAAAGTTTTTAACTTCTTTGCCATTGGTTCGAACTTCCTCCTTTAGCTCGGAGTAGTTTGATCTTCTGAAGCCTTCTTCTCTCAGCTCGTCAAAGTCATTCTCCATCCAGCTTTGTTCCATTGCTGGTGAGGAGCTGTGTTCCTTTAGAGGAGGAGAAGCACTCTGATTTTTAGAGTTTCCGGTTTTTCTGCTCTGTTTTTTCCCCATCTTTGTGGTTTTATCTACCTTTGGTCTTTGATGATGGTGACTTACAGATGGGTTTTTGGTGTGGATGTCCTTTCTGTTTGTTAGTTTTCCTTCTAACAGTCAGGACCCTCAGCTGCAGGTCTGTTGGAGTTTGCTGGAGGTCTACTCCAGACCTTGTTTGCCTGGGTATCAGCAGCGGTGGCTGGAGAACAGCAGATATTGGTTAACTGCAAATGTTGCTGCCTGATCGTTCCTCTGGAAGTTTTGTCTCAGAGGAGTACCTGGCCGTGTGAGGTGTCAGTCCGCCCCTACTGGGGAGTGCCTCCCAGTTAGGCTACTTGGGGGTCAGGGACCCACTTGAGGAGGCAGTCTGCCCGTTCTCAGATCTCAAGCTGCATGCTGGGAGAACCACTACTCTCTTCAAAGCTGTCAGACAGGGACATTTAAGTCTGCAGAGGCTATTGCTGTCTTTTGTTTGTCTGTGCCCTGCCCCCAGAGGTGGAGCCTACAGAGGCAGGCAGGCCTCCTTGATCTGTGGTAGGCTCCACCCAGTTCGAGCTTCCTGACCTCTTTGTTTACCTACTCAAGCCTGGGCAATGGCGGGCACCCCTCCCGCAGCCTCACTGCCGCCTTGCAGCTTGATCTCAGACTGCTGTGCTAGCAATGAGTGAGGCTCTGTAGGCATAGGAACCTCCGAGCCAGGTGAGGAATATAATCTCCTGGTGTGCCGTTTGTTAAGCCCATTGGAAAAGTGCAGTATTGGGGTGAGAGTGACCCAATTTTCCAGGTGCCATGTGTCACCCCTTTCTTTGACTAGGAAAGGGAATTCCCTGACCCCTTGCGCTTCCTGGGTGAGGTGATGCCTCGCCCTGCTTCGGCTCATGCACGGTGCGCTGCACCCACTGTCCTGCACCCACTGTCCAGCACTCCCCAGTGAGATGAACCCGGTACCTCAGTTGGAAATGCAGAAATCACCCGTCTTCTGCGTCGCTCACGCTGGGAGCTGTAGACTGGAGCTGTTCCTATTTGGCCATCTTGGCTCCACCCCACACCCGGCTAATTTTTTTGTATTTTTAGTTGAGACGAGGTTTTGCCATGTGCTGGCTAGGTTGTTCTCGAACTCCTAACTTCAGGTGATCCACCTGCCTTGGCCTCCCGAAGTGCTGCGATTACAGGTCTGAGCCACTGCACCCAGCCATTTGGGTTGTTGTAAGCCTTCAAGTTTGTGACACCTTGTTAGAGAAGCAATAGGAAACTAATACAAGTTCTATTCACTGCATCTTAAGAGAAGAAAGCTGGGCAGGTAAGGCAGGGACAGTTTGTTGATTCCTTATTTAATAAGTAGCTATTGAGCACCCCTCCTCACTTTTTTGGTGGAACAGTGTGTAGTAATATGAGGTAAAGAACATAATTTGTGCTCTCAGAAGCTTACTAGTTAGCAGCTACAGCTATGGCTAGTGAATGGCCAGCCTTGAATTCAAGGGGGTAGGATTTGCACCTGACTCGAGACCAATGCTTAGACTTCCAGATGCAACAGCTGGGAGCCTCCTTCCAGGATTTGATCTCAACACAGACAAGAGTGTTTATTCACTCATTTATTAGTTGACTCAACCACCATTTAGTGTATACGTTGATATATCCATTTTAGCAAAGAAAACAGGGAGGACATGAAAGGGGAACTTTTACATCTTAATGTAATTTTTTTAAAAAAGCAGTAGGATTAAGTGTGTGTGTGTAATTTAATTTGAAGATTTCCAGTATTTTTTCATGTTTTAATTAATTGTTTTGAGACAAGGTCTCACTGTCTCACCCAGGCTAGAGTGCACAGGTAAAATCATAGCTCACTGTAGCCTCAATCTCCTGGCCTCAAGTAGAATCTCCCACCTTAGCCTCCCAAATAGCTATGACTACAGGCATGTGCCACCACACCCAGGCAATTTATTTTATTTTATTTTTTTATTTTAGAAAAGGGTTCTCACTGTGTTTCCCAGGCTGATCATGATCTCTTGGCATCAAGCAGTCCTCCCACCTCAGCCTCCAAAGTGCTGGGATTACAGGTCATCAAGCAGTCCTCCAGCCTCAGCCTCCAAAGTGCTGGGATTACAGGTGTGTGCCATGGCATCCAGCCCAGTATTTTTTTTTTTTTTTAATTAAAAAAATGGTGGCTCACGCCTGTAATCCCAACACTTTGGGAGGCCGAGGTGGGTGGACCACGAGGTCAGGAGTTTGAGACCAGCCTGGCCAACATGGTGACACCCCATCTCTACCAAAATACAAAAAAATTAGCCAGGCATGGTGGCGTGCACCTGTAATCCCAGCTACTCTGGAGGCTGAGGCAGAAGAATTGCTTAAATCCCAGGGGCAGAGGTTGCATGAGCCAAGATCATGCCACTGCACTCCAGCCTGGGCGACAGAGCAAGACTCCGTCTCAGGGGAAAAAAAAAAAAAGGAAATATTTTCCGAAAGCTAGTCTGAGCCAGGCAGTATGAAAGACACTGAAGATAAAAGAGCAGTCTTGAACTCTACACACTTACAGCTAAATAGGAGTGACAAGTGAACAGGGGATTGCCCCACCTGAAGCTCTTGTGACCAGAGAGAGAAACAAGGTTTCTGTGGAGGCCCAGAGGGGTCCTTCAACCCTGCTTGGAGGACAGTACTGGGGTGGAGAGGGTCAAGTAGAGATTCCCAAAAGTAACATCTCAACTGAGCAGTCTGATCCTTAGCAAGGTTCGGGCCCTTTGGCCTTGCCTACCCTGGCCTTGGTTGTTTTGCTAACCAGAGCCAGCTGTGTTGTGGGTGTCTTTTCCTCTCTCCTGGTGTCCCCGCCTGGACCCTTCACTCTTTGCCTCCCACGCCCTGGCATTACACAGGCATTTTCAGACCCTTTCCCAGGATTCTGTTTATAGCCAGCATCCTGTGCAGCTCATGAGGAGTCATAAGCCCATGATGAGATAAGAGGAGGAACTTGGAAGAAAACATGATGAACATGGACAAAGCCAAGGGGAAAAATATGCATGTTTTCATTTGCTTTTCCCAAACAGGATGCTTTCACACCACTGTCTATAATTCAAACAGTATGTTTCTGCTTAACATACTGTGAAGATGTGAAGCCACATGAGAAATGTTCTCCCAAGATGGAGTTAGTGTCCCTCCTGGAGCTCCCTCAGCACCCTGTGCTCCCACATTTCAAAGGATCACTCACACCCTAGCCCATTTCCTCACTGTCTAATGTTCTCCACAGACCCCTAAGATCCTTCTAGAGCCATGACCAGCCTTGCTTGAGGTTGTATGGCATATACCCTGTGCACAGTGAATGCTGAATAAATAACTGCTCCGTTGAACTGAATAGAATAAAACAGCATAGATACTAGTTTGGTCAAATTTTAAAACATCAGAACTTCAACTCTCATTTTGGAAGGTGGGGATGTGATTAAAATTCAATTTTAATTGATTATTTCTCAGAAAACATAAAAATGTTCCTACAATTCTCAAATAGCTATTTACCAATTTCATTTTCAACCTGATTTGACACTCTGATGAGGGGGGAAGGTTGAGTACATCATAAAAACTTCAGTTTACCTCTAACTTGTGATTGTGTGTGAAGAAAGAGCACAGGATATAGAAGAGGGAAAAATGCTTTGAAAACTCTAAAAGTGGGTTGCAAATGTTAGTTTGTTTTCACACAATGGACACAAAAATCGCCCGTGCATTCAGTCACTTGCAGACTGAAGCAAACAGCTGTATTTGGATGAGGCAGAGGAATGGTGGGAGGAACTGTTTCTTGTTGCACTGAGCATTCAGTTGTTCTGGGCTTTGCCCAAGGAAAAACAGATGGTTTTCCTTGCTGGAATTGGTCAGGGAGGGCAGGGGAAGTGCCCAGGCTTTGCTTTCCCATAATTGACAGTACAGAGTTTTAAGAAATATTTGAACAGTAGCACTGTTCTGGTACCTACTTGGGAAAGCCAATTCTTGATTTTAAAAAATCAAATCAAAGCAGTGACAGTGACATATTCTGCTTCCATTTCATACCATTCCTGACTTCTTAGAAGCAGTTGATGCTAGTGGTCTTCTCTGGCAGGGATTGCTAGCCCTGGCTTTGCAGCAGCCCATGGAGCTGCCAGTTCTCCAGGGTAATTGCAAAATACTGCTAAGTATTCTAAAAATGAAATTAAATATTCATTTTATTTTAATTTACATGTGCCATCCAATACTTTTAGAAGATGTCAGTACCATGGAATGACATGACCAACAATAATATGTTGCAACTCTGAGATACAGCTAGAAATTCTCCGAATAAGATGCTGATGGTCCTGCAGTCCAATGCTGTGTGATTTTCACTGTGGCCAGCTATACAAGACTTAGCGTATACTTCTCTCTGTGTAACTGTAAAAAATTTTGTAAGTCTAAGAGGGTAATATATTCTTTCATAAAACCTCAATCTAGTGAGTTCTAATCATTCTTGATCTTTCTCAAATAAATACTAGTCAAATCTTTCCCAATAACTAAGTAACTAAGCATTCACGTTTTACAACTGTAATGTAGTTTTGGTATGAGAAAACTATTTCCTGGTCTCCAGGATCTAGAAAGTAAACATGTAACAAACAATTAGGAATGTGGTATCGGGTAGTCAGATGTTCTACACGTCTCCAGCCTAAGCTGTCCACTTCGGATTTCTTGCTCTTTTCCTTTTTGCTTAAGCATATCTTGGTATGTTGCCTGGAAGTTTATGTGTGTTACTACAGCAGAACAAAGAATTATGTAATATAAAGCCCAACTTGTTTTTCTTTTCCCTACCAGCTGTACTATAACTTAGACAAAACTCAACCATTTTCTTTCATTATGTACAGTGGCTATTAAAAAGAAAGGATGTAGAAAAATTTTTTTCAGGAAACAGTGGAAAACTAATGCGTCATGATCTGCTTAACAGGGGACTGTAAATAGAAGCAAGTCCAGATCATGGAAATTGCTTCTTTAAAATATTTTTTTTCAATTTTAAAAGGAATACATTCACATGGTTTAAAAAAACCCCTCAAACTAAAGAAGAATACAGA
The DNA here is from genome assembly GCF_000001405.40 of Homo sapiens. NCBI lineage: Eukaryota > Metazoa > Chordata > Mammalia > Primates > Hominidae > Homo > Homo sapiens. Next base: position 119,161,423 of record NC_000001.11, read on the forward strand.
ATAAGAAGTAAAAGTTCTACCCTCCAACCTACTACCCCAACTCCTGAATCCCACTGCCAAGAGAAACAGTCATTTGTTGTGCATCTTTCTAGAAGAATTCTATGCATATTACAGAGGTGTCACAAATACCCACATGCTTTCTTCCCTTACAAGCTCTGTGACTTGATTTTTCTCTTTACTGTGCTTTAAGCATCTTTGCATATTAGTAAACATATACACCTCAGTTAAAAAAAATCAACAGCTGGGTGTAGTGGTGCATACCTGTAGTCCCAGCAATTTGGGAGGCAGAGAGGCAGGAAGATCCCCTGAGCCCAGGAATTCTAATCTACCCTGGGCATCTTGGCAAGACCCTGTCTCTTAAGAAAAAAACTATCGCAAGAACAAAAAACCAAACACCGCATATTCTCACTCATAGGTGGGAATTGAACAGTGAGATCACATGGACACAGGAAGGGGAATATCACACTCTGGCGACTGTTGTGGGGTGGGGGGAGGGGGGAGGGATAGCATCGGGGGATATACCTAATGCTAGATGACGAGTTAGTGGGTGCAGCGCACCAGCATGGCACGTGTATACATATGTAACTAACCTGCACAATGTGCACATGTACCCTAAAACTTAAAGTATAATAAAAAAAAAAGAAAAAAATCAAAAGCTTTATAGTATTCTGTTGAGTAAGAGTATTATTATTTGTTTATACAACCTCTTTTTGGTGAACATTTGAATTGTGTTTAGATAGTTACTAATGCAAACAATACTTCCAGTGAACTTTTGTAAATATATATTTGTATATATAAGAGAATAAATCTTATACCTGCAGAGTAAATTTCTAAAAGTGAATCACTAATTCTGAGATTATGTGCATCTCCAGAGATGTTAACAAACATACACACCCAGCAACAGTGCAAGACAGTGTATTTCCCAACTGCTCCCTCACTGAGATTTTTAAAAAACATATAAATACTATTATAAGTTACCTCTGGAGTTAAAGAATAACTTTTGCTTTTTACTTTCATAGACATCTGTACTATGTAAACTTGATATAGTGAGGATGTTTTCTTTTGTAATTAAAAGATTAAAGAGATTCAGAATACTTGTTTGTAATTGGTTTTGGAATGAAATTTCACTTGGAAAATAAAGGCCTAGAATATGAGACTATTCATCAATAGAAAACCATTGTAGGGAGCAGTTAACAGGTAAAGCTCTATTTAATAAGGGCAAGCTGATGGCAGGGAAAGGAACAGACCTTAAAAAGGACTCACCTGTGAGAATTGGAGACGGTAACCCTGTGGTATCAAAATGCAGGAGACCAGAGATAGCTATAAATCTCTTGCAGTGTTACTGCCTCCGCATGAAGTCATAATCCCTAGAATGAGAATTTATTTTTCATGATACACCGATAATGCAAGGGACAATGATCAGGAAGTACTGCACTTAGTCTTTCTTTCTCATACCTAAAATGTTTTTCATTTTATGCTTTTTTAGAATAGAGTGTACTTACTTCCTCTCTTCCTCACATAGACTTGAAAACTCGGCGACTTTAGGATGCAACTCCAGGTTGACACATTTTCATTAGTTTAGAAAACCCACGTGTCCCACTCTCAGAATCATTATTATAGTAGAGGAGATATTCAGGGCAAGGATTCCTTGGGAAACAACATCCAGATTCAAGGGAAGACATCTGAGTCACGACAACTTAAAATCCATCCTGGCCTGCCACAAAGTGTTTCTGTAACATTAAGTACCTCATATGCAATTCTTGAAAAGGAAAATTATGTCAATATAACGTGAAATTTGTGAAACTCAAACATGATCATCTAGGCAAGGAGAGCTGAAATAGAAGAAATAAAATTATAGCCTCTAATATGAAAGGAAATACTTTTAGTGTGGTTGCTGCTAAGCAGTAGTTTTTTTCAACTGTATTTAAAAAAAATAAAAAGAAGCACTTGATTGCTGGTGATAGTGCAAGCTTGTATAAACCCAATGAAGTGAATTTAACAATACCAGCATTTACTCTTTGTTAAGAACTGAATTGTGTTCCTGTCACATTTATATGTTGACATCTTTACCCCCAGTACCTCAGAATGTGACTGTATCCGTGGACAGAGCCTTTAAAGAGGTTAACTAAGGTAAAGTGAGATCATTTGGGTGGGCCCTAATCCAATCTTGTAGTAAGAGATTAGGACACAGACAATACACAGAGGCCAAGTGAAGAGAAGACACAGGGAGAAGTTAGCCATCTACAAGCCAAATGAGAGAGGTCTGAGAAGAAATCCTATTTGCTGCCACCTTGATCTTGGAATTCCAGCATCCAGAACTGTGAAAAAATGCATTCGAATTATTTAAGCCACATAGTCTCTGGTATTTTTTTTTTTTTAGATGGAGTCTCGCTCTGTCACCCAGGCTGGAGTGCAGTGGCGCTATCTTGGCTCACTGCAAGCTCCACCTCCCGGGTTCACACCATTCTCCTGCCTCAGCCTCCCTAATAGCTGGGACTACAGGCGCCCATCACCACGCCCGGCATGGTCTCAATCTGCTGACCTCACGATCCGCCCACCTCGGCCTCCCAAAGTGCTGGGATTACAGGCGTGAGCCACTGCGCCTGGCCCAATCTGTGGTATTTTTTTATGGCAGCCCTAGCAGACTCAGACACTCATGGACACGTAACTCCGGAAACATATTTCCACAAAACAGATGCTTGTAATCCCAACACTTTGTGAGTCCGAGGTGGGTGGATCACCTGAGGTCAGAGGTTTGACACCAGCCTGACCAATATGGTGAAACTTCGTCTCTACTAAAAATACAAAAATTAGCCAGGTGTGGTGGCAGGTGCCTGTAGTTCCGGCTACTCGGGAGGCTGAGACAGGAGAACTGCTTGGACCTGGGAGGCAAAGGTTGCAGTGAGCCGAGATTGCTCCACTGCACTCCAGCCTGGGCGACAGAGCGAGACTCTGTCTCAAAAAAATTATATATATACACACACACACACACACACATATATATACACACATATATATACACACATATATATACACACATATATATATAATTAAAATTATTCACAAAAATTATTCACAAAAAAGGAACGAAAATGGAAACAAACTAATTTCTTGCCATAGGAGAATGGTGAACTATGATATATTCACACAGTGGAGTATGATGTACCCACAAAAAAACTGAGGAAAGCTGGCTGGGCATGGTGGCACACCAGCATTTTGGGATGCCAAGGAGGGAGGATGGCTTGAGCTCAGGAGTTCGAGACCAGCCTGGCCAACATGGCAAAACCCCATCTGTACTAAAAATACCAAAATTAGCCAGAGGTGGTGGCATGGGCCTGTAGTCGCAGCTACTTGGCAGGGGCCGAGGCAGGAGGATGGCTTGAACATTGGAGGTCGAGGCTGCAGTGAACTGAGATGGCACCACTGTATTCTGGCCTGGGTGACAAAGTGAGACTCTGTCTCAGAAAAAAAATACTGTGGAAAGCCTCTATGTCCCAATATGAAACAATCTCCTGGATATACTCTTGTGGAAAAAAGCAACGTTCCACAGAGTATATGTAGTAAGTTTTATCTATGTCAGAAAGAAGGAGAAATAAAAATATGTGTATGTATTTGCATATTTTTGTAAAAGGTAAACACAGGAAGGATAAACCAAAAATGCAAATAATGACCTGAGGTGACTGGGCGGTGGGGTGGGGGGTGGGGGGCGGGGTAATGAGCTAGATAAGACAGGGAGGGGAGTGTGATATCCTTGAGTATATCTTTTTATGCAGTTTGAATTTTTGAGTCATATGAATGTTTTACAATTTCAGAAATAAATTGAAAAGTTGAAAGAAGCAAACCGTACAATTGAATACATTCAGAAAAAAAAAAAACCACTTGACAAGTTGATAACACAATGATGTAGGTGAAAAGAATGAAAGTAACTTTTGAAGATAGTAATGTGAATGGGATCCATCACTCAAAGATCTGCAATAAAATCTGAAATAGTAGATTTGTTATTAGAAGTGGCATTAGAGTACTGAAATTATTTTATTTGTATTGCAGGCTGGAGAAAAAATTGTGTTCAGGCAGTTGGGAACTTAGGTTTTTCCCTGTTTAAGAAAAGAGATTTAAATACAAATGGGGAAAAGTTAGGAGGAACTCTGAAACTGGAGGATACCATGATGAGCTCTGTACCAGTAGCATTAAGCACATCTGGAAATTAGATCTTGGTTTCCAGATATCATTCTTCACTAAAGACAACAGGACTTTTTGGGCAAATGGCTAATTCTAAGTTTGGAGAAAGGAAACCACAAGACAACCCTGGAATATTTAGTGTCAGAAATCAAGGGAGTGCTCAAAGATTGGAAAAGACATGTCTAGGTAGGATGCGGTGGCTCACGCCTGTAATCCCAGCATTTTGTGAGGCTTAGATGGGCAGATCGCTTGAGTCCAGGAGTTCAAGACCAGCCTGGACAACATGGCAAGGCCCCATCTCTACAAAAAATACAAAATATTTAGCCAGGCATGGTAGTGCGTGCCTGTAGTCACAGCTACTAGGGAAGCTGAGGTGGGAGGATGGCTTGAGCCCAGGAGCTGGAGGCTGCAGTGAGCCAAGATCATGCCACTGCACTCCAGCGAGGATGACAGAGCCAGACTCTGTCTCAAAAAAAAAAAAAAAAAAAAAAAAAAAAGATGTCTAAAGAACACAGGAACAGGCTTGATGGGATGGGGCTCCGAGTGGCCACATTTCAGACAGTTTGAGAATCTCAATAACATATAACACATTAATTATAATGTGTGATTACTTATTATATATAATGATAATATAATTGGATATAATGCATTGAATTTTTAAAAATCCATGTGTATAGTGATACTAAAGAAAAGACAGGAGGACGGAGGAAAATTCTCCTTTACAAAAGAATACCAACTAATATATGTAGAAGGGTGATAAATTTACAGATATATCATTTTGCAACGTTTATGCAATAACAGATTCAGGTAAAAATCATCAATGATAAATTGCTAATAGAGAGCAGAGTATTATCCATACATCTCAAAGTGTTACATCACAGATAGCTATCAATTACAAATGGAAAAGGCATATTCCAAATGGAGACATTCAGCAGATGCCACCTAAATAAATGATTAACACTTAGCATTACCAATGGGACAAACTGATGTTAGGTGTATTGGCTGGGATGAAATGGGAAGTGTACAACATCACTTATGTAGTATACTTGCTGAAATATTTAACCTGCATCCAAACAGCAATAACCAGTCAGACAAATCCAGATTGTTGAGCACTCTTTAAGACTACAGATATGGGCTTTTGAAAAATGTCCATGTCATAAAGTGAGTAAAGGTTGGAAGGAGGGAACTGTCCTATATTACAAGAGATAAAGAAACATGAAAAATAAATTCGTCCGTAACCCTGGGTTTGATCTTGGGTTGAAATAGCAAGAAAAGAATATTACTGGGTCAATTAAGGGAATTTGAGTATAGACTGTATATTAGGTAATGTTACGGTGTCAGTTTTAACTTTATTGGATATAACAATAACATGAATAAATACAGTAATCAATTTTTCAGATATATGCTGAAGTACTTAGGGTTGAAATGTTACATTTGTAAATGACTTAGCAAACAAATACTTCTTAAAGTTTTGTAATTGTAGGTTTTACATTTAGGTGTATAATCCAAATTGAGTTATTTTTTGTAGTATGTTGTGAGTTATGGATTGAAGTTCACTTTTTTTGCCTATGAATATACAATTGTTCCAGAACCATTTATTGGAAAACTCTCCTTTGTCTATTTAATTGCCTTTGCTCCTTTGTTAAAAATCAGTTGACTCTCTATTCTGTTCTATACATCTATTTATCTTTCTGACATCAATACCGCAGTGTCGTGATTGTTACAACTTTATAATGTCTTGAAGTCAGGTAGTATATTCTCCAACTTTATTCTACTTTTTCAAAGTGTGTTGAGTATTCCAGTGCCTTTCTATTGTCATATAAATTTTAGAATCACCTTGTCAATTTCTCCAAAAAAATGCCTATGTAGATTTTTATTGGGTATGCATTGAATCCATAGATCAATCTGGGGAGTACTGTTTACATCTTAACAATATAGAATCTTGCTATTCATTAATGCAATGTATCACTTCATTTACTTAGATCTTCTTTAATTTTTCTCAGCAATATTTTGTAGTTTGCAGTAACCAAATATTAAACATCTATTGTCAAGTTTATCCCTGTTTCATACTTTTTGATGTTTTGTACATTTACAAATTTAATAGTATTTATATACAACAGAAGCAATTAGAAATTGAAATTTTTTATTTTAAAAATTGAAATTTTTGTATTTTAGTAGAGGTGAGGTTTCACCATGTTGGCCAGGCTGGTCTTGAACTCCTGACCTCAAGTGATTCACCCGCCTCAGCCTCCCAAAGTGCTGGGGTTACAGGCATGAGCCACTGTGTCCAGCGAAGCTCAACTTTTTTAGATTCACATATGAGTGAGATCATGTGGTATTTGTCTTTCTGTGTCTGGCTTATTTCACTTAACATAGTATCCTCTAGGTTCATCTACGTTGTAGCAATTGACAGAATTTCCTTCTTTTTAAAGAGTGTATACTATTCCATTGTGTATATGTACCCCATTTTCTTTATCTATTCATCTGTTGATGGACAGTTAAGTTGGTTTCATAGCTGGGTTATTGTGAATAATGCTGCAGTGAACATGGGAGTGCAGATATCTCTTCACCATTCTGATTTCATATCCTTTGGATATATACTCAGTGGTAAGATTGCTGGCTCATATGGTAGTTTTGTTTTTAATTTTGTGAGGGACCTTCATACTGTTTTTTTGTTTTGTTTTGTTTTTGTTTTTTTGCAGTTGCAAGATTTAATAGAGTGAAAACAGAGCTCTCATAAAATGGGAGGGGACCCAAAGGGGGTTGCCGTTGCTGGCTCAAATGCCTGGGCTTGTATCCTGATCATTGTCCCTCCCCTGTGCTCTCAGGCGATAGATGACTGGCTATTTCTTTACCTCCTGTTTTTGCCTAATTAGCATTTTAGTGAGCTCTCTTTACTACCTTACTGGTTGGGTGTGAGCTAAGTTGCAAGCCCCGTGTTTAAAGGTGGATGTGGTCACCTTCCCAGCTAGGCTTAGGGATTCTTAGTCAGCCTAGGAAACCCAGCTAGTCCTGTCTCTCAGTCCCCCCTCTCAACAGGAAAATGCAAGCGCTGTTGGGGAGGTTGGCCGATGACCGCTGTAACTGCTTCCTGCTGAATTGGGGCATAGTGGGGGTCGTGCAGTTGAGATTTCCTCAGGAAGGGTGCCTTTGATGTCATCAACATTGGAGCATGGGCTAGCAGGCTGGTCCAGGGGTCTGCGGTAGATCTTAGTCATGGACTACATCTGGGGCTCCATTTGAAGATTTGTAGTTTTACAGCTTCGATTCTGGAATAGACAAACTTAACAAGGAGGTTAAAGATACAGGGATTGAAATGTGTGGCCTGAAGTTCAGGGGATTATTTCTTTGGCCCACTTCACAGGCCCTGCCTATCTGCTTCAAAGTTTTGAAAAGGCCTGGTCCAGTAAATAATAATTTGGCCATCTGATGGGTGCTATCAATGCCTAAGTGAAAGGTTAGGTGAAGGGTTTTAAGTAATTTCCATCGGTTAGCTGCAGGCAAAAGTATTTTTCCTTCTTCGGTGGCTAGCCATCCTGAGGGGAGGAAACTATGTCCTTGTGAGGTTCCCCATTCTATTTCTCCTGCTGAGTACTGGAGCTTGGTTTCCCGGAGGGGATTACCCCATACTAGGTGTCCTTCTATAAGCATTTCTAATGGAGGGTCCTGCATTGCGGCTCTTTTGGCTTCAATATCCGCTTGGCAGTTCCCTTCTATTTCCCTTTCCTTTCCTTTCTGATGACCCTGTCAGTGTAAGACTGCCACCTCTTTAGGTTTCTGTACAGCCAATAATAATCTCCTAATGGCTTCCTGATGTTTGATAGGTGTTCCCTCGGAAGTTAGGAATTCCTTTTCTCTCCATATTGCTGTGTGGGCATGGAGGACTAGGTAAGCATACTTAGAGTCTGTATATATATTTACCCTTTTTCTTTCTCCTAATTCTAGTGCCTGAATGAGGGCTATTAGTTCTGCCAGCTGAGCGCTAGTTCCTGAAGTGAGGGGATTACTTTCAAGTACTCCATTATCACTGACCACTGCATACCCCACTTTTAGAAGTCCTTTTTCTACAAAGGAACTTCCATCAGTATACAAGTTGAGGTCAGGATCAGTCAAGGAAACCTCTAGAAGGTCCCCTCGAGTGGCATAGGTTTGAGCAATCATCTGTTAACAGTTATGTTCTATCTTTCCTTTATTGTCTAGAAGAAATGTGGCTGGGTTAAGAGTTGCACAAGTGCACAGTTGCAGCACTGGCCCTTCAGGTAATAGAGCCTGATATTTTAGCAAACGGTTGTCTGACAGCCACAAGTTTCCTTTAGCAGTCAGTATGCCATTTACATCATGAGATGTCCACACAGTAAGATCTCTTCCCTGTATTATTTTAACTGCTTCAGATACTAAGACTGCTACTGCCGCCACTACCCGTAAACAGTGAGGCCAACCCTTTGCCGCTACATCAGTTTCCTTACTCAGGTATGCCACGGGTTGCAAGCTGGTCCCTCGGACCTGTGTAAGGACTCCTAGATCTATTCCTTTTTTTTCTGTGACATATAAAGAAAAGTCTTGCCCCGTTGGCAAGCTTAACACTAGGGCTTGGGTTAGGGCCTTCTTTAGGGCCTGGAAAGCCACTTCTGCTTCAGGTGTCCATCTTACTAAATGGGTATTGGCTTTCTGAGTTTCCTTAATTAGTGTATATAATGGCCTGGCTATTTCGCCATACCTGGGAATCCATATTCGGCAGAAGCCTGTTATGCCAAGGAACCCTCTTGGTTGCTTTAAGGTTTTGGGATGAGGATAAGCCAGTATAGACTGGATACATTCCTCACTGAGGGCCCTGGTGCCTTTGGATAATTTTAGCCCTAAGTATTTAACCTGCTGTGAGCAGAGCTGAGCCTTTGGTTTGGAAACCGTGTAGCCATGGAAAGGAAATTTGGCGAGGAAATTTAAGAGCGCTTGGGTGGCTTGATGGCATAAGGTTTCTGAACGGGTGGCTAAAAGTAAATCATCCACTTATCAAAGGACAAGAGTGTCCAGGTATTAGAACTGGCTCAAGTCTTGGGCTAATGCCTGGCCAAATAGATGGGGGCTATCCCTGAACTCTTGGGGTAAAACAGTCCAGGTGGGTTGAGACGTTGAGTTCGAAGGATCTTCAAAGGCAAACAAGAATCGACAGTCAGGATGTACAGGTATGCAGAAAAAGGTATCCTTAAGGTCCAGGACTGTAAACCACTCTGCTTCCTCTGGTATTTGGGAAAGCAGAGTATAAGGGTTAGGTACAGCTGGGTATAGAGGGACAACAGCCTCATTGGTAATCCTGAGATCTTGCACTAACCTCCACTGTCCGTTAGGTTTCTGTACTCCTAAAATTGGAGTATTGCAGGGGCTATTGCATGGTTTTACTAGGCTTTGGGCTTTTAGGTCCTTAACAATCTTTTGGAGTCCTTGTTGGGCCTTGTGTCTAAGGCAGTACTGCCTTTGGTAGGGAAAGGAGGTGGAATCCTTTAACTTGAACAGGATGGGCATTCTTTGCTCATCCATATTGTCCTTCTGTTGCCCAGACTTCAGGATTAATTTTTTCCTCAAGCAGGGGACAACAAATGGGTGTTCCTTCTCCTATGTTCAGGTGGATAATGGCCCCTGCTTTTGCTAGAATGTCTCTCCCTAACAAGAGAGTGAGGCTTTCAGGCATAATTAGAAAAGCATGTGAAAAGTTCCCCAGTCACAACTTAGTGGCTGGGAGAAGTATCTAGTGACTGGCTGTCCTAGTAAGAGGTGACAGCATGCTGCTAGCCTTCGCAGCCCTCGCTCGCTCTCAGTGCCTCCTCTGCCTGGGCTCCCACTTTGGCGGCACTTGAGGAGCCCTTCAGCCCACCGCTGCACTGTGGGAGCCCCTTTCTGGGCTGGCCAAGGCCGGAGCTGGCTCCCTCTGCTTGCAGGGAGGTGTGGAGGGAGAGGCGCGAGCGGGAATCGGGGCTGCGCGCGGCGCTTGTGGGCCAGCGTGAGTTCCAGGTGGGCATGGGCTTGGCGGGCCCCCAAACTCAGAGCGGCCAGCTGGCCCCACCTGCCCCAGGCAGTGAGGGGCTTAGCATCTGTGCCAGCAGCTGCTGTGCTCTACTTCTCTCCGGGCCTTAGCTGCCTCCCTGCGGGGCAGGGCTTGGGACCTGCAGCCCGCCATGCCTGAGCCTCCCCCGCCTCCATGGTCTCCTGCGCGGCCCAAGCCTCCCTGACGAGCGCCGCCCCCTGCTCCACGGCACCCAGTCCCATCGACCACCCAAGGGCTGAGGAGTGCGGGCGCACGGCATGGGACTGGCAGGCAGCTCCACCTGCGGCCCCGGTGCGGGATCCACTGGGTGAAGCCAGCTGGGCTCCTGACTCTGGTGGGGACCAGGAGAACCTTTATGTCTAGCTAAGGGATTGTAAATACACCAATCGGCACTCTGTATCTAGCTCAAGGTTTGTAAACACACCAATCAGCACCCTGTGTCTAGCTCAGGGTTTGTGAATGCACCAATCGACACTCTGTATCTAGCTACTCCAGTGGGGACGTGGAGAACCTTTGTGTCTAGCTCAGGGATTGTAAACGCACCAATCAGTGCTCTGTCAAAACAGACCACTCAGCTCTCTGTAAAATGGACCAATCAGCAGGATGTGGGTGGGGCCAGATAGAATAAAAGCAGGCTGCCCCAGCCAGCAGTGGCAACCCACTTGGGTCCCCTTCCACACTGTGGAAGCTTTGTTCTTTCGCTCTTTGCAATAAGTCTTGCTGCTGCTCACTCTTTGGGTCCACACTGCCTTTATGAGCTGTAACACTCACCGCAAAAGTCTGCAGCTTCACTCCTGAAGCCAGCAAGACCACGAACCCACCGGGAGGAATGAACAACTCCCGATGCGCCGCCTTAAGAGCTGTAACACTCACCGCAAAGGTCCGCAGCTTCACTCCTGAGCCAGCGAGACCACGAACCCCACCAGAAGGAAGAAACTCCAAACACATCCAAACATCAGAAGGAACAAACTCCGGACACACCACCTTTAAGAACTGTAACACTCACCGTGAGGGTCCGCAGCTTCATTCTTGAAGTCAGTGAGACCAAGAACCCACCAATTCTGGACACATTTTGGCGACCCAGATGGGACTTTTGCTTATCGCCAAGCAGTGAGACTATCGCCGAGTGGTGACACCAACGCCTATCGCTGAGCGGTGAGACTGTCACCTATCGCCAAGCAGTGAGTACCATCGGACCCCTTTCGCTTGCTACTCTGTTGTATTTTTCCTTAGAATTCGGGGGCTAAATACTGGGCACCTGTCGGCCAGTTAAAAGCGACTAGTGTGGCTGCCAGACTAAAGACACTGGTGTCCGGCTTTCTGGGAAAGGGCTCTCTAACAACCCCCAACTCTTCGGAGTTGGGACCATTGGTTTGCCTAGAACCAGCTTCCGCTTTTCCTGTACTTCTGGGCTGAGCCGAGGGTCAACAGAGAGGAAAGCCGTGCAGCTCCCGGGTCCCAACAAGTTGGTTGACCCTGTGGCCATGAGCGGAACTCTCAAAGGCATGTCGCCCAAGCGAGACTCACCCATCTATCCTATCTATCCTGACCCTTGCCTCCTGGGTCCTAATGCCTGCCAGACAAACTTCCTCTCACCTCTCTTCTCCGAGGTTAGTCCCACTTCTAAAAATTGCTGCCTGTCTCTGGTGCTTTTCTAGTTTCTCCTGTAAGAATGATTTCTAGTATTAACTCCAAGACTCTGTTACCTTCTTTAGGCACCCGGGCTCACCAATCAGAAAGACATAATTTTTGCCCAAAGCCCCATCGTAGTGGGGACTACCTGGAATTTTAGGATCCCTTCTCAGACTAACAGGCCTAACAAAAGCTGTTCCTGAAGCTAGGATATGGGGAGCCTTAGAAATTGTATCCTTCCTATTCATATAAGTGAGGACAAAAGGTGTCACTCTTCCAACCCTGGAGATCCCTTCCCTCCCTCAGGGTATGGCCCTCCACTTCATTTTTGGGGCATAACATCTTTATAGGACAGGGGTATAGTCCCATTACTAACAGGAGAATGCTTAGGACTCTAACAGGTTTTTGAGAATGCGTCGGTAAGAGCCACTAAATCCGATTTTTCTCGGTCGGTCCTCCTTGTGGTCTAGGAGGACAGGCAAGGGTGCAGGTTTTTGAGAATTCATCAGTAAGGGCCACTAAATCCAACCTTCCTCGGTCCTCCATGTGGTCTGGGAGGAAAACTAGTGTTTCTGCTGCTGCGTCAGTGAGCGCAACTATTCTGATCAGCAGGGTCCAGGGACCGTTGCGGGTTCTTGGGCAGGGGTTGTTTCTGCTGCTGCATCAGTGAGTGCAGCTATTCCGATCAGCAGGGTCCAGGGACCGTTGTGGGTTCTTGGGCAGGGGGAGAAACAAACCAAAACCGCAGGCGGTTTTGTCTTTCAGATGGGAAACACTCAGGCATCAGCAGGCTCACCCTTGAAATGCATCCTAAGCCACTGGGACCAATTTGACCCAAAAACCCTGAAAAAGAGGTGGCTCATTTTTTTCTGCACTACGGCTTGGCCCCAATATTCTCCTTCTGATGGGGAAAAATGGCCACCTGAGGGAAGTACAAATTACAATACTACCCTGCAGCTTGACCTTTTCTGTAAGAGGGAAGGCAAATGGAGTGAAATACCTTATGTCCGAGCTTTCTTTTCATTGAGGGAGAATACACAACTATGGAAAGCTTACAATTTACATCCCACAGGAGGACCTCAGCTTGCCCCCATATCCTAGCCTCCCTATAGCTCCCCTTCCTATTAATGATAATCCTCCTCTAATCTCCCCTGCCCAGAAGGAAATAAGCAAAGAAATCTCCAAAGGTCCACAAAAGCCCCCGGGCTATCGGTTATGTCCCCTTCAAGCTGTAGGGTGAGAGGAATTTGGCCCAACCCGGGTACATGTCCCCTTCTCCCTCTGTGATTTAAAGCCAATCAAGGCAGACCTGGGGAAGTTTTCAGATGATCCTGATAGGTACATAGATGTCCTACAGGGTCCAGGGCAAACCTTTGACCTCACTTGGAGAGATGTCATGCTACTGTTAGATCAAACCCTGGCCTTTAATGAAAAAGAATGTGGCTTTAGCTGCAGCCTGAGAGTTTGGAGATACCTGGTATCTTAGTCAAGTAAATGATAGAATGACAGCTGAAGAAAGGGACAAATTCCCTACCGGTCAGCAAGCCATCCCCAGTATGGATCCCCACTGGGACCTTGACTCAGATCATGGGGGCTGGAGTCATAAACATATGTTGACCTGTGTTCTAGAAGGACTAAGGAGAATTAGAGAAAAGCCCATGAATTATTCAGTGATGTCCACCATATCTCAGGGAAAGGAAGAAAATCCTTCTGCCTTCCTCGAGCGGCTACGGGAGGCCTTAAGAAAATATACTCCCCTGTCACCCAAATCACTCGAGGGTCAATTGATTCTAAAAGATAAGTTTATTACCCAGTCAGCTGCAGGCATCAGGAGAAAGCTCCAAAAGCAAGCCCTGGGCCCTGGACAAAATCTAGAGACATTTTTAAACCTGGCAACCTCGGTGTTCTATAATACGGACCAAGAGGAACAGGCCCAAAAGGAAAAGCAAGATCAGAGAAAGGCCGCAGCCTTAGTCATTGCCCTCGGACAGACAAACCTTGGTGGTTCAGAGAGGACAGAAAATGGAGCAGGCCAATCACCTGGTAGGGCTTGTTATCAGTGTGGTTTACTAGGACACTTTAAAAAAGATTGTCCAATGAGAAACAAGCTGCCCCCTCATCCATGTCCACTATGCCGAGGCAATCACTGGAAGGTGCACTGCCTCAGAGGACAAAGGTTCCCTGGGTCAGAAGCCCCCAACTAGATGATCCAACAACAGGACTGAGGGTGCCCGGGGCAAGCGCCGGCTCATGTCATCACCCTCAGTGAGCCCCAGGTATGTTTAACTATTGAGGGCCAGGAAATTGACTTCCTCCTGGACACTGGCACGGACTTCTCAGTGTTAATCTACTGTCCTGGATGACTGTTCTCAAGGTCCATTACCATCTGAGGAATCCCAGGACAGCCTGTAACCAGGTATTTCTCCCACCTCCTCAGTTGTACTTGGGAGACTTTGTTTTTTTCACTTGCCTTTCTTGTTATGCCTGAAAGTCGCACACCCTTATTAGGGAGGGATATATTAGCCAAGGCTGGAGCTATTATCTACATGAATATGGGGAACAAGGTACCCATTTGTTGTCCCCTACTTGAGGAGGGAATCAACCCTGAAGTCTGGGCATTGGAAGGACAATTTGGAAGGGCAAAAAATGCCCTCCCAGTCCAAATCAGGTTAAAAGATCCCACCACTTATTCCTTATCAAAGGCAATATCCCTTAAGGCCTGAAGCTCATAAAGGATTAAAGAATATTGTTAAACATTTGAAAGCTCAAGGCCTAGTAAGGAAATGCAGCAGTTCCTGCAACACCCCAATTCTAGGAGTACAAAAACCGAATGGTCAGTGGGGAGTAGTGCAAGATCTTAGACTCATTAATGAGGCAGTAATTCCTCTATATCCAGTTGTACCCAACCCCTATACCCTGCTCCCTCAAATACCAGAGGAAGCAGAATGGTTCATAGTTCTGGACCTCAAGGATGCCATCTTCTGTATTCCCCTGCACTCTGACTCCCAGTTTCTCTTTGCCTTTGAGGATCCCACAGACCACACTCCCCAACTTATGTGGACGGTCTTGCCCCAAGGGTTTAGGGATAGCCCTCATCTGTTTGGTTAGGCACTGGCCAAGATCTAGGCCACTTCTCAAGTCCAGGCACTCTGGTCCTTCAATATGTGGATGATTTACTTTTGGCTACCTGTTCAGAAGCCTCGTGCCAGCAGGTTACTCCAGATCTCTTGAACTTTCTAGCTCATCAAGGGTACAAGGTGTCTAGGTCGAAGGCCCAGCTTTGCCTACAGCAGGTCAAATATCTAGGCCTAATCTTAGCCAGAGGGACCAGGGCCCTCAGCAAGGAACGAATACAGCCTATACTGGCTCATCCTCGCCCTAAGACATTAAAACAGTTGCGGGGGTTCCTTGGAATTACTGGCTTTTGCTGACTATGGATCCCCAGATACAGAGAGATAGCCAGGCCCCTCTATACTCTAATTAAGGAAACCCAGAGGGCAAATACTCATCTAGTAGAATGGGAACCAGAGGCAGAAACAGCCTTCAAAACCTTAAAGCAGGCCCTAGTACAAGCTCCAGCTTTAAGCCTTCCCACAGGACAAAACTTCTCTTTATACATCACAGAGAGAGCCAGGATAGCCCCTGGAGTCCTTACTGAGACTCGTGGGACAACCCCACAACCAATGGCGTACCTAAGTAAGGAAATTGATATAGTAGAAAAAGGCTGGCCTCACTGTTTAAGGGTAGTTGCAGCAATGGCCGTCTTAGTTTCAGAGGCTATCAAAATAATACAAGGAAAGGATCTCACTGTCTGGACTACTCATGATGTAAATGGCATACTAGGTGCCAAAGGAAGTTTATGGCTATCAGACAACCGCCTACTTAGATACCAGGTGCTACTCCTCGAGGGACCGGTGCTTCAAATACACACGTGCATGGCCCTCAACCCTGCCACTTTTCTCCCAGAGGATGGGGAACCAATCGAGCATGACTGCCAACAAATTATAGTCCAGACTTACGCCACCCGAGATGATCTCTTAGAAGTCCCCTTAAGTAATTCTGACCTTAACCTATATACCGATGGAAGTTCATTTGTGGAGAATGGGATACAAAGGGCAGGTTATGCCATAGTTAGTGATGTAACCATACTTGAAAGTAAGCCTCTTCCCCAGGGACCAGTGCCCAGTTAGCGGAACTAGTGGCACTTACCCGAGCCTTAGAACTGGGAAAGGGAAAAAGAATAAATGTGTATACAGATAGCAAGTATTCTTATCTAATCCTACATGCCCATGCTGCAATATGGAAAGAGAGGGAGTTCCTAACCTCTGGGGGAACCCCCATTAAATACCACAAGGAAATTATAGAGTTATTGCACGCAATGCAAAAACCCAAAGAGGTGGGAGTCTTATACTGCCAAAGCCATCAAAATGGGAAGGAGAGGGGAGAACAGCAGCATAAGCAGCTGGCAGAGGCAGAAAGGAAAGAGAGAAAGAGACAGGAAGTCAAAGAGACAGAGAAAGAGACAGAGAGAGGAAGAAACAGAGAGTCAAAGAGAAAGAGACAAAGAGAAGGAGTCAGAGAGAAAGAGGGACAGACACAGAAAGTCAGAGAGTCAGAAAGAGAGGAAGAGACAAAGAAGAAGTCAAAGAGAAAGAGAGATGGAAGTAGTAAGGAAAAAACAGTGTATCCCATTCCTTTAAAAGCCAGAGTAAATTTCTGTCTACCCA
Source organism: Homo sapiens (assembly GCF_000001405.40). Taxonomy (NCBI): domain Eukaryota; kingdom Metazoa; phylum Chordata; class Mammalia; order Primates; family Hominidae; genus Homo; species Homo sapiens. Next base: position 119,178,001 of record NC_000001.11, read on the forward strand.
GCCAAGGCATGTTTTTCTTAGGTGGAACATCAACCTATATCTGCCTCCCCACTAACTGGACGGGCACCTGCACCTTAGTCTTTCTAAGTCCCAACATTAACATTGCCCCAGGAAATCAGACCTTATCAGTACCCCTCAAAGCTCAAGTCCATCAGTGCAGAGCCATACAACTAATACCCCTACTTATAGGGTTAGGAATGGCTACTGCTACAGGAACCAGAATAGCCGGTTTATCTACTTCATTATCCTACTACCACACTCTCTCAAAGGATTTCTCAGACAGTTTGCAAGAAATAACGAAATCTGTTCTTACTTTACAATCCCAAATAGACTATTTGGCAGCAGTGACTCTCCAAAACTGCCAAGGCCTAGACCTCCTCACTGCTGAGAAAGGAGGACTCTGCACCTTCTTGGGGGAAGAGTGCTGTTTGTACACTAACCAGTTGGGGATAGTACAAGATGCCGCCCAGCGTTTACAGGAAAAGACTTCTGAAATCAGACAATGCCTTTCAAACTCTTACACCAACCTCTGGAGTTGGGCAACATGGCTTCTCCCCTTTCTAGGTCCCGTGACAGCCATCTTGCTGTTATTTGCGTTTGGACCCTGTATTTTTAACCCGGTTGTCAAATTTGTTTCCTCTAGAATCAAGGCCATCAAGCGACAGATGTTCTTACAAATGGAACACCAATTGAGTTCAACTTACAACTTCTACTGAGGACCCCTGGACCGACGTGCTGGCACTTCCCCTGGCCTAGAGAGTTCCCCTCTGAAAGACACTACAACTGCAGGGCCCCTTCTTTGCCCCTATCCAGCAGGAAGTAGCTAGAGCGGTCATCAGCCAAATTCCCAACAGCAGTTGGGGTGTCCTGTTTAGAGGGGGGATTGAGAGGTGACAGCGTGCTGGCAGCCCTCGCAACCCTCGCTTGCTCTTGGTGCCTCCTCTGCCTGGCTCCCACTTTGGCAGCACTTGAGGAGCTCTTCAGCCCACCGCTGCACTGTGGGAGCCCCTTTCTGGGCTGGCCAAGGCTGGAGCTGGCTCCCTCAGCTTGCAGGGAGGTGTGGAGGGAGAGGCATGGGCGGGAACCAGGGCTGCGCATGGCGCTTGCTGGCCAGTGAGAGTTCCGGGTGGGCGTGGGCTCGGCGGGTCCCCGCACTCAGAGCAGCCAGCTGGCCCCGCCTGCCCCGGGCAGTGAGGGGCTTAGCACCTGTGCCAGCAGCTGCTGTGCTCTACTTCTCGCCGGGCCTTAGCTGCCTCCCCGTGGGGCAGGGCTTGGGACCTGCAGCCCACCATGCCTGAGCCTCCCTCGCCTCTGTGGGCTTCTGTGTGGCCCGAGCCCCCCCGACGAGCACCACCCTCTGCTCCATGGCGCCCAGTCCCATCGACCACCCAAGGGCTGAGGAGTGCGGTTACACAGCGTGGGACTGACAGGCAGCTCCACCTGCGGCCCTGGTGCAGGATCCACTGGGTGAAGCCAGCTGGGCTCCTGACTCTGGTGGGGAGTTGGAGAACCTTTATGTCTAGCTAAGGGATTGTAAATACACCAATAGGCACTCTGTATCTAGCTCAAGGTTTGTAAACACACCAATCAGCACCCTGTGTCTAGCTCAGGGTTTGTGAATGTAACAATTGACACTATGTATCCAGCTACTCTGGTGGGGACTTGGAGAACCTTTGTATCTAGCTAGGGGATTGTAAATACACCAATCGGCATTCTGTATCTAGCTCAAGGTTTGTAAACACACCAATCAGCACCCTGTGTCTAGCTCAGGGTTTGTGAATACACCAATTGACACTGTGTATCTAGCTACTCTAGTGGGGACGTGGAGAACCTTTGTGTCTAGCTCAGGGATTGTAAACGCACCAATCAGTGCCCTGTCAAAACAGACCACTCGGCTCTCTGTAAAATGGACCAATCAGCAGGATGTGGGTGGGGCCAGATAAGAGAATAAAAGCAGGCTGCCCCAGCCAGCAGTGGCAACCCGCTTGGGTCCCCTTCCACACTGTGGAAGCTTTGTTCTTTTGCTCTTTGCAGTAAGTCTTGCTGCTGCTCACTCTTTGGGTCCACACTGCCTTTATGAGCTGTAACACTCACGGCGAAGGTCTGCAGCTTTACTCCTGAAGCCAGCAAGACCACAAACCCACCGGGAGGAACAAACACCTCCAGATGCACTGCCTTAAGAGCTGTAACACTCACCGCAAAGGTCCGCAGCTTCACTCCTGAGCCAGCGAGACCATGAACCCCACCAGAAGGAAGAAACTCCAAACACATCCAAACATCAGAAGGAACAAACTCTGGACACGCTGCCTTTAAGAACTGTAACACTCACCGCGAGGGTCTGCGGCTTCATTCTTGAAGTCAGTGAGACCAAGAACCCACCAACCAGACACATTAGGACCCCTCGGATAGTGACAGATCTGGAGGACGGTTGTCTGGGACAGGAGAGTAAGACTGAGAAGGCCACGTCAATGTCCAGGAGACAGTTAATCTCCTGGCCCTCAATGATCAAGCATACCTGGGGCTCTGTGAGGGTGATGGCATGGGCTGGCACTTGCCCTGGGCACCCTCAGTCCTGCTGCTGGATCATCGGGTTAGTGGCTTCTGACTCAGAGGACCTTTGTCCCCTGGGGCAGCGGCCTTCCATTGAGTCCCTTGACATAAGGGGCACGGATGAGGAGGCGGCTTACTTCTATTCTGACAATCTTTTTAAAAGTGTCCTTGTAGACCACACTGGAAGCAAGTCCTATTAGGCATTCAATTTGCCCAGACTTTCCGTGTTCCAAAGCCTCCAATGTCTGCTTGCCTAAGGGCCATGACTAAAGCGGTGGCCTTTTTCTTATCTCATTTGTCCCCTTCCTCCTGCTCCTCCTGATCTCTATTATAAAAAACCGAGGTTGTGAAATCAATAGGGTTCCTAAGTTTTGCTCCGGGCCTAAGGTGGACTTTTGATGTTTTTTCTAATGTCTGCAGCTAACTGAGTGATAAACTTATCCTTTAAGATTAGTTGGCCTTCAATAGAGTCCGGTGACAGAGTGGTATGCTTCCTCAATGCCTCCCTTAGTCTCTCCAGAAAGGCAGTAGGATTTTCTTCCTTTCCCTGTGTGATAGTGGACACCATTGAATAATGTATAGGCTTCTTCCTACTTTTCCTTAGTCCTTCTAGCATGCAAGTTAGTAAATGTCTGTGGCACCAATCTCCATGTATTCTGCGTCCCAGTGAGGGTCTACACTGGGCTTTTTGATTCTGTAAGTACTTTAAGGGTTGGCCGAGTGCAAACAGCTCCCATGTTTGAGCAGACCAATTATTAGGCAATTTTCCTAACTCTGCTTCCGCAAGAGTCTCCCTATCAATTACTGCATACCCATTGTGTTTTTTTTTTTTCCCTCAGTCACCCGGGAGGAACCATCTATCATCCTGCCTTGAAGGTAGTTTCTGCTGGATCTGGTCAGACCTTTGTATGGTAATGAGGATTTAAATCCCCTGTTAGGAAATCTGCTAGGTTAATGTAATTTGCTGTGGTTAATGTTAAATCACCTTTTTCTAGCAGAATAGCCCCATACTTTAAGATTTTTGAGTTAGTAAGCTCCCTTTTTGCTTTTTGACTTAGGATAGTTCTGAACTGGTGAGGTGTGCTCACAATGAGGTTTCCTCTAAAGGTTATTTTTCTGCTTTCTTCTGTTAGCAAAGCAGTTGCTGCTACAGATTGAATGCATTTGGGCCATCCACGGGTTCCTGGGTTAAGGATTTTTGATAGAAAGGCTACTGGTTGTCAGTGGCTTCAGTGCTTTCGGGCTAGGCCTTTGTTTACACTGACAACAAAATGGTATTGGAGTGTTATGGGGTCACAGAGAAGACCTTCAATTATCAATTATAGGTTTTAAATTTACCCTGGCTTTTAAAGAAATAGGGTACACTTTTTTCTTTACTACTTCTATCTTTCTCTTTCTCTCTTTCTTTCTCCTTTCTGTCTTTGTAGATGGATTTTGGAAACCCAGTGGAAGGATGTTCGCTCATTGCCCCCATTTGCCACTATAGGACTATGCGCCTCCCTTTTATTTACTCAATTTGCTTTTATCCTGATCTATTATGTTGTTGTAGACCCAGTTCCAGTTGTTACAATACTGGGTTATCAGTTCTAAGGCCCTGGCAAGGGTGGTGTGGAACAGGTCCCACATAACTGCCCATGTCGAGAGCTCTAAGCCTAAATTGGGAGGGACACCAGGGACAAGACTCCTGGGTTCATAGCCTAGGGGCCTAAGGTCGCAGCATAGAGCTTCCTTAGATCCCTTTGGAGATACTAATACTTGGGAGAGGAAGTGAAAGTCTGAAGCATTAGTATCTAGGAGGCAGGGATCAGAGGAAGTAGATTCAGAGGTAAGGAGAATTTTGGGGCTACACTTTCAAGAAAGTTGTGGTCAGGACCCAGGAGGTATGGGTCAGAAGGAAAGGTAGAGGCACACGCACGGGTGACTGTTGAGTAGGGACTTCTGGCTGCGCCATGATCTCAACCGGCTAATGCCGAGAGTTTGGGATGACAGCTTTCTGCCTCTAGTCGGCCCCCGGCTTCCCCAGGGAAATTGAAAGTGGAAGCTGGTTCCAGGTAGACCAGCGCTTCCAACCCAGAAGCGTTGGGGGTTGTTAGAAAGCCATTCCCCAGACAGCCTCACACTTGAGTCTTAAGTCTGGTGGCCGCCCTATCGTTTTTAACCGTCCGACAGGTGCCTGGTATTTTCCTCCAATTCTAAGGAAGGGTAGAACAGAATAGCAAGCGAAAGCGCTTTGGAGGTCCCTTCATGATTGCCAAAATGTTACCAGGGAGTCCTTGTTCTTAGAGCTCCAAAGATGATGGTGGGCCGCTTCCATGATGGCGGCAAGCCTCTTGTTCTCTGACCTGGGGTTCCTGGCCTCACGGATACTAAGGAATGGAATCTTGGGCCATGCATTGAGTGTTATAGCTCTATTCAGCCCAATTAGGATGAACCCCAGGCACTTAGCCCGCGCAGGAACAATGGCAAGCCTCTAGCCCGATTGGGAGCAGCAATGGACACTGCCTCGCTGGATCACAAGTGCAGCAGATCCACCCCTGCCAGATCCAGAGGGTTGGAAGTCAGCTGCGGGTCTGCAATGACGGCAAACAGTGGTGGACGGCGAGTGAAAGCTCAGCTCGAGCCATAAAAAACACAGACCAGAAGAGTGTGCAGTTGCAAGATTTAATAGAGTGAAAACAGAGCTCCCATAAAATGGGAGGGGACACAAAGGGGGTTGCCCTTCATTCTGTTTTTCATAAGGACTGTACTAATTTACACTCCCACCAACAGTGAATAAGGGTTCCATTTTTTGCACGTCCTTGCCAACACATCTTATCTTCTGTGTTTTTGATAGTAGTCATTCTAATAGGCATGAAGTGATATCTCATTGTGGTTTTAATTTGCATTTCCCTGATGATTTGTGATGTTGAATATTTTTTTCATATACCTACTAGCCATTTGTATGTCTTCATTTGAGAAATTCTATTCAAGTCGTCTGACCAGTTTTTAATTAGGTTATTTGCTTTCTTACTATTGAGTTGTTTCAATTCCTTATATATTTTGGATATTAACCCCTTGTCAGATGTTTGGTTTGCAAATATATTTTCTCATTCTGCAGGTTGTCTCCTTACTCTGTTCATTATTTTTGTAGTTATGCAGAAGCTTTGTAGTTTGATGTAATCCCAGTTGTCCAATTTTGCTTTTGTTGCTTGTCATTTGGGGACATACCCATAATTGATCTTAGCCAAAAGGCTGAGAAGTGATTTGGGTCATATTAAAAAATATCATTGCCAAGACCAATATAATGGAGTTTTTTTCTAGGTTTTCTTCTGGTAAGTTTATAGTTTCAGGTCTTATGTTTAAGTCTTTAATCCATTTTGAGTTGACTTTTTTACAAAGTGTGAGATGAGGGTCTAGTTAATTTTTTTTTTTTGTAAATTGACAAATTATAGTTGTATATATTTATGGGGTACAAAGCAATGTTTTGGTTTATTAATACAATGTGGAATAATTAAATCTAGGTTGATATTAAATCAATAAAATTGACATCCATCACTTTAAATACTTATTTTTTTGTCATGAAACATTTGAAGTTTACTGTTTTAGTGATTTTGAATTGCACAGTACACTAGAATTAACTATATACGTCATGCTGATGTAATAGATTTCAAAAAACAAACACTTATTCCTCCTGTTCAACTGAGGCTTTGTACCTTTTGACAGTCATCTCCCATTCACCCAAACCCCTAGCCTCTGGTAGCCATCATTCTACTCTCTGCGTCTATAAATTTGATTGCTTTAGATTCCACATATAAGTGAGAACCTATGGTATTTGTCTTTGTGTGTCTGGCTTATTCCACTTAGCACAGTGTTCTCCAGTTCCATCCATGTTGTTGCAGATGACAAAATCTCTTTCTTTTTAGTTTCCATTATTTTATTTTATTTTATTTTATTTTATTTTATTTTATTTTATTTTATTTATATGTTTGTTATGTTATGTCATGTTATGTTATGTTATGTTTGTTATGTTATGTTATGTTATGTATGTTATGTTATTTTTTGAGACAGGGTCTTCTTGTTCCTTTGCCCTGGCTGGAGTGCAGTGACATGATCACAGCTCACTGCAGCCTTGACCTCCCAAGCTCAACTGTCCTTCTGCCTCAGCCTCCTGAGTAGCTGGGACTACAGATGGTTGCCACCACACCTGGCCAATTTTTTTATTTTTTGTAGAGCTGGGGGTCCCACTATGTTGCCATGCTGGTCTCAAACTCCTGGGCTCAAGTGATCCTCCCCCCTCAGCTTCTCAAAGTGCTGGGATTACAGATGTGAGCCCCTGCATCTGGCCAGCATTTCCTTTTAGTGTTCTATTGTGTACATATACTACATTTTCTCTGTCCATTAATCTATCAGTGGAAACTTAGGTTGGTTCCATAACTGCCAAGTGAATAATGCTGCAATGAACATGGGAGTGCAGACATCTCTTCAACATAAGATTTCAGATCTTTTGGGTTAATACCCAGAAGTGGGATTGCTGGATCATATGGTAATTCTATTTTTAGTTTTTTGAAGAATTTCCATACAGTTTTTCATAATGGCTGCAATAATTTATATCTCCACCGGGAACATACAAGGGTTATATTTTCTCCACATTCTCACCAACACTTATCTTTTGTCTTTTAATAATGGTCATCCTGACAAGTGTGACATGATAGCTCACTGTGGTTTTAATTTGCATTTTCCTAATGATTAGTGATGTTGAGCATTTTTCAATATACCTGTTTGCCTTCTTTTAAGAAATATCTATTTCTTTTAAGATATGTCTTCTTTGGAGAAATATCCATTCAGGTCCCTTGCCCATTTTTTTTTCTTTTTATTTACTTTCATTGTTTTCTTCAAAGGCATGATCATTAACTTTTGCCATTTTTCAACCCAATTATTTGTTTTCTTTTTAGAGTTATTTGAGTTCCTTATATATTTTAGATATTAACCATTTTTTCTAATGTATGAAGGTCTAATGTAATTATTCTGTCAGTAGATAGCCGGTTGTCCCAGCAGCATTTATTGAAGAGACTGTGCCTTCCCCATTGTTTGTTCTTAGCACCTTTGTCGAAAATTAAGTGACCGTAAATGTATGGATTTATTTCTGAGCTCTCTATTCTATTCCATTGGTGTGTCTGTTATTATGTCAGTACCATGCTGTTTTGATTACTAGAGATTTGTAGTAGATTTTGAAATCAGGTAATGTGATACCTGAAGCTTTGTTCTTTTTTATCAGGACTGCTTTGGCTATCAGGGTCTTTTGTGGTTCCAAGCAAATTTTAGGATTGTTTTTATATTTCTGTGAAAAATGTCATTGTAATTTGGCAAGGATTGCATTCAATCTGTAGATCACCTTGGGTAGTATGGACATTTTAACAATATTTTCCTAAACCATGAACACAAAATGTTTTTGCCTTCTTCAATCTTTGTCATCAATGTTATTCCTACACATTTTTTTTTTTTTTTTTTTTTGGTGACTATTGTAGTTGGGATTGTTTTCTTGATTTCTTTTTCAGATAGTTCATTGTTAGAACATGGAAATGCTACATTTTTTTATTGTTATTGATTTTGTATCCTGCAACTTTGCTGAAATTTTTTATTAGTGCCAACATTTTTGGTAGAGTCTTTAGAGTTTTCATGTCATCTGCAAACAGAGACAGTTTAACTTCTTCCTTTCCAATTTGAGGGCCTTTTTTTTTTTAAGGAAAATATTTGTGTCTTTTTATTTTCCTTTCCTTTTGTTTTTGGTTGACGTGTAATAATTGTAGATATTTATGGGATACAGAGTGATATTTTGATACATCTGTGTAATGATCAAATTAGAGTAATTAGCATATCCATCACCTCAAACACTTATTATTTCTTTGTTAGAAACCTTCAAAATCCTTTCTTCTAGCTTTTTGAAAATATACAATAAATTGTTAACTCTAATCACCCTACAGTACTATATAAAACTAGAATTTATCTAGTGTTACCCTATCTAGCTGTAATTTAGTATTCATTAACCTACCTCTCTATCCTCCCCTCCCCCATGCCCTACCCAGCCTCTAATAACTACAGTTTTACTCTCTACTTCTATGAGCTCAACCTTTTTTTTTAGCTCCCACATATGAGTAAGAACATGTGGTGTTTATCTTATTATGCCTGACTTATTTCACTTAACATGATATCATCCAGGCTTATTCATGTTCCCACAAATGACAAGATTTCATTCTTTTTTACAGCTGAATAGTATTCCACTGTACGTACGTATCACATTTTAAAAATCCATTCATTCATTTATGGACATTTGGTTTGACTCCATATCTTTGCTGTTGTAATAACAATAAACATGGGCATGCAGATTATCTCTTCAATATACTGATTTCCTTTCATTTGAATAAATATTCAGTGGCATTGCTGGATCATATGATAGCTGTAATTTTATTTTTTTGAAAAACCTCCATACTGTTTTTTCATAATGATTCTACAAATTTACATTTCCACCAAGAGTATATAAAAGTTCCATTTTCTCCACATCCTTTCCAATATTTGTTATTTTAAAATTTTTTTTATCATAGCCATTTTAACTGGAGTAGGATGATATCTCATTCCAGTTTTGATTTGCGTTTCTCTGATGATTACTGGTGTTGAGAATTTCTTTATATATGTGTTGGTAATTTGTATATCTTCTTTTGAGAAATGTCTATTCAGATCCTTTATCTACTTTTTAATGGGATTTTTGGGATTTTTTTTTGCTCTTGAGTTGTTTCAGTTTCTTATATGTTATGGATATTAGTCCCTTGTCACATAAATAGTTTGCAAATATTTTTTTTTCATTGTATACATTGTCTCTTCACTCTGCTATTTCCTTTCTTGTGCAGAAGCTTTTTAGTTTGATATAGTCCTATTTATCTGTTTTGTTTTAGTGGCCTATGCTTTTGAAGTGTTGCCCATAAAATCTTTGCCTACACCAATGTCCTAAAGCATTTCCTCTGTTTTCTCCTAGTATAATAGTTTTATAGTTTTGGGCCCTTTGTGTGCCTTTCATGTCTCTCTCTTGGCTAATTGTTTTGGCTAGGACTTCCAGTACTATGTTGAACAGGATCGGTGACAGTGAGCTTCCTTGTATTGTTCTTTTTTTTCTCTTTTCCTTTTTATTTATTTTTTATTATTTTTTTTTTCCAGTCAGGGTCTCACTTTGTCACTCAGGCTGGAATGCAGCATTGCGATCTTAGCTCATTGCAACCTCTGCCTCCTGGATTCAAGCAATCCTTCCACCTCAGCCTTTCGAGTAGCTGGGACTACAGGCATGTGCCACCATGCCCTGATAATTTTTGTACTTTTTGGTAGAGACAGGGTTTCACCATGTTGGCCAGGCTGGTCTCAAACTCCTGACCTCAAGTGATCCACCTGCCTCTGCCTCCCAAAGTGCTGAGATTACAGGTGTGAGCCATTGCGTCTGGCCCTTGTATTGTTCTTGATCTTAGAGGAAAAGCTTTCATCTTTTCACTGTTGATGAAAGCTATGGACTTTCATCAATATGATGTTAGCTATGGGCCTGTCATATGTGACCTTTATTATGTTAAGGTACATTCCTTTTATAAATAATTTGTGGAAAGTTTTTATTATGAAAGGATGTTGAATTTTGTTCAGTATCTTTTCTGCATCTATTGAGATTATCATATGGGTTTGTCTTTTATTCTGTTAAAGTTGTGTATTACATTTATTGATTTACATATGTTGAACCATCCTTGCATCCCAGTGATAAATCTCACTTGGTTATAGTGAATTATCCTTTTAATATGCTGTTGAATTTTGTTTGTTAGTATTTTGTTGAGGATTTTTGCATGTTTGTTCATCAGGGATATTGGCCTGTAATTTTCTTTTCTTACAGCAGTGCTCTTGTCTGGCTTTGGTATCAGGATAATGCTGGCCTTTCTTTCTTTTTTTTTTTTTTTAGATGGAGTTTTGCTCTTGTTGCCAGGCTGGCGTGCAATGGCGTGACCTCGGCTCACTGCAACCTCTGCCTCCTAGGTTCAAGTGATTTTCCTGCCTTAGCCTCCCAAGTAGCTGGGATTACAGGCATGCACCACCACACCTGGCTAATTTTTGTATTTTTAGTAGGACAGGGTTTCACCATGTTGGCCAGGCTGGTTTTGAACTCCTGACCTCAGATGATCCACCCACCTTGGGCTCCCAAAGTGCTGGGATTAAAGGATTGAGCCACTGCACCCAGCCAATGCTGGCCTTTCTTTGAGTGCTTTAAATATATTGCTACACTATCTTCTTGCTTGCATAGTATGTGACAGGAAATCTAAGTCATCTTTATTATTGTTTCTCTTTATGTGAAGTGTCATTTTTCTCAGGTTTCTTCTAAGATTTTCCTTTTATCACTAGTTTTAAGCAGTTTGATTATGGTGTATCCCCACGTTCTCATGTTTTCTTTCTTGTGCTTGGAGTCTATTGAATTTTTTGGATTTATGAGTTTATAGTTTTTTTTCAGATTCGGAAATATTTCAGCTATGATTTCTTCAAATATTTTGTAACTCCCTGCTTGCCTTCTTTCCTTTAGCAACTCCCATTACACATTACACACATATTTGGCTGCTTGAAGTTGTTCCATGGTTCAATGATGCTTTGTTTATTTTTTCTTGGTCTTTTTTTTTTTTAATCTTCTGTGCTTCGTTTTGGATAGTTTCTATTGCTATGTCTCCAAGTTCATTTATCTTTCCTTCTGTGATGTCTAATCAGATGTTTATCCCATCCAGTGTGTTTTTCATTTCATACATTTTAGTTTTCATCTGTTGAAGTTCATTTTTAAAAACATCTTATGTATCTTAATTTGTTAAATTTTTCTCTAAACTTTTGAACATATGGGATGTGTTCAAATATCATAACTGTGTTATCATAACTGTGTTACTCTTATTTATTAATGCTATAATCTATGTCATTTTAAAAGTATTTTTGATAAATTATTTTCTTCTCCTCAATGTCAGTTTGATTTTTCTGACTCTTTGTATGCCTGGTCATTTTTTTTTTTAGATGCACAACATTGTGATTTTTATCTTGAGAGATGCTGTATATTTTTGTTTTATTAAAAATATTCTTGCACTTTTTCTGGAGCGTGGTCAGGTTATTGAGAGATAATTGGATACTTTCGGGTCATGCTTTTACGCTTTGTTTGGCAGGACCAGAGCAACATTTACCCTAGGGTTAATTTTTTCTCACTACTGAGTCAAAATCCTTCATATTATTAACCTCAGCCCCATGAATTATGAGGTTTTACTCTCTGGATGATGAAAATAGCTACTATTCCTGGCCCTGTATGAGACGTGGGGTAGTTTGCTATTATCATTTGCCATGGTTTATTCCCTGGTCTCAGGTAGTTTCCTCTCACATGCTTCATCAGTTCTCAACGGAAACCTTGAAGGGGACCCTCTGCAAATCTCAGACACTCACTCTCCATGCACTTTCTTCTTTGGTTCTCTGCTCTGAGAACTCTAGCCATATTGGCTTACCTGGACTCCCAGCTCCATCTCCTCACCTCAGGGAGACCACTGGGCTCTACCTGTGTTGTCCTCTCTGTGTCATGACCGGAAACTCTTTTTAAAGAGTAAACTGGGAAATTCTGAAGTTTGCCTCATTTGTTTCCTTCACTCAGAGATCACTGTCCTTTATTGTTTATTTCCAATATCTTGAGAGCTCTAATTTTATATATTTGTCCAGGTTTTGTCCAGATATTTTGACGGGTTTTTTTTCAACTTTTATTTTAGATTCAGTGGGTACCTCTGCAGGTTTGTTATCTGGGTATATATTGTGTGATGCTAAGGTTTGGGGTACTAATGATCCTGACATCCAGCACTGAGCATAGTAAAAACTTGACAGTTTTTCAACCCTTCCCCTACTCCCTCCCTTCCCCCACTAGTAGTCCCCAGTGTCTATTGTTACCATCTCTATGTCCATGAGTACCCAATGTTTAGCTCCCTCTTATAAGTGAGAACATGTGGTATTTGGTTTTCAGTTCTCGTGTTAATTAGCTTAGGATGTCCAGGATTTTTTAGGTGTTTTATGCAAGAAGGTAAATCCAATTTCTATTACTCCATCTTGGCCGGAAGCATAAGTCCCACACTATTGCTTGTGGTTATTGTTGTTTTTACAGACAGGATCTCACTCTGCCACCCAGGCTCATGTGCAGTGGCACGATCATGGCTCACTGCAGCCTCAACCACCTGGGCTCAAGCAATTCTCTTGCTTCAGCCTCCTGAGGAGCTGGGACTGTGGGCATGCACCATTGTGCCTGGATAATTGTTTTAAATTTTTTTGTAGAGACAGAGTCTGGCTGTGTTGTCCAGGCTGATCTTGAACTCCTTGCCTCAAGTGATCTTCCTGCCTTGGCCTCTCAAATTGCTGGGAGTATAGGCATCAGCCACTGCATCCAGCAGACCACACTATTGTTTTTATGCATTTAAAAATATCCCCAGAGGCAAGTGCCAACTGTTCTGCTTTCCTGGACTTGAATAACTTTCAAGTTATCTCTCAGGTAATAATTACCATTTTTGTTAGTGCTGTGGTTACAAAGTTGAGTACGTTTATCCTCATTCTCTTTTAACATGAACTTTTATAGTAGGCAATGATTTTGAAGAATGCATATATTGTGGTATAGCAGCTATAGCCTGTACAATTAAAGAACCTGTGCAATTGAAATGTATGATTGGTATATACTTCAGGCAAAGTCAGAGAATACATAAAGACAGATCTTTAATAACATTTTAAAAAGTGAAACTAGATGGTTGTGTTACTGGAAAAGGATCCTGATCCAGACGCCAATAAAGGGTTCTTGAATCTCACACAGAAAGGATTCAAGGTGATTCCATGAATTGAAAACACCTTTATTAAGAAAGTGAAGGAATAAAGAATGGCTACTCCACAGGCAGAAGAGACCCGAGGGCTGCTGGCTGTCTACTTTTATGGTTATTTCCTGATTATATGCTAAATAAGGGTGGATTATTCGTGAGTTTTCCAGGAAAGGGGTGGGCAATTACCTGAACTGAAGGTTCCTCCCCTTTTTAGAACATATAGGGTAACTTCCTGATGTTGCCATGACATTTATAAACTGTCATGGCACTGGTGGGAGTGTCTTTTAGCATGCTAATACATTATAATTAACATATAATGAGCAGTGAGGACCACCAGAGGTCACTCTCATCGCCATCTTGGTTTTGGTGGGTTTTATCTGGCCTCTTTACCACAACCTGTTTTATCAGCAAGGTCTTTATGACCTGTATCTTGTGCTGACTTCCTGTTTCATCCTGTGACTTAGAATACCTAACCTCCTGGGAATGCAGCCCAGTAGATCTCAGCCTTAATTTACCCAGCCCCTATTCAAGATAGAGTTGCTCATGTTCAGATGCCTCTGACAGTCTGATCTTTGAAAGCAGGTTTCATTTTCTCTAAGTCATTGTACTTCCCTTTCCCATAGTGCCCAGCATATATATCCTCAAAAACTATTTTTTGTTTGGCTATAATAGACTTATTGGTAGACCAGGAATATATTTTTTTCATTATTATGATTAATATAACTATTATGGATTGATTGTGTACTATAAGTTAGGCAATCTGCCAGACACTTTGTATACAGTATCTAATTCAATCATCACTATTGCTTCTGTGATGGAACATAAACTCATCAAACTCCTGGCCTGATACCCCCAAATGTTAATGTATGGCTTTAGCTCTTTCAATATGTAACAGTAGCAACCATTGCTTTTATTTCTCTACCTTTAAAATTTTAGTCTTTTTTTATAGGTGAGGAAACGGATTCAGGGAAATTAAATAACATGCTCAAGATTCTACAACTAGTAACTGGTACTATTGGGATTCCAAACCCAGGTCTGTCTGATTCCAAAACTCAAGCACATTGTATTGCTTTGTCCTCTGTTACCATGAAACACAGCAAAGCTTAGTGATTATTTTCTCTGACGAACTCCTCCATTTAGTCTTTCATTATCTTAGAGGAGAGAATAAAAAGAAAATTGTTTTAGGGCAAGATAGTACTACAGGCATCAGGGTTGGTAGAGTAATTATGCATCTTGAGTTTTCTGAATTTACTCAGGGATCAGATTCAAGTCCAGGGTGATGTCCCCATGGCTGTTTTATACCTGAAGACCAGAAAAAGATTATGTTCAATAAGCACAATTGACTAAAAATATGCCCGAATCCCTTGTTTCCTTTAAAATAACCTTGACAAATTTCCATCAATAGAGATGTATTTGCTCCTCAAGAACACCCCAGTTATTTCAGTCCTGACAGCAAACTTGTTTGACTTGGAAACCCTTTACAGAGTTATGCAGGGGCTTCTCTTTGGAAAGGCCTAAACTAGATGAAATATTGAGCTTTGATCTCAAGTAATTTTCTAAATAATATTGTGGTATAAGCTGAAAAAGAGAGAATAAATTTATATTGCACATGTTACAATTTCCTACATGTTGCTTCCCTACAACCAGTAAGCCAGATTTCATATTACTTGGGGTTGGATCTGAGCAGGGACGGCCATGAGCAGGGGGCCTATCAGTGAAGGAAGTCAAGGTACATGAGCCCAGATTGTCCTCATAAGGAGAAAAGCAGCCTGGATTCGTAGACAGGGCCCAGAGTTGATCTGAATTACCTTCAGTCTCAGTCAAGATTTAGCATCAGGTCATTGGTGCCTATCACTGTGGCAATGAGGGATTATTTTTATTCAGTATTTTGTGTTTGTGCAAAGGCTTTCAGTCATTAATCATTTAACTCTTGTTCCCATGAGACTTTTGTAAAGTAAATGGGAAAGAAATAACACAATTCTTATTTTACAGATAGAGAAATAGAAGCCATGTTGTTTGTGGAGGTTACACACTGAAAGAGCTAAAGCCATGCATTAGAATTCAGGGAAACCAGGCCAGGAGACTGATGAGTTTTTGTTCCACCACAGAACTGAGGTTTTCTGTTTTTGCATTAAATGGACTTGCTTATTTTTCATTTTGAAAGCAACATGATAGATACTGAGGTGCGCTGAAGAAAAAATCAGACCTCACCTCCTTACATTATGTAGTCTGAAAATCCTGCTGAGTTCCCACAAAGTTTTTGGAATCCAAACATACATTTAAGTTTAAGTAGTAAAGATTTTAAAGCATTGCTGATCTTGATTTCTAATAAGAAAGAGAATACTGTATACGCAAATACATACAGTGTGGCTGTGAATAGCTAGTAATCAGTTACAAAGGAAGAGGATGGCATGGGGACTTGCCGCCTGGAATTAATCTGGTGGGCTTCCTGGAGGGAGTGTGTTTTGAATTTCAATTTAAAAAAATATTTCAAAGATCTTTTGGGCAAGATGAAATGTTTTTCCTGGTTCTTTCTATTAAGTGTAAACACTACATAAAACTTGGTAAATATCACAAGAAAGAGAAATTGCCAGATGGGTCCACAAGGACATATTTCAGAATAATGGAAAATAAATGAAGAAAAGTTTTCTGACAGTGAGTTCTTTCAGATCGGTTCATAATGAGGTATTTCAGGGGGCAGATGGGTGGAACAGTAGAGAGAATGGTCTTAGTGGAAGCCATTTGAATCAGACTGAATAAAGCAGAGAAAGTTCAAGTTTGGAATCAGCATAGAGCTATGGGGACAGGGAAATACAATTAGGGCTAGAGCTAGCTCACTTCCTTTGGCATAAGACAGATATTTCATTCAGATCCATTTAGAAGCTATATAACTGAAAGTCACAGCTTCTTTATTTGTAAAATAGTATAAACAAGGCCTACCTTATAAGCTGAGGAGTAAAATTTTTAAGTCTGAAAAATGCTTAGAAGGTACATGGCACCAAAGGCAAATCCAGGTTATATAGGGTTTGAATCTTATATAATATTGGAGGCTTTCTTTAAGAAAAAGAATACACAACTCTGGCTATAAAATTAGATAGTAAAGTGAATATATTTTACAGTAAGAAATCATAACAAATCAGCTGGGCTCGGTGGCTCACGCCTGTAATCCCAGCACTTTGGGAGGCTTAGGTGGGTGGATCGACTGAGGTCAGGAGTTCAAGACCAGCCTGGCCAACACAGTGAAACCCTGTCTCTAATAAAAATACAAAAAATTAGACAGGTGTGGTGGTGAGCAACTGTAATCCCAGCTACTTGGGAGGCTGAGGCAGGAAAATCACTTGAACCTGGGAGGCGGAGGTTGTGGTGAACAGTGAGCTAAGATTGCGGCATTGCACTCCAGCCTGGGCAACAAGAAAGAAACTCCATCTCAAAAAAATAATAATAAATAAATAAAATAAATAAATAACAAATCACTAATTCGAAAAGAAAGCTGACAAATATTGCAAAAATCACAAAATCCAGGAGAACAACATGCTGCTTTTATTAATTGTCTGAAATATTTCTATTGTATATATTGTATACTATATATATTACTTATATCTAATTATATATATTATATATAATATATAAAAATACAATTATATTATATATGATAATATATAATTAGATATAATTAAATATGTAATATATTACATGTAATACATAATAAATATATAAAATATAAAATTTAATATAAAATAAATAATAAATATATAATATATTACATATAATATATAAGAATATAATTCTATTATATTTAGTAATATATAATTAGATAATATATGAATATGTAATATATTCTATTATGTGGAATATATATAATTCTAATATATATAATGTAGTTGTACAGATTCTGATTGCTTCTTTATATGACAATTTTGTAATACCATATTGTATAGAGATAATAGAAACATGGTTCAACTTTCCTTTAGTATGATTATTAAAATTTGTGTTTTATTGTTGATAGTTTAGGGAAATTTTTTTCAATACCACATTTTGTTGCTTGCAACGTCATGTAAAATTTTACAATTGTCAAATTTGGGAAAACTTTTATCAAGATTTTACTTGTAAGAGTTGTAAGATTTAGATAACACTTCTATGACTAGTTTCTGGCTCTGTACATTTCAAATCTTATTTCTCCTCCACTATTCTCCTAATTTCAGGGCTGGGCATTGTGGGATGTATTCACATAACATCAGAATTCAACATAGGCTCAGCATCATAGGATGCCTGTCATCCCAACATGATGTCCCTTGGTCACCCAGCTCACTGGTGAGCAGTTGATGATAGAAGTGTTTATGGAATCCATTAATACAACCAGGTGGTTAGCAGTCAGCTCTACACAAAAGTGATGCCAACCATGTAATACATTTCATTCCACTCAAGCTAAGTATATCTTCAACCCAACTCTGATGCCACCCTACACAAAGGGAAATGTGACAGAGGGGAAATCAGGACAGTATTAACTAATTGGTGTTATATACTTTAATTTCGTAAACTTTATGAAAACATACAGCCATGCCTACATATTGATAAAGGCCCTACAAGGAACTTGGGAGAGGCTCATGGCATTAGCTTCAGGGTCAACTGCCTCTACATGTCATATCAGTGTGCTGAACAGTTCTTTCTCTCCAGACGGGCAATCCTTGCTCAGCATGAGCAAGATGGTGGTCATGATTTGGGGTTATGCATTCAGGAGACCCCCTGAAGGCAGCATCTCATCCAACCACAGAGATGAGATATGTCTCCTTCAGCAGTGGTGAATATAAATAAAATTGAGTTGTGGGGCTCTAAAGGTTCATATAAGGAGACCCTTTGTGCCCTTTTTGTTTTGCTGTACATTCTTTTCCCAACACTGACTGGTTAAAATTTGAGTTCAAAACTACTCTTTGAAATTGTTGTGATTTACCTGGCTCTGAACTCTTTCATCTTTCAGAAAATCTCTCGTAGGATTGCTATTATCCCCTTCCCCCCACACAAAAAAATGGTAGAGGTCAGCTGGTAAGCTGGTCAAACCTAACTCAGGGCCACTCCACATTGTCCTAGGCAGAGATACTTTTGGGGCTGGTGCAAGCAGCAGTTGGGAAACAGGGGCCTAGTGATGTAGTGGTCATTCTAGAAATGCAACCCCTCAGAAACGTGCTGCCCAGACTTTTGGATGAAGGGTAAAACAAATAAAGCTGCCGCCTATTGGAACGTACACTGGCTCCTTCCACATCTGCAGGACATTTAGCCCCTTGCATCTGGTAGTGTTTGTGCAAATATAATTCCATATTCACTAATAATTCCTGGGGCTAAAGGCCCCCCCTTGGGTAACCTTGTTAATATTCTCTCAAGGCCTGGTGTGAACGCCTCATAGCATTTTGATTAGAATTCAATCTTGTGTTTTTTTCCCTCTCAGGCTCTTTCTTCCTCTCTCCTCTCATGCTTTTCTGGCCCCTGATTTCCTGGCCACCCACATCAGGAGACATTCTCCCTCCCTTCCACTCTCCATTCTCAGTTTCAAGGAATTTCCTTGTTTCAAAGGCAAAGTGTGATTGACATATTTTTCCCCTCTTAAGAGCAGTCATCTCAGTTTTTGATTTAACCATCTCCTTATGGGGCTTACAGTCATTACCTGGGTGAAAGAGACCTCCTGCTCACCCTTAAGCACTAGCCTCAGACCTTGCAACTGGCACTTTTATAGACTTTTAAATTGCTGTTTTCCTTCCCTGTATTTTTTTTAACCTTTTATTGTGGAGGGGTTACGGGGGCACTAACACTTGATTCCCTGGTGAGTAGTACCTTGAGCTTTAAAGATTTTTAGTTATCTGCAAACAGGTAGATCAGCTGCCTCCTGTCAGTGCTCTCTATCTGCCAAGAAAGGCATTTACTGTTCTTCAGATCTGTGGATAAGAATGGATACTATAATGAGTTCTCTAGTTTTGAATTCACCAGCTCTGGGCAAGTTGCGAAGTTGTGCTTCTTTGGTTCCTTAGTCTTACTTGACCAGCTTATTTGTCTCTCAGAAAGAGAAAATAGAAAGCAAAAACAAAAGCAAACTAGCCATAGCAGAGGGAATTATATTTACGCCCAAGAAGAATTTCTTGGGAGTGAAGGTTCTTCATGCTGGAGTGTGGGATTCTGGAATGTATGTGCTCTCTTTCAGGGTCTGTGAAACAGGCCACCTTATCATGGCATTACTGCAGGTTTCTGCCTGAAGGGAATAAACTAGATGACCTTGGAAGGTCACTCACAGCTTTTTAATTCAGAAGGAATTCTCATCTTTTCTGCAAAAAGCTCCACTTCTCACAGTGTTAGAGCAGACCCTGTCTTAAGGAAATTACTCCTGTCTTTCCAGAAGCAGCCTGAGTCACATCTCACTGATTTACTTTCATGAATCTACATCTTCTGCTGCTGATTATGATATATTGCCTACTAAAAGCTCCCAACTGCAAGCAGCTCTATTGTAGTGCAAATAGTTAACTTTCTAAGGACCTTCGTGTGACCCCACCCCCAAATCCCATTGTTTCAGAAGATAACAAAGTGCTAGAAGATAGAGGCTTGGATTTACAATAATAATTTTTTTCCCTGCTGGAATTTCAGCAATAGCGGTAGCTTTAATAAAAAGCTGTAAGTCAACAACAAGAAAAACTTCAGAAACGTTATAAATACATGGAAATTAAACAACATGCCCCTAAATAACCATTGGGTTAATAAAGAAATAAAAAGGGAAATTTAAAAAATTTCTTGAGATGAATGAGAATGGAAATACATCATACCAAAACCTGTGGAGCACAGCAAAAGCAGTTCTAAAAGGGAAGTTTATAGTAATAAATGCCCGTATCAAAGAAGAAAGATTTCTAATAAAAAACCTAGTGATGCACCTCAGGGAACTAGAGAAACAATAACAAACTAAACCCAAGATTGGTAGAAGGAAAGAAATACTAAAGCTCAGAGCAGAAATAAATCAGAGACTAAAAAAATAATAAATGAAAGGATCAATAAAATGAAGTTTTGTTTTTTGAAAAGATAAAATAGATAAACTTTTAGCTAGACTAAGAAAAAATATTAAATAAAATCAGAATGAAAAAGGATACATTACAATTCATACCACAGAAATTAAAAAGATTATAAGACAGTATTATGAACAACAACCATACACCAACAAATCTGATAATGTACAAGAAATGGATCAATTCCTGGAAGCATACAACCTACCATGATTAAATAATAAAAAATAGAAATATGAACACAGCGATAAGTAGTGAGTAAATTGAGTCAGGAATAAAACGTTTTCCATCAAAGAAAAAACCAAGACCTGAAAACTTCACTGCTGAATTCTACCAAACACTTAAAGAACTAATACTGACCCTCGACCTTTTCAGACAGCTAAAGAGGAGAAGGAGGGAATACTTCCACACTCATTTTATGAGGCCAGCATTACTCTAATTCCAAAATCAGACAAGGTCACAACAATTTACTCTAATTCCAAAATCAGACAAGGTCACAACAATTTACTCTAATTCCAAAATCAGACAAGGTCACAACAAAAAAAGAAAACTACAGGCCTGTATCTCTGATGAACATAGATGCAAAATTCCCAAAATGATACTAGCAAATCAAACTTAGCAACCTATTCAAAATATCATTCACTGGCATGAAACCAGGAGGCGGAGCTTACAGTGAGCCGAGATAGTGCCACTGCACTCCAGCCTGGGTGACAGAGTGAGACTCCATCTCAAAAAATAAAAATAAAAAAAAAATCATTCACTATGATCAAGTGGAATTCATTCCAGGAATGCAAGGATGGTTGAACATCCACAAATCAATAACTTTGATATACCACATTAACTGAAAGAAAGACAAAACCCGTATAGTTATTTCTAGAGATGCAGAAAATTCATTTGACAAAACTCAACATTCCTTCATGATAAAAACTCTCAATGAATTATATATAAAAGGAATATACCTCAGCACAAAAAAAGGCCATATATGACAAATCCACAGCTAACGTCATACTGAATGGGGAAAAGCTGAAAGCTTTCCCTCTAAGATCAGGAAAAAGACAGGGATGCCCACTTTTTACCACTTCTATGTAACGTAATGTTGAAGGACAACATAGTCCTAGCCAGAGCAATTAGACAAGAGAAAGAAATAAAAGGCATCCAAATTAAAAAGGAGAAAGTCAAATTTCCCTGTTTGCAGACGACATGATCTTATATATAGAAAATCCTAAAGATGCTACCAAAAAAAACCTATTAGAACTGATAAATTCAGTAAACTTGCAAGGTAAAAATAATCAACTGCATTTCTATATAGTAATAGTGAAGTATCTGAAAAAGAAATCCAGAAAACAGTTTCATTTACAATAATATAAAAAAAGGAAGATACCTAGGAATGAACTTAACTAAGGCAATGAAAAATCCTTGAGATACTGGTGAAAGAATTGAAGAACACACAAATAATTGGAAAGATATCTTGTGTTCATGGATTGAAATAATTAATATTGTTAAAATGGCCATACTACCCAAAGTTATCTACAGATTTATTGTAATCCCTGTACAAGTGCCAGTGACATTCTTTACAGAAATAGGAAAAAAAAAAAATCCTAGAATTCTTTTGAAACTACAAAAGACCCTGAATAACCAAAGCAATCCTGAGCAAAAACAACAAAGCTAGAGGCACCATGCTAACTGACTTCAAAATATACTACAAAGCTAGGCCAGGCAAGGTGGCTCTCGCCTGTAATTCCAGCACTTTAGGAGGCCAAGGCTGGGGGATCACTTGAGCCCAGGAGTTTAAGGCCAGCCTGGGCAACATAGCAAGACCCCATCTCATTTTATATATATATGTGTGTGTGTGTGTGTGTGTGTGTGTGTGTGTGTGTGTGTTATAAATGTATTTTATATATGTGCGTGTGTATATATGTATACATAGTGTATATATATTTTATATGTGTGTATGTATATATATACATACATGTATATGTATACATATATACATATATACATACATGTATATGTATACATATATACATATATACACACACATATAAAATGTATATATATATACACACACACATAAAATATATATATACACACACACATATAAAATATATATATATACACACACACACACACACGCACCACAAAGCTATAGTAACCAAAACAACATGGTACTGGCATAAAAATGGACATATAAACCAGGGGAACAGAATAGAGATTCCAGAAAACATTCATGCACTATAGCCAGCTAATCTTCAATAAACAATGCTAGGGAAATTGGATATTCACATGCAGAAGAATAAGGTGTGGAGGTGTACATGCAGAAGAATAAGGTGTATAAGGTGTGGAGGAGACTAGGCCTCCACACCTTATACAAAAATTAACGCAAGATGGATTAAAGACTTAAACGTAAGACCTAAACCCATAAAAACCCTAGAAGAAAACCTAGGCAACACCATTCAGGACATAGGCATGGGCAAAGACTTCATGACTAAAACACCAAAAGTTATTGCAACAAAAGCGAAAATTGACCAATGGGATCTAATTAAACAAAAGAGCTTCTGCTCAGCAAAAGAAACTATCATCAGAGTGAACAGGCAACCTACCGAATGGGAGAAAATTTTTGCAATCTATCCATCTGACAAAGGGCTAATATCCAGAATTTACAAAGAACTTAAACAAATTTACAAGAAAAAAACAACCCCATCAAAAAGTGGGCGAAGGATATGAACAGACACTTCTCAAAAGAAGACATTTATACAGCCAACAAACATATGAAAAAAAGCTCATCCTCACTGGCCATTAGAGAGATGTAAATCAAAACCACAATGAGATACCATCTCATGCCAGTTAGAATGGCGATAATTAAAAAGTCAGGAAACAACAAATGATGGAGAGGATGTGGAGAAATAGGAACACTTTTACACTGTTGGTGGGAGTGTACATTAGTTCAACCATTGTGGAAGACAGTATGGCGATTCCTCAAGGATCTAGAACCAGATATACCATTTGACCCAGCAATCCTATTATTGTGTATATACCCAAAGGATTATAAATGATTCTACTATAAAGACACATGCACACGTATGTTTATTGTGGCACTGTTCACAATAGCAAAGACTTGGAACCAACCCAAATGCCCATCGATGATAGACTGGATAAAGAAAATGTGACACATATACACCATGGAACACTATGCAGCCATAAAAAAGAATGAGTTCATGTCCTTTGCAGGGACATGGATGAAGCTGGAAACCATCATTCTCAGCAAACTAGCACAAGAACAGAAAACCAAACACCGCATCTTCTCACACATAAGTGGGAGCTGAACAATGAAAACACGTGGACACAGGGAGGGGAACATCACACCCTGGGACCTGATGGGGGGTGGGGACTGGGGAGGTATAGCATTAGGAGAAATACCTAATATAGATGACAGGTTGATGAGTGCAGCAAACCACCATGGCACATGTATGCCTACGTAACAAACCTGCACGTTCTGCACATACATCCCAGAACTTATAATACAAAAATTTTAAAAAATAATGAAAAGAAATTTCAAAGCCTGTCTTCATGTAGAATCCCTTCTTTTCCTAAATGTTTTGATTGATGTCTAGAACCTTCGTTAGTGAGTTAATCATGGTAACCAATATTGCATATCTCAGTTCATGTAGGTATAGGCTGGAATTGTTGTTGTTGTTTGTTATTTATCATATTTTTGATTCAGGGAATACATGTGCAGGTTTGTTAGATGGATGCACAATGGTGAGGTTTGGATTTCTATTGAACCCATTACCCAAATAGTGAATATTGTACCCAATAGGCAATTTTTCAACCCTCAGTCCCCTCCCACCATACCCACTTTTGGAGCATCCAGTTAGACTTATTTCCATCTTTATGTCCATGTGTTCCCTTCATTTAGCTACCATTTATAAGTGAGAACATTTGATTTTCTATTTCTGGGTTATTTCACTAAGAATAATTGTCTCCAGCTCCATCCTTTTTGTTGCAAAAGACACGATTTTATTCTTTCTTAATGGCTACGTAGTATTCCATGGTATATATGTACCCCATTTTCTTTATCCAGTAAACCATTGATGTATACTTAGGTTGATTCCATGAATTTACTATTGTGAGTAGTGCTGTGATAAACATATGAATGCAGGTAACTTTTTGATAAAACAATTTCTTTTCCTTTGGATAGTTACACAGTAGTTGGATTGCTGAATTGAATGGTAGTTCTGTTTTTAGCTCTTTGAGAAATCTCCGTACTGTTTTTCCATAGGGATTGAACTAAATTTACATGCCTACCAACAATGTATAAATGTTTCATTTTCTCTATATCCTTGATAGACTGGAATTTTTAGAGGAGCAGATTTAACATATCTATTTCCTCTCATTAAATAGCATTTCTACAGTATTTCTTAGTTTAAGGCAGTGAGATCAACATTGTTAGGTGATTACCATTACTAAGTTTAATACCTACACCATTACTTTCTAATGGTGGGGCCAGTAGAAATAATTTTTCAAATGAGAAGTTATGTTGAAATCTAAAAATATGAATATGATGTAATCAGTATGGGTTGGGGACCAAAGTCTAGCCCATTGGTCTCTCTCTGGTCTTGGAGGCACTCTGATTCACTTCATGAAACTAGAGAGTTCCATGAAATATGCATTGAAAATCACCACGCTCACTCACTGGTGTTCACTTTAAAAAGGTGGAGCCTCGTCTAAAATGCATGCATCCACATTTTCTTAACCAACTCTTTCTTTACAAAACAAATACTTCTGAAATATATTCTTTATTTCGTGTCACTCAAATAATCCCCTGGCCTCACCTGTCTATGGTTATAAATGAGGTCATATAAATGGTTCAGCACAGCTTACTGACCTTGTAACCCTCACTTGTGGGACAGCAAGACCCCAGTCCCACTTT
Source organism: Homo sapiens (assembly GCF_000001405.40). Lineage (NCBI taxonomy): Eukaryota > Metazoa > Chordata > Mammalia > Primates > Hominidae > Homo > Homo sapiens. The sequence continues at coordinate 119,203,368 of NC_000001.11, forward strand.
TGAGGTATTCTTACTGCTGGTATTTCCCAGGGAGTCTCTAGGATGTTTCTTGCTTGTGTCCCCCTCACCAGTTGTGATGACTCAGACACATTGCCTATGAGCATGAAGTGGTTCTGTTGCTCCAGAGAGCTCTCTGTGGTTCTCTCTGTGGGCCACTGCTCCCTGAGGTCACTGCAGACACACCATACTTGCCTCTGAGTGCTGCTGTCTCCTTTGCCCAAGAGTGGACATGGACACTTTCTTTAATACCCCATAGCACAACCAATAACTGTGTTATTGGTTATTGGTTATTGGTTATAGGTTATAACAGCTAATATCACTTTTTTGGTACAGCCTCAGGTATCACCAAAAGGAAGCATATACCAAAATTATCCTTCAGCTGGCAACTACATATCCTTATGGGCTTTTCTCTAGGCCACATTTTTGCCCAACTGTTGCAGAAAATACTTTCCCCCCAATATTTATCCTCTCCTTTAGTTACAGAAAAACAATTTTATTCAAGATGGTGATGAACCAGCCTATAAGGATGTCTTTCCCAGCCTCTCTTACAGCTAGATATGGTCACAAGACTAAGTTCTGGCTAATACAACAGAAAAAACTGGGAGATGCCTCCTTTTTGTCTTTTCTGCTGCCCAAAAAAGGACGTGATGACAGAGGTTACAGCAGCCTTCCTGGAACATGAGATGGTCTTAAAGCTGGAAATAGCTGCCAAGGATGGCAGAGCGAGAGGAGATGAAGTTCCTGATTACCTAGTGAAGCTACCACAGTATCCCTGGACTTTTTTGTTTAGGTCACTGTTATTTTGGGGTTTCTGTAATCTGTAGGCAAACCTAATCATGGCACCGTAGCTATGAGCCTGCCTCCTCCCCTTGTTCCATATGGCAGAGTTCAGCTTCTCTCCACCACATGGGAAAGGCCTTTAGCATGTCTGGATTCCTCAGAGCCTCTTCACAAGAGAACTGGGGCCCAGAGAGAAGTAATTCTTTCCTTACCCACAGTCTAAGGCATAGCTGCCAACTTTTCATCTCCTGACCCAGAAGCTGCCTCTTGTCCAGGATAATTGAGAGTTATAGTGATTATTCCCTCCAACCCTACTCTATTCCCACAGGGGAATGGCCTCACCTAATGCTGCCAGTAATAAGCATATCAGGATCAAGTTACAGCCACAGTTCAGTTCCTTCATTTGAAAAATGGAGAAAATTTAAAATAAACATAAACCAAGAATGGTTTTTTAAATATGCTGTTATGTATTAGTTTTGGAATCCCTACCAGAGTGTTTCTTAAATTAATTTTTGGTTCATTTTACCCATATGTGCATTTTCTCATATACACAGCAACACATGGATGTGAATCCAGAAATGCACACACAGACTTGTGCATGATTACATATACATACAAATGTAGATTTTTATATATGCGCCCACATCAATTTGCACACCCTTGAGCATATACTCTGGCAAGTTAATTTGCAAGCCCAAATAAATATGGACTAAGAATTAGTGAATATGAAATAAAAGGAATGGACTAGATGTAGCAGGTGAAGAGACTGGGCAGTTACATTACAAGCAAGCAAAGTCACCCCCATGGTACTCATTTTCAATGGCATAGCAATAATGTGACTTTTTAATATTCTCCAGAGATGGGCTCAGTGAGAGGCTGATTAGGGACATAGGACCATCCAATGTGCAGCATAGTGCTCACAGTGCTGCTGTTAAGCTGGTCTGTGTCCACGTGGCCATCTCACTTGTCCCTTCTTGATAGAACTATCAGGAGCTACCACAAACTCCTTGACAGTCAGTAGCAGGGAACTGCAATCTTCTTTCTCAGACTTACCATAGACACCCAGTGAAACTTGAAATATGACTGAATGATCAATGTACTCTGCACAGACTCCTCCCTAAAAGGCTGTCTGCCCCTTATTGGTTATGCACATGGAAGCAAAATAGCCACTTGAATACAGCAAAGTGCCAGATCAGGGAGATAGACAGTGGGAAAGGGGAGCTTAAGTTGAGATAAAAGCCTTTCTGGTGACCTCTAACCCCCTGGTCTGGCAGCTGGTTTCAGCTTATAATTGCTGAGAAGGTAAAGGTGTTCTAGGATAGTATCCAAGAAACAAGACATCAGTTGCTTCCCTGGAGATGCCTCTCTATAGATAGAGACAGACAGGCCAACTAAGACTTTTGTTTGAGTATCTGTTCACTTTATTTTTCTTTTCGTATTTTCTCCTTTGTCTTCCTACTTATATCCTCAACTACTCTGCTCCTCTACTGGTGTTTGAACTCATCAAATTCAGTACTTGTATGTGTTAACCACAGTCCAGGCCTGCTGTCATGTCGCCAAATTACACACATTTAGGTCTTTTCATCTTTCTTTATAAACCAGTCTCTCCAGTCCATTTAATCATTTTGGCAGTTCTTTTCTGAATTCCACCTAATTTAAAAATAAGCTAAATTCTCCACCCTGCGGATTTAAAAGCAGTCTGTTGCAAACCCATACAGAGCTCCAGCCTTGGGTTTGATGCTTATAGAGGAAAGATATCCTCATGCTTTTAAATTCTCAATTCCAAGTTTTTCCAAGAAGTGACAGACTGTAAAAGGCCAGAGAAGGTAGTTAAAGGGAAAAGGACTTGGCTGGCCAGAGCGGAAGGCCATTTTGATGGTGCTGGGGTTTGCTTTTAAATTTTCTTATTGGTTGATCTACGTAGATGATAGTCGCACCTCCTGCAGAATTTCAGATGCAAAAATATATACAAGGAACAAACTATTCCTTCTATTCCTGTCACCCAGCCTATCCAACACTGCAGAGGCAACCATTATTACTTATTTATATGTGTATCATACCAGAAATATTTTGTTCATTTACAACCAAATAGGTATTTATATCTGTGTGTGAATGTGACTTTCTCCACCTCCATTTCCATACAAACGATGGTATACTCTATGTGTTGCTTTCCTCCTTGCTTTTTCTCCTAGCAGTATATTTTGGAGACTTGGAGGTTGGTCCATATCCTGACATAAAAAATAGCTCCTTTAGTATACTTTATGGCTACATAGCATCTATAATATAATTATACTATAATTTTACAGTCCACATTAATGGACATTTTGATCCTTTCAAATTATATATATATGTGTGTGTGTGTGTGTGTGTATATATATATATCCTTAACCCACTAGAGCAGTCCTGGGCTGCTTCTTACACCTGTGGATGTTTTTATGAGTTCTAGGAAGATCTCAGCCATTTCTTTCTACTTTCCCTTTTCCTTATGGGACTCACAGTTAACATCTTGTCAAACTTTTCAATATATTCTCTATGCCTGCTATCATCTCTTGTGTATTTTTTCTCCATCTATATTTCTAGATAGTCTGCAGAGTAGGTAGACAGGAGGAAGTAGATGTGTGTGTGTGTGTGTATATATATATAGTATATATAAATGCACATTTGCATACATAAAACCCATATATCTTATATATAAATATATAGTACATTTTTATATATTTATGTAATTTTAAGAGACTGAAGGAAATACAGTGAAACAAGTTAAGTCTTTTCCTACTTGGTTCATCAGAATTAACCACTGGTATTATGGGTCCATTTTCCTGCTTCATTGCATACTTGGTAACTTTTTAGTGGATACCAGATCCTGTAAATTTTACCTTGTTGGATGTTTATTATTTTTGTAATCTTGTAAATATTCTTGATTTTTTTTCTGGTTCATTTTAGTCTTGTTTTTAAGCTGTTAGGCAAGACCAGATAAGCATTTAGTAGGGATATTTTCCCCCCATGAATGAGGCAAAACTCTTATGAGTACTTTACATGACGCCTTGTGAGTTTTGAGGTGTTTCACTCTGGTTGATGGGAACAGGAACTATTTCCAGTCCATTGTGAGACACTGTTCTCTTTAGTCCTTTCAGATGGTTGTTTCCCAGCATCTAGGTCCTCTGCTAGTTTACTCACACACATTTGCTGAGTAGTACTGAGTTGAATACTGCAAGGGGATCCTCTGAAGATCTCCAGGGTTCTCTTTCTGGACTGCAGTTTTCTCTGGTACTCTGCCCTGTGAGCTTCAGCTGCCTTGGCCCTCCTGGACTCCAGCTCCAGCTCCATCTCCTCAATTTCTTGAGATCATTGGGCTCTAGCTGGTTCCCCCTTCCCTATGCTGTGGCCTCAAAACTCTTTCCAGGCAGTGAGCTGGGGCAATAATAGGGTTCATATAGTTTGTTTCGTGTCTCTCAAGGATCATTGTCATTTGTTGCCTGTTGTCTAATGTTTTAAAATCATTGTATTTTTGTCTTTTTTCTTAGTTGTTTCAGACAGGAAGGTAAATATGGTCCCTGTTACTCCTCATGCCTTCTTCAAAATCTTTTATTTTTTAAATTTATATCTTTAATCCATCTGGAATTTATTTTTGATGAGATAAATACAGTTTTAATATTTTTTCCAGTGGTCAGCCAGTTGTCCAACGTCATATTTTGAATTCTTCCCTTCCTTCCTTACCCAGTCTGAAATGGCACCTTTGTCATAAACCGAACCTTCATAGAATTTGAATCTATTTCTGAACTCTTTATTCTATTCCATGGATTTTCCACTTTTTGTCTAATGTCAAACTTTTTTACTTATTGGAGTTCCAAAATATATTGCATTGTCTAGTAAGGCTAACTGTCTCTCATTTTTTATTTTTAAGATTTCTGAGTTTTCTCACATGTTATTTTTCTGCATGAACTGCAAGTTCCTTCTTGAATATTGGAAATACTATTTATTGGAATTGCATTAAATGTATAGGACATAGATAAATTTGAAGGTGGCAAAAAGAAGGTTGGGATAATACAAGTTCAATCACTTCAATTTTCATAGTGAAGTAGGAGGCAAAGACCCAAAGCTGGGAGCAAGTAAAATAGAGGTGAGATGCATACTAGAGGTAAATGATGAATGTTCCAGGGTATCATATGTGCTCTAGTGAGTGAAGTTATTGGATCTCAGATAGGAATTGCTCTTCAGGGTATGCAAAACATTGGCCAAATATCACAGGACTAAAAATGAAGAGATGTCACCATTTGTGCTTTGATGTTTCCTTTCTCTAAAAATATAAAACATGCTACAAATGGGTCCCAAAATTAGTATTTGTTTTACCAAACTGTGGCCCTCCCAAACAGATCTCTTGTCATCCAATTTCTTTGAAAATACCTGCTCCATGGTTCACTGTTATATCTCCAGTCCCAAACATCTTGCCTGCCCATAGTTGTCACTGAATAAATGATGATGGAATGAATGGATGAATTTCTGAATGGCTTCCTTAGAATTCTGCTTAAGATACTATGTTGTTATCTCTGCCCGTCTTTCTTCAAATTCAAGGCAGCCAAAAATTTAGCCAGCTGAAAATTCAAATGGACAATTCACCAATTACTTGGAAATGTAGAATGTATGGTAGATTTCTTCTGCTTTGCAAACTAGTGCAATGTCTTAAACTATTTTTGAGAAAATGTTTCGTTCAATATTAGCCTTTTTTTTTTTTGGAGACAGAATTTCACTCTTGTTGCTGTGGCTGGAGAGCGATTCTCCTGCCTCAGCCTCCCAAATAGCTGGGATTACAGGCATGTGCCACCATGCTTGGCTAATTTTGCTTTTTTAGTAGAGATGGGGTTTCTCCATGTTGGTCAGTCTGGTCTCAAACTCCTGACCTCAGGTGATCTGCCCACCTCAGCCTCCCAAACGGCTGGGATTACAGGCATGAGCCACCGTGACTGGCTATTAGCTTTCTTAGACTTTCTTTCCAAACAACCTAAGTTATTATTCATGTAAGTAGGCCCATGGGAGAACTAAAATCAAAAAGAGCTTAAGGCAAAAGTGAGCTGATTTCATTCAACATTCATCTCAATAATAGAGTTAAAAAATGGAAGAAGTTCAAATTCTATTAACGTGATTCTGCATTTGGCCCTAAGTGAACTGCACACTCCGCTATTTGAATCAGCCAATGGTTGCGAAAAAGAAGACTCTTAGTTAGGTAAAATTTTCCAATAGTTATCTGATAAATTAGATGTAAACAAGCATATGGTTTAAATTGGTACAATTCCTTTACTTTAAAATATCTCAAGGTGATTTCTAATGGAGAAAAGCAGAGTGCTCTCTTTTCAGAGACCAAGTTTATTCTTATTCCGATAGGAAGACATATTTTAAGCATTCAAGACAGTCTTCATGCAAGATTCCACTATTAAACAGGAAAAGGAGAATTTTAAAAATTAAGAATTCACTTAAACATTTTAGATATTGGCCTGATGAGACCTTTTGTAAACCATTTAGATTCACTTGAAGCCTGCTTCCTCCTTTTAAAACTTATTTTATGTTACTTTATTTTAAGGGAAGCAAGGCTTGAAATGCTTTAACACCCCCTCAGAGACTGTTTTGCTATTACATAGCCCATAAAAAGCAATGTTTGGATGATTTAAGGGGAAATGAATCAGAAATTTAAAGATTCAGTTTTCCTTGTATAACTCAAGTTGGTTTTTTTCTCCCCCTCCAGATTCAATAGAAATGGCCCTTAGGGTAAAACACATCTTGGATTTTATTAAAACAAAAAATATTATCTATGAACATGGAGATAGTAATGTCTATTATAAAATGTTTTTATTTTAAAACATTTAGACACTAAATCTTACATTTTTCCATGGATTCACAAGGGATTTAACATTTTTCCCAATTTCTGCAGAAGGAACAATTTTCTTGCATCGAATCTGGTCAAATAAATTCTGTGTTTCAGAGCTGGGTGGAAATATGATCTCAGCTCCCCAGGGGATGTTTTCATGAGGTTTCTCTCAAAAGCTATTTTAGGCTTCTCAGTTACACACCCTGAAGGGCTGATGATGGTGTAGTCTAGGGTATCTCTGGGACTGGTTAGCAATATTTTAAATATGGTTAGTCCTCATAGATTCAATATTTATTTCTTCTAACATTTAAAATAAGATTTTCATTTAGGCATGGAACTTGTGTGATACAAGCATTTCTAAATGGGTTAATAAGTGGCTTCACCCTCCACTGATATAAAGGAAAAGGGAGTCAACAAATTGCTTTTCTCTCCTCACTCTCCCCTACTGACTGAAACAGGAAAATTCTATCATGTTTCTGGGCTGCAGGCTCCTCATCTGTAAATGAGAGTGTTTAATCTCTGGGATCCCTCCCACAGCTGATGGGCAGTGTTGGCACATAGTAATTATTTGTGAAGTGGTAACATTTGTTTTTATTGATGACCTCGCTTCATGGTGAGTATTGGAATATCTTAGTTTTAAATTCCTCTGGGATATCCCATACTCATATCATTTGGCTAATTATTAATAATCTTTGTAAAAATATATGTACATATCTTCCAGATAGCAGCATGGCATGGTAGGAAGAACCTAGACTTTGACTCAAAGGTCTTGCACTTAAGTCTTGCCTCATTACTTATTAGCTGTGTAATCTTAGGAAATTTTCTTCATTTTTAAAAAAGGTTCACTTTCTTCATCTGTAAAATGGAGATGAAGGTAATACTATTGGGCTTAGTTCTTCGTTGCAAATAGTAGAATCTACTCTAGTTTAGGCAAAGAAAACAAATTATCAAAATATTAAGCAACTCACAGAATCTCCTGGAGGGCAAGAGAAGCAGACTTAGGAAGTATCAGGCCAGAAACAACATCAAATCACACTGTACGATCTGCTCCATTGAAAACGTCGTCACTGCCAATGCTTGGCAACAACTCTGCTTCTTGCAGAGACACTGTAGCTTGCATTGATAATGCTTGGAACTAGATGCCAGGAGCTCAGCCATTGAGCTCCTGTGGTCATGTTTACCTGGAATGGACGCCATGCATGTCTACCTCGTTGTAGCATTACCTTCCAAGCTGGGACTCACACGGATGCAAAGACTCATGCTCTGAGGTCAGCAGCAAGGGAGCCTGAAACAGTGAGTTCTGGCCCCACTTTGGGGAGTGACAGTGTGGAAAACTCTACAAACTCATAAAAGATGTTTAGAACATATTAGGCATTCTCAAACTACTCCACCCAGGTGAGAATCAACGCCCCAAGTAAGAACCCTTGCACTATGTGTATGGTAATTACTGCCTTTTAAAGCTTGTTTTACTATTTAAAGAAAAACAAGGTAGACGAAGCTTAAAAATAAAAATTGCTAGAAAATCTAGATAAATGTGCTATCTTTTTTATTTTGAATATATATTACATATATGATTATAAAATTTGTATTATAAAAATTCATGATCAGGGAAGAGAAGGCAAAAAAGCGTATTCAAATAGGAAGAAAAGGAAGTCAAACTGTCTGTTTGCAATGACATGATTGTATATTTACAAAACCCCATCATCTCAGCCCAAAAACTCCTTAAGCTGATAAGCAACTTCAGCAAAGTCTCAGATACAAAATCAATGTGCAAAAATCACAAGCATTCCTATACACCAATAACAAACAGAGAGCCAAATCATGAGTGAACTCCCATTCACAATTGCTGCAAAGAAAATAAAATACCCAGGAATACAACTTATGAGGGATATGAAGGACCTCTTCAAGGAGAACTACAAACCGTTGCTCAAGGAAATAAGAGAGGACACAAACAGATGGAAAAAAATTCCATGCTTGTGGACAGGAAGAATCAATATCATGAAAACGGCTATACTGCCCAAAGTAATTTATAGATTCAATGCTGTCCCCATCAAGCTACCATTGACTTTCTTCACAGAACTAGAAAAAACTACTTTAAATTTCATATGGAACCAAAAAAGAGCCCATATAGCCAAGACAATCCTAAGCCAAAAGAACAAAGCTGGAGGCATCATGCTACCTGACGCTACAGTAACCAAAACAGCATGATACTGGTACCAAAACAGATATAGAGACCAATGGAACAGAACAGAGGCCTCAGAAATAACACCACACAGCTACAACCATCTGATCTTCTACAAACCCAACAAAAACAAGCAATGGGGAAAGGATGCCCTGTTTAATAAATGGTGCTGGGAAAATTGGCTAGCCATATGCAGAAAACAGAAACTGGACCCCTTCCTTACACCATATACAAAAATTAACTCAAGATGGATTAAAGACTTAAATGTAAAACCTAAAATCATAAAAACTCTAGAAGAAAACCTAGACAATACCATTCAGGACATTGGGATACACAAAGACTTCATGACTAAAACACCAAAAACAATTGCAATAAAAGTGAAAATTGACAAATGGGATCTAATTGAACTAAAGAGCTTCTGCTCAGCAAAAGAAACTATCATCAGAGTGAACAGGCAACCTACAGAATGGGAGGAAATTTTTGCAATCTATCCATCTGACAAAGGGCTAATATCCAGAATATACAAAGAACTTAAACAAATTTACAAGAAAAAAACAACATGAAAAAGTGGGCAAAGGATATGAACAGGCACTTCTCAAAAGAAGACATTTATGTGGCCAACAAACATGGGGAAAAAAGCTTGTCAACACTGGTTATTAGAGAAATGCAAATCAAAACCATAATGAGATACCATCTCACGCCAGTTAGAATGGTGAACATTAAAAAGTCTGGAAACAACAGATGCTGGCAAGGATATGGAAAAATAGGAACACTTTTACACTGTTGGTGGGAGTGTAAATTAGTTCAACCATTGTGGAAGACAGTGTGGTGATTCCTCAAGGATCTATAACCAGAAGTACCATTTGACTCAGCAATTCCATTACTAGGTATATGCCCAAAGGATTATAAATCATTCTAGTATAAAGACATGTGCACATGTATGTTTATTGCAGCACTATTTACAATAGCAAAGACTTGGAACCAACCCAAATGCCCATCAATGATAAACTGGATAAAGAAAATGTGGCACATATACACCATGGAACACTATGCAGCCATAAAAAAGAATGAGTTCATGTCCTTTGCAGGGACATGGATGAAGCTGGAAACCATCATCCTCAGCAAACTAACACAGAAACAGAAAACCAAACACCTCATGTTCTCACTCATAAGTGGGAGTTGAGCAATGAGAGCATGTTGACACAGGAAAGGGAACATCACACACCAGAGCCTGTCGGGGTTTGGGGGGAAAGGGGAGGGACAGCATTATGACAAATACCTAATGCATGCAGGGCTTAAAATCTAGATGATGGGTTGATAGATGCAATTTTATTTATATATTATTATACACACAATAATTACATGTGATTTTTTTAATTTAATTAATTAATTAATTTTTTTAAGATGGAGTTTTGCTCTGTCACCCAGGCTCGAGTGCATTGGTGAGATCTCGGCTCACTGCAACCTCTGCCTCCCGGGTTCAAGCGATTCTCATGCCTCAGCCTCCCAAGTAGCTGGGATTATAGATGCATGCCACCATGCCCAGCTAATTTTTGTACTTTTTGTAGAGACAGTGTTTCACCATGTTGGTCAGGCTGGTCTTGAACTCCTGGCCTCAGGTGATCTGCCTGCCTCGGCCTTCCAAACTGCTGGGATTACAGGCGTGAGCCATTGTGCCTGGCCCTCAATTTTAAAAATTTAAATAATATATCATGGCCATATTTTCATGCCAATAAATATTGATCAACATTATAACTTTTAATGGCTGCATATTGTGCTGTTATATGAATATAAAATAATTTTTTCACTAATCACATATTCACAGGTAGTTTCCAGATTTTTGCTTTTAACGACAGAGTTATGATGATTATCTGTATAACCAAATACATACTTGGAGTAATTCTTTTTTTTTTTTTACTCTTTTTTTCTCTAACCTTGTCTTCATGCTTTATTTCATTAATTTGATCTTTAATCACAGATACACTTTCTTCCACTTGATCAAATCAGCTATTGAAGCTTGTGCAGGCATCACGTAGTTCTCATGCCATGGTTTTCAGCTCCATCAGGTCATTTAAGGTCTTCTCTACACTGTTTATTCTAGTTAGCCATTGATCTAACCTTTTTTCAAGGTTTTTAGCTTCCTTGCAGTGGGTTTGAACATGCTCCTTTAGCTCAGAGAAGTTTATTATTACTGACTTTCTGAAGCCTACTTCTGTCACCTTGTCAAAGTCATTCTCCATCCCGCTTTGTTCCATTGCTGGCGAGGAGCTGCTATCCTTTGGAGGAGAAGAGGAGCTCTGGTTTTTAGAATTTTCAGCTTTTCTGCTCTGGTTTCTCTCCATCTTTATGGTTTTATCTACCTTTGGTCTTTGATGTTGGTGACCTACAGATGGGGTTTTGGTGTAGATGTCCTTTTTTTTGATGTTGATGCTATTCCTTTCTGTTTGTTAGTTTTCATTCTAACAGTCAAGTCCCTCAGCTGCAGGTCTGTTGGAGTTTGCTGGAGGTCTACTCTAGACACTGTTGGCCTGAGTGTCACTAGTGGAGGCTGCAGAACAGCAAATATTGCTGCCTGATCCTTCCTCTGGAAGCTTCGTCCCAGAGGGGCACCCACCTATACGAGGTGTCTGTCGGCCCCTACTGGGAGGTGTCTCCCAGTTAGGCTACACGAGGGTCAGGGACCCACTTGAGGAGGCAGTCTGTCCATTCTCAGAGCTCAAATGCCATGCTGGGAGAACCACTGCTCTCTTTGGAGCTGTCAGACAGGGATGTTTAAGTCTGCAGAAGTTTTCTGCTGCCTTTTGTTCAGCTATGCCCTGCCCACAGAGGTGGGGTCTGTAGAGGCAGTAGGCTTTGCTGAGCTGCAATGGGTTCTGCCCAGTTCAGGCTTCCCGGTCACTTTGGTTACCTACTCAAGCCTCAGCAATGGTGGATGCCCCTCCCCTAGCCAGGCTGCCACCTTGCAGTTTGATCTCAGACTGCTGCGCTAGCAGTGAGCAAGGCCCCGTGGGTGTGGGACCCACCAAGCCAGGCACAGGAGAGGATCACCTTGTCTGTCGGTTGCTAAGACCTTGGGAAAAGCGCAGTATTTGGGCAGAAGTGTCCCATTTTTCCAGGTACAGTCTGACACGGCTTCCCTTGGCTAGGAAAGGGAAATCCCCTGACCCCTTGTGCTTCCTGGGTGAGGTGACACCCTGCCCTGCTTCAGCTCGCCCTCCATGGGCTGCACCCACTGTCCAACCAGTCCCAAGGAGATGAACCAGGTACCTCAGTTGGAAATGTAGAAATCACCCATCTTCTGCATCAGTCATGCTGGGAGCTGCAGACAGGAGCTGTTCCTATTTGGCCATCTTGGAATGGAGTGTGTTGCTGTTCCTATTTGGCCATCTTGGAATGGAGTGTGTTGCTGTTCCTATTCGGCCATCTAGGAATGGAGCTTGTCCTTTTTTTTTTCTTTTCTTTTCTTTTTTTTTTTGTGATGGAGTCTCTCTCTGTTGCCCAGACTGGAGTGCAGTGGCATGATTTTGGCTCACTGCAGCCTCCACCTCCAGGGTTCAAGCAATTCTTCTGCCTCAGCCTCCTGAGTAGCTGGGACTACAGTTGCCCACCACCATGCCCAGCTAATTTTTGTATTTTTTTTTTTACTAGAGATGGGGTTTCACTGTATTGCTCAGGCTGGTCTCAAACTCCTGAGCTCAGGCAGTCCACCTGCCTCAGCCTCCCAAAGTGCTGGGATTACAGGTGTGAGCTACCAAGCCTGGCCAAGTAATTCTTTATGATGAATTTGTAGAACTAGAATCGCTGCTGTTTCAAAGTGTAACAACTGAAAAGACTTTGATACATGCAGCCAAATTAGCCTCAGAAAATTTGTAACAATTTCTACTTCCACAGCATTTGCATATCTATTTCCCCATATTATCACTGATACTAAGTATTATCGACCTTTTTTATTTTGATCAATTTGCTAGGAAAAAAATATTTCATTAATATTTAACTTGCATTTCTTTATTTACTGTTTACATATATTTCATACAAATTTATTTTCCACTTATATTTCTTTATTTGTGAGCTCTGCGTTTATATCCTTCATCCACTAATGGATTGATGTTCACTTTTCATTGGTTTTTACAGCTCATCATATATAAAGATATTGAATATTTGTCTTCTATATGTCCTCCACATACCTTTTCTTTTGAGTTAAAAAATACATATAGCAAAGTGTGCAAGTCTTAAGTTTACAACTCCATATGCATATATCACAACCACCACCCAGATCTAGCAAATAACAGTTCTAGTACCCAAGAAGGGCCTTCATGTTCCTCCCAAGTAAATACCTTCCACAGAGGTAACCACTGTCCTGACACCATGGATTAGTATTGCCTCTTCATATAAATGGAATCCTACATGGAAAGGAGCCATTATGTCTGGGAATGTCATCTATGCTGATTCACGAAAAATAGCCCACCTCTCTGAGCTACAATTCACCAATCAGTGAAATGAGGATAATAATAGTACTTTTCTCATATGGTGGTTGTGGAGATAAATGAGTTAGTGCAAGTAATTATGTTATAAGCAAATATTAATTTAATGAAGTAATAAAATTCTAGAACAGTGTTTGGCCTGTGGTAAATAGTAATACTTCATTAAGTGTTAGCTACTAGTATTATGCTACTGGGTTACCTTTGCTAATTTTTTATTTAGAGTTTTTGTATTGATAATTGTAAATGAGTTTTGTATCGATAATTGTAAATGAGTTTAGTCATGCTGTGTGTGTGTGTGTGTGTGTGTGTGTGCGTGTACTAGTCTTGTCTTGTTTTGATATTGAGTTATGCTCATAAATGACACCTTTATCTATGTTCATGTTCATTCCAGAAGTTTTGGAATGACCCTTTACTGCTTGCATCCACCTGAGAACACTACCAAATATGTCACCCAGATACCTCTCAGATCTGCTGACTTCTTCATCACTGTCTTCTTCACTCTTGTTTCTGCCTCCATCATCATTCTGCTTGTCCAGTGTAATAAGTGATCTCCCCATTTCTAAACATGTACCCCTTCCTGTGGTACTTAGGTTAAAACTCTAAGATCCTTATCATGGTCTACCAGGCTCTTCATATTATGGCCCTGCTTCTCCATCCCTGGCTTGCACCAGGGTTCCTCTTACCCCCTGCTCTGGACATACTCCCTGCCCAGAAACACACTCCCCTGTCCCTAGCCTGGCCAATCCCTCCACATTCTTTCTCACTGAAGCCTTTCCTAATGTGGAACTATCCAACAGACTTCCCTGGGTAATCATTCATCTCACCCTTCACTCTCTTAGCACTCACATAATGTATAATTATGCATGTATTTGTGTGGTTGGTTAATATCTGCCTCTTAGCTCTAGGAGTTACTCCTTTGTTTGCCACTTTAGCTAGCATAATGCTTTGTACATAAGAGTTGCTCAATCAATATTGATGAAATTAGTGAGAGGTTCCCAGTCTCACTGTGGAGACAGATACAGAAACAATAGCAATGAGAGGAAAAGCCAAAACAGATGTATGAAAACAGATGTTGGGAGCACAAAAAAGGAAGAAACAAACTCCACCTGGGGAACCCTCCCATTAGCAGGTAACAGAAAGAGTTGCTCACTGATTAGCTAACCTCCATTTGAATGTTATTCTCTGACAGTTGACAATGTTGATGGCACTGTGTTGCTGTTTAACACACAGGGAAGGAGCTGACTTTCTACCAGATATTAGATGCAAAAGTCCCAAAGGATTCAAGGAGGTAAACATGCATCTGAACTCCTGGCTCACACACAAAGGACAAAGGCACCTCTGAAGGGGGCAGACGTCTTCTGCACCCACAGTCCTGTTTATTTTCTCCTCCAGTGGAGGGGGTAACATAGGTCAGCTGGAATGGTGCATCCTGATGAATATTTATTGACCCAAAATGTCATGCTGACAGACATGTGGACAGGCAGAGAAAGATTTCTCTTACAGAGGCCTTCCTTCTCTGCTCCCATGGTTCTGACACAGCTGACATTTCCCTACATGGGTCCTGACTTCTCCAGCTGCTCCTGGGGATGCTGGTGTCTCTCTGATGGGGTCACTGAAGACACTATTCCACATTCTTTCTTGGGGGCTGTGCTGCCACTCTGGCCTCTCACAAATGGTGGTCTTAAGATGTTGGTTTCCCATTCTTCCAGCCAGCACATGCACAATCAGCTAGCCAGTCTCAATTCCAGTCTCTTCTCCACCAGCTCTTCCCCCTCCTCCTGGATTTCATTGTCAGGGTCATAGGTGGCCAAAATTAACTGTGCATTTTGAAGAGGGAAGTCCTAGGTGACACCCAAAATCATCTTTGTGATTAAAAAAATGGGTTCTGTTTTTGCTATGAAAAATAGATGTGGGGTCACAAATGTGACCCTTTTCTCTCTTACATTCCTAATATTTTTCTCCATTTTCTGTTTTTTCTTTCCCATTTCTCCCATCAAAGCTTGTTTTATTTAATTTTTATTTAAAAAACTTTTTATTGTTAAATATATTGTAAGTACCAAAAAACCATGAAAAGAGAATGTGCAAGTTAAAATAATGGTTTTAAAGGTATAACTCTTGTAAACACTACCCATGATAAGAGAACTTTTCCAGCCACCTCAGAAGCCCTCTACATGCCCATCTCTCAAACATCTCCCCTCTTCCAGCAAAAGTAACCATTGTCCTAACTTTTATTGCAACCACTTCTCACTTTTTAAAAATAGTCTTATCACCTAAGTGTATATTCCTAAACACCTGTTTAGCTTTACCTGTTTTTTATAAATATCTTTTAAGTGCCTTTTAATCCATAGGCTTCCCCTTCATCTCCTTATTTTTCCTTACAATTAATTCATTGAAAGAAATGCAACACTTAATCTAAAGAGGTTCCTACAGTTTAGAATTAGCGGGTTGCTTCCCCACAGTAAAGTTTACTCTGTGTTTCTGATTGTGTCTAAGTGACCAATCCAGGTCCTCCTCCTCCTTCTTCTTTCTTCTTTCTTCTTGTTTTAAAGCATAGGACCTCACTATTAGGTGCTCTTCCTTAGAGGTTACGTATGTCTCAATGTCTCTCTTTTTGTGATGTTAGTAGTCATTGATGTTTAATAGCTTTGATTTTTGCAAAATTTGTGAGTCCGCAGCTTTCTGATCAATCTTGCACTGCTCTGTAATCTCGTATTTCTCTTTTTCTGTGTCAAGGATCTCACCTTCCTGATGTCTGGGCTTCTGCAGCTTCTTCTTTGTGAAGTAAGCATCAGTAAGATGTTTTGGGGTTTTTACATTGCTGATATCAATTCTGGTTGAGGTGCAATGACAAATTTCTGGTGTGTTCTTTGTAGAGGAACTCGATTGAGGACCAGAGGTCCAGTCACAAGTACCAACCAAGCCGCTAGCCAGCTGCTTCAGGAAAACCACCCTCTTGCTCCTGTGGTGTCCAATGAGGATGATCAGAATGGTCCTGGGGGTGATGCTGGCTCGCAGTTTTCTCACGTGCCAACTGAAGGGTATTTTGCCATGGCTCAACAGCTTTTGAGGCACGTCTTCAGTAGGATAATATCTAGGCATTTTGTGAAGTTTAATCACCCAGATACCACCATTCTTGTCACCACTAACTGGTTTTGTAACAGTTGCAAGAAGCTTCTTTTTCTTTTCAACCTTGGATTTAGTGGCTGAGTACTTCCTCTTGTACGTGGCCTTTCTAGAATACATAGCAGATCAGGAATATGTGCCAATTCTTCTGACAAGGGCAGGATTTCAGCTGCAACGGGGCTTCCCCTTCTTGGGCTTTTTAGCCCTGAGGTTACCCCTTTCCACTTTGCCACCAGCATTAGCCTTTTTGGCTTCGGGCTTCTTCTCTTTGGTATGCAGCTTCTCAACTTTTTCACCCATCATCTTGCAGGATGGGAAAGAGAACTCGAATTTGTTGAAATTTAAGTACCCATGTGGTTTTTGTTTCTTCGGTGGCACACTTTGCATAGTAAAAACAAAAGGAAACCTTAAAAATTTTAAACTTTTATTTACCAATTTTCC
This sequence comes from Homo sapiens, assembly GCF_000001405.40. Lineage (NCBI taxonomy): Eukaryota > Metazoa > Chordata > Mammalia > Primates > Hominidae > Homo > Homo sapiens. The sequence goes on from NC_000001.11 coordinate 119,220,235, forward strand.
AAAAACTAGTTGGTTCCCTAGCATCTTCTGAAGATAATCAATTTAGGTTTTTTGGCAGGGGGTGGAAGTGGGGATGGGGGCAATTTTATTTTATTGTGGTAAGAACACAACATGAGATCTACCCTCAGGAAACTTTTAAGTGTACAAGACCTTATTGTTGCCTGTATGTTCTATATTGTAATGCAGATATCTAGAGCTTATCATCCTGCTTAACTGAAACTTTATGCCTGTTTATTGATAACTCCCCATTTCTCACTTCTCCCAGTTCCTGGCTACCACCATTCTATCCTTTGCTTCTATCAATTTGACTATTTTAGATACCTCATATAAGTAGAATCATGCAGTATTTTTCTTTCTATGACTGGCTTATTTCACTTAATGAAATATCCTCAAGGTTGATATCTTGTTTCATATTGCAGAATTTCCTTCTTTTTAAAGGCTGAATAGTATTCTATTGTATGTATATATCACATTTTCTTTATCCATTCATAGTTTGATGGATATCAAGGCTATTTCCACATCTTGGCTATTGTGAATAGTGTCTCAATGAACAGGAGAGTGCTAATATATCTTCAGGATCCTAATTTTGATTATTTTGGATAAATACCCAGAAGTGGGATTGCTGAATAATATGGTATGTGATTTAGTTCAGCTTTTAATTTTTTGAGGAAACTCCATGCTGGTTTTCATAGTAGCTGTAGCAAATTGATTCCCATCATCAGTGTGGCAAAACTGAAAATCTTGCACTCTGTTGGTTAGAATCAATTTGGTTTTTTAGAGCTGATTTTAAAGTAGTTAAATAGGCAACTACTCATGTTGCACTTTGACATTCCTTCCTCTCTCACACACATCACAGGGAGAGAGAGGATTCAAGGAGAAGAAACCCACAGCCTCTGAGTCAGGGGAGAAGTTAGGCCAGCAAAAATGTTGGGACCCAAGGAGGAGCTCAGTAAGCAAGCAAGCAAGCCTCAGAATTGCTCAGGGTGACCTCTCCTCTTCAAGTCAAATACCTTTGTGTCTAAAGAGGATTATGTTGGCCATGCTCCCTTATAGTCAACACATGGGAAGGTATTAAAAAGAGGCCTCTCTGGAGACACTTTGGTTTCCTTTCATAGTCAGCATTGGATCCCTTCATGAGATGGAGCAATATCTTCCATTAATTCACGTTCCTATGTTCACCCTCCTCCCCCACACCCTACAGGGAATGTCTGCAAACATCAAATGCTTCTCAAGTCACCTCCAATGCTGATTGGTGTCTCTCCTATTTTTTTCCTTTAGTAATAGCTAGGGACTGTGGTTTGGGGCTGCTTTGGAGTATGAGTTGGGGGGTGAGATGAAGAGGCAAGTAGTCTAGCAAAACTTTTCAAGTTGAGATTAGAGTTTCCAGCAGGGTCCTAATTGTCCTTTGAACAAGTCTAAAGTCTTCTTCTTATAATTTTTTAATTGATGTATAATTCACATGCCTACAATTTACTGTTAGGAAGTGTGCAATTCGGTGGCTTTTAATATATTCAAAAGGTTGTGCAGCTATTATCACTGTGTAATTCTAGAATATATTCATTGCTCCTGAAAGAAACCCTGACACATTAGCAGGCAGTCTGCATCCTCCCTCCTCACTCCACCCAACCCCTGACACCCTCTAATAATCCACTTTCTGTCTCTATGTGTTTTCCTATTCTGGGATTTTCACTTAAATGGAATTACATAATAAGTGGACTTCATATCTGGCTTGTTTTACTTATCATAATGTTTTCAAGGTGCATCCATGTTGTAGAATGTATCAATACTTCGTTCCTTTTATGGCTGAATAATATTCCATAATATGGATGTAGAACTTTTTATTCATTTACTCATCAGTTGATAAAAATTTGGGTTATCTCTACCTTTCGGTTATTATGAATAATGTTTCTATGAACATTTCTGTATATGGTTTTGTGTGAATACATGTTTTTAATTTTCTTGGATATATAGCATTACTAGGTCATACAATTCTGTTTAACTTTTGGAAAAACTGGCAAGCTGTTTTCCAAAAAAAGCTGCATAATTTTATACTCCAAGTAGCGTTGCAGAAGGGTTTCAGTTTCTCCATGTCCTCACCAATACCTCTTACTTTCTGTCTTTTTAAATCTTAGCCATTGTACCTGTGTGAGCGGTATCACACTGTGGTTTTGATTTGCATGTCTTTTGTGACTAATGATGTTGAGCATTTTTTCATGTGCTTCTTGACCACTTACGTATCTTCTTTGGAGAATCTTTTTTAAAAAAGTACTATACATTTCCCTAGAGAGATTTGTTTGTTGTTACTAATTCTCTCTAGGTTCTTCTTTTGCCTTGGAATATCGGGGAAAGTCCCAAGAGTGTTCTGCATCCTTGCTCCTTGATCTCATCTTTACGTGAAGAAGACTGTACAGCAGAAGCAGCAGCAGATTCAGGGTGGGGCTGAGGGTGGGGAAAGTGGGTGCTGTTCTTGTTTGTGTGATTTGAAAAAACTCCCTGAGTGAGGATAAAGACACCCAATCTGTTAGTGTCTCTTTCCTTGGGTTCTATGTTGAACACTTTGTCCTTTGATATCTATTAGAGGGTGAGATGGAAGTGGTGATCCCAGAAATCACTTTTCTTTGTCTTGGATGAAGGAGAGTACTCAGAGAAGTATTCTATGGAAAGGTTGCTGAGGCATTCATGACCAGGACTGGCTCCAGGCACCTCTTCCTTTGTTCACCTTCCTTTCCCCATAGTCTTCTTCCTGCCTTGTCACTGGGAGGCTTCTGAGTGGCTCTTGGGTATCCTCTTAGCAAGGGACAAAGTAAACTCCTTAGGCTTGAGCCTTAGGCCCTCACCATGTCCCTTAAGGCACCATAGGCAATGAAACAAGCTCAAATATTGGCCAGGAGCAGTGGCTCACACCTGTAATCCTAGCACTTTGGGAGACCAAGGCGGGCAGATCACCTGAGGTCAGGAGTTCGAGACCAACCTGGCCAACATGGGGAAACACCATCTCTACTAAGAATACAAAAATTTAGCCGGGCATGGCGGTGCTCACCTGTAATCCCAGCTACTCCGGAGGCTGAGGCAGGAGAATCACTTGAACCCGGAAGGCGGAGGTTGCAGTGAGCTGAGGTTGTACCATTGCACTCTAGCCTGGGCAACAAAAGCAAAACTCCATCAAGAAGCTCAAATATTATCTATGTGCTTAGCACTGTGCTGGATGTGGGGAAGGGGGTTCAGGAATAATGGATTTATTTTTTTCAAAAAAACATTTTCAAGCACTTGCCATATGCCAGATTCGGTGCTTCCCTGAAGCAGACCGATTTGGAGAAAAATAACTCCGGATCCAAGTCATCATTTGATGTATCCCATGTGGATAGCCCCCATATGAAGTAGAGCCCCAGAAGAGAAGAGGCAAATGCAGTGCGCAGTGATGCCCACATAGGTGCAGAGTCACAAGGGAGTGGCCAGTGATGCAGCTCCCAACATTGGCTGGAGAAGCTTGGACAGGGAGTCCCCAGCTCAAGGAGGGAGAAACATCATCACCATGACATACAGGTGGAAACCGTGGTTTTGTCTTGAGCTATTACATATTTTCCTGAACTTCTTATCTCATACATTCTAGGAGGCTATCTTATTCCACATGCTAAAATTATTTATGGAGGCAACAAGTAAATTTAATCCATCGTCATCTGCTAGGAGAGTATAACCATGTTAAATATAATCTTATTATGCTCCCTGCACCTTTTTGATTGCCACTTCCTTTTCTGTCAGTGTCAATTGTTTCTTCACTGCTGGTTTAAGTTTTCTACTCGATAAGCAAAGGTTTTGAATTCATCTCGATTAAAACAGTGAGGCCCCAACTCCATCCTACCAGCTTCCTCCAAAGTTCGTGTATACTCTATATTCAGATCAGCTGCCCAGGGCACAAAGAAAGATGAGCTATGAGCTATGACAACATGAGGACATCAGGCCAGATGCTTCAAGGCATTCAACTTCCTTCTGGAAATAAAATCACTAAAGAATTTTATCTCTCTGGAATGGTTTAAGTGTGCTTGAGGGAAAAAACAAAAAACAAAAACAAAGAACAGAAAATGAGCAGATATTGCTCAGGTCTCATCCAGCCATTTATATTAAGTTGCACTGTCCAAATTAGACTAGGAGCAATTTATTTAAGCTGGTGGCAAGCTTCCCAATGCTCAGGAATGCCCAGAAATCTGGATTCTTATAAGATGTCCCATTTAGTAAGTTGGAGAGTAGGTTCATTATGTAGAGAATGTCAAGAAAAGGAAGCATGGGCTACTATTAATATATACGATGGCATTTTCTCATATTTGTGCATCAACCACTCTATCTTCTGCCCTCTTACAAGACTGCCTTCTTCTCTTTCTCCTGTCTCTTTATTCTCTCTTTATTCTCCTTCTGTATGTATCTATCTCTGTTTCTGTGTGTACCTTTTTCTACTAAATCAGTATCTTCCCTCCTTTGCCTCTTCCTCTTCCACTTAATTTTTTCTCTCCCATTTTCAAATGAAAGACATGGCTCTGATACTAGTACATTTTAAACAAGCCACTTTACCTCTTTGGAAAATAGTTCTGCATCTGTAAAATAAAATAATTCTTAGATTTCCCTCTACTGCTAAAATTCTATGATTCTTTGAAATACCTCATTTGTTCAAATAATCCAAAGTTCTTCTCCAAAAATTTTCTCTAAAAACCTGTGCAAATCGACTATGTCATGATTGACAAGCAGAGTAATAGCTTAATCCCCTTTTCTTTATCTTTGGGGATTTCTTTACCTTGGATATTAGAAAGTCAAACACAATTTTTGACACTTCCTTTTTCCACACTCACAATTTCAGAAGCCTGAGAATATAGAGGTATGCTTCTGCAGCAGCAATTCAGATATTTTATCAGCATTGGAAGCTAAGGATCTGGGAAAGAGGAGGAAAAAGCCAGAAATCACAATTTTTAAAAAGAATTTTTTTGTGGTATTGAACTCCCAAAGATTATTATATGTAGCTCAGATTGCATGCCCTACTTTCTATTTTCATGTTCTATGTATTTTCATGTTCTTTCCCAGATAGAATATCTAAGAGAGCATCCCTTCCCCCTACAAAGAATGATTTTTATTTTCCATATGGTATATGCTAGCAATCCTGGCAGTTCACCACATTTATGTAAACATGCAGAGATACCTATAAATTACTGGACTTATCCCAGTTTAAGTTTCCAACTATGTACTGTAATATTTACAGCTGTTATTACTTTAGCCTCAGAAGTTATTTGGGCCCATTTATATGGCTGATTAGTCATTTAGACTGTAGGCTCCATTTATTACATTGTTTGGGGATGGGGAACTCACAGATACTCACTAGAGGAACCAAGAATCTATATATAAGCCAAGAGTTCTGCAACCTGGTGGAACTTTTCAAACCTGAGGACTCCAACTCCAAATACCAGCTGACCGTCAGTCACCTAGGGCTACCCTGCACTTTAAGATGACTTTGGGAGAACCTGGGCACTTCCCCAGAGTATTTACATTGGTAGTGAAAGGCCAAGAGAACTAACAGCCTCTCTTTTAGGAATCTGGACCTTATCCAAAAGATCTGAGACTGGTGGTGGGGTGGGGAGGAGACCCTAGTGGACCTTAATAATATTGCTGCAGGAATCTTGGCAGTAAAGACTAAACTGGGCTTTCTCAATTTCCCCCCACCCATCTCCACTGCAAGTCTCATTGCTTAGCCCAGGCTGAGCGCAGTTCCCTTGAAGGTCCAAAAGGCTGGAAATCCGGGTCTCTATTCTGATGCCAACTTCTAGGTCAACCTGCAGGGGGTGCCCTCAAACTGCAGCTGCCTCCCTGGGCTCTTTTACTACAGTACTTGGAAGGATTATTTTACTATTATTATCTATAATTAACCATGCAGTTTATTCACATAGCATCTTAAGCTTTAGACACCTTTTCTTCTCCCTAAGTGTCTTTTTATGTTTTTTGTTTAAGCCTCACAGTCACCAAATAAGGTAGCCTGTATAGAGAGGTGAAGTGACTTTACTGAGTTTAGGTGGGAATCAGTGGTAGAGACTGACCTAGAAGCCAAGCATCTTGATTTCTAGACCTGTGCTATTTCTACAAGAGTTCTTACAATGAAGATAATAACAAACAGAAAACACTTCTGCTATTCCTTTTATTTTCATTCTCCTCTTTTAAACTTTGACATGCTTTATTTATGTCAGTTCTCCTGAGATCAGTTTTCATGAAACCCTAGTACTTTACTGGCTGTCCTCCATGCTCAAACAATGTTGAGTAGAATCTCCAGTCTTGTTCTGATTTATTCAGCAGATGGAGTATTATTATCAATATTTCTTCAGCGTTTGAGGGGGCATTTTTGGATGATAAAGTTAGTTTCCATTTATCATCATTTTATCCCCAGTGCTGGCTTGGGAAGCTTTGATTTTTGTTGTATGAATGTGAACTATGAGATTGCATTCAACTTGTTCTGTTTTCCAAGCCAGAAGAATGGAGAACAGAGTGCAAACATATATGATGGGCTTTGGCAACTTAGTGGACATTTTCACTTAAAGGGAAAACCGGTATTCCATCAGATCGTTATCCTTACCTCTGTAGAGCTGGAGGCGGTCATAGAAAACATTTAGTAATTCCAGTTCAAGGCTTTTGTTTTCACTAATGCAGAAAATAAGATTCAGAGAAGTCAGGAGATTGTCTGAGATCATGCATCTACCTGGTAGCAGTGCTAGAACTAGACATCAGGTCATTTGTACCAGGTCTGAGGCATGAGGTCTGAGACACTGTCTGGGAAACCACAGGGCTTTGCACAGACTAGGGCTGGATACACTTGGAGAACACTCAGGGGACTTCCATGTGATTAATTCAGTTCAACTTAACAAACACTGAATGGGGCCACCACAGGGAAAACCTCGCAGGGCATTGCGTGGAGCCCCACCTTCCCCTAAAGGCTGACTGGGTATGGCCGGGCAACAGTGTTTTTTCCTCAGTTCTGCTCTGAGGGGCACAAGGATCAGGACTCCTGGGATGTTGCTATGTCTGCATTGGAAAAGCCTCTCTTAGGACCAAAGTCTTGATCTGGATGAATGAGGCTTAAGCTTTTCCTTTATTTCCTGTGGTAACTAAAAGAAAGGCCATGAAGAGGCTTTCCTACCAAATCACAGGAAGACGACAGACTAAGGAGAAGGAACACACTTTGACTGTGGAAGTCACAGAGTTCTTAAACCCAGTGAGAAGCCCTGTTGTTATTAAGAGTGGCCTTACCACAGCTGTGGCTTAGAAATGGGAAAGAAGGGAGGTGAGAGAGACCCACATGTGGGTGTGTGTGAGTGTGTGTTGATCTGCAGGCATGTGCTTTGGAGACTGAGCCCCACTGATACCAGGAAGGCAGGAATCCCTGCTGCCCAGCTGACAAGAGTGAGTCCCTGCGGGCCTCCTCCTTCCTCTCTCAGAGGCAGCGATCATGGTGGGGGAGGAGGCAAAATTGCTAAGAATAGCCACAGTCTTTGAGACTTGCTCTTTTCAAGGAATCAATAGAATTAGAAATGAGACATCAGCTCTAATCAGTCACATATGTTTGGGTTCTTAGCCCCTAGGAAAAGAATTTCTAGCTGTGGCTCCTCACCACAGCTAGTGGAGAAAATGCAACCTGGCAACGTGCAAAGCACATCTACACCTGTGGATTTGAGTGGGCCTCCTTCTGTCCTCTGGAAGGCTCAGGGACAAAAGCACCCCTTCTCACATGCTGTCAGTCTGACACCTGGTCTGATTGGAAGTGGTCAGACTTCTGAGTAAGCATCCCCTATGTGGCTTTTCAACAAGTGTGGAAAATTTCAATGCACACATAACCCCAGGCAGAGCCACGAATTGGAGGCTGGAGGAGATCCCCTTCGCTGAGGCCCCCGGTCCTTTGTCTTATTTGCTTATGTTTCTGAGACATGGAGGTGTTTGGGGAATTAGGTGCATAGTGAGAGGATGTTTTGGTTTTTGTTTTGTTTTACTTTTTATTCTATAAAAATGTAAACCTACCAATAAGTTGTGAGAATAGCCAAATGAGCCCCCATGTCCGCTTCATGTATGTTCACTATCGGTCAGCAGGTTTTCACTGCAAACATAGGTTTCTCAGTATGGTTTCCTGACCACCTACATCACCCTCAGACCTCTTATATAGGATCTCAGGGCCACCGGGGCTACTGTACTTTGAGCAATTCCTCAGGTAATGTTTGTGTGCTGATAACTGTGAACTACCCTTTTGAAAGCCTCACACTGAGTCAGGTGTCTGTGAACTTGCCCCTTAGTTCTTTGTGTTACCAACTCCACAAGCTCCAATGAGTCACCAGAATATTGTGCTAATTGATATCGTCTCTTTAGGTCCTGCCTTACTCTTCCAGAAAAATAAACAAAGAAAATCAGCTCCTTTCTTTTTCTAAAATAGCACTCTTCTACTCAGCAACTATGAATGGCCCTTATTCAAATTCCATAGACCTGCAATGAAAATAAAATATCATATTCAGATTTTTGCCAACTTTTAAATACTATAATTTATGATTCACCTTGAAAGCTGGTTTCCCTTGAAAGTTGTTTTTTATAGCCCTGGGCTCGTACTTAACTAGAAATGTCATCTGTGAATTATTTGTGTATAGGTAATGAGTGTGAATACATGCGCACACACAAAGCACTAGTAGAGCTTTTAAATGTCAAAATTTAAATATTCTAAAGGAGCAAAGAACAAAATCAAATTTGTGGAGAGATTCTAACTCCAAAGTCTAATCTACAGTTGTTTATATTTTGTGGTCTGTAGCATGTCATTTAAAAGGAAAGAGTTAAGGAAACAGGGGAGGGTGAGGTGGGAAAGGACAGGGATTGGTGTTAGGAGTGTACAGTATATGAGCTGTTGGCACATTAAAATTATAGTCAAGCAGCAAAGTCACAGCCAGATAAGAGATGGGAGCCCATCCTCATATGCACCTTCAGATACTCACTAAACATCTCTCATACACGTTTGATTCCTCACACCATACAGTACACTTTTCACCGAGCAGGTGCTCAGCAGTTGAATGTTCATATGAATGCCATTCCTCAGCTTCTTCTGAAGGTGCCACTGACACAATTTTAGGGCTTACAGAGGGCCGGCCTGAAGATCTGGGATTCTGCCCTAGGGACCCACATTTTGGTGTCCCCTGTGGCTTCCGCTGCTCACAACCACCATGTTGCACAACTTTAGGAACCACATTCACTTACATAGAAGACAGTGTGAATGGAGACCTCAGACTTGGCACCTGGCAGCTCTGACTGTGCCCTGGACACCTTCTGGGAGAACTGCTGTGGTCAATATGGGTGTGCCTCCCAGGGTTAGCGATTGGATTTGTGTGGTTCATATTTGCCCTCCTATTATTCATTCATTCACAAATGCTACTCTTCTAGTTTATGCTGCTTGTCCAGGGAATGGGCCCTCCTTCTCTCCCCTTTTATCCTTGACATGTCTAACCTTGTTCTATAAGTATAACAAACACCAAGAGTATCTGGGATGCTTAAAGTTGAAGACATCCCCTTTATTGGGGTTCTAATGGAAAGCCTTAGAGTTATGGCTCTTGTAGAAATGCAGAATAAGTATGAGATTTGGGGCACACACTTTTTCAATTATAGGCAGCTCAAACCCACTATTGCTCCCCATCCATCTCAATCTGAAGGTGGGTGGGGCAGCTGCTCCTAAACATCTTTGCACACTTAATCTCAAACCTCACTCATGCAGCTTCTAAATTTTTAAAAATTAAACCTAAGCCTTACAAAGTATACACTCTGATTTATATGAGTTTTGGCAAATAGGCACACCAAATAAAAACCTTCGTAGTTGGAAATGACAATGTCGGGGGAATAAGGGCTGGAGAATGATATCAGAGTACCTTTTTTTTTCTTTTTTAGAGACAGAGTCTCACTCTGTTGCCCAGGCTGGAGTGCAGTGGCGCGATCTCGGCTCACTGCGACCTCTGCATTCTGGGTTCAAGCAATTCTCCCGCCTCAGCCCCCTGAGTAGCTGGGACTACAGGCGCATGCCGCCACGCCTGGCTAATTTCTTTGGTATTTTAGTAGAGACGGTTTTTCACGGCGTTACCCAAGCTGGTCTCGAACTCCTGAGCTCAGGCAGTCAGCCTGCCTCGGCCTCCCAAAGTGCTAGGATTACAGGTGTAAGCCACTGTACCTGGCCGGTACCCTGTTTTGATGAGCCAGTGGCAGCTCCCGGAACTCAAGTTAAAAGACTCTAAACTTGGTGTTGTATGAAAGTTGGTATGTTCTCCCATCCTTAAATTTATTTTTGAGCCCTGCTTTCGATGAGGAAAGCTCTAGAAAGTCGAGTCTCAGAGGAAATGGTACCAAGCTAAGCAGAGATTCTGTTGTAGGAGCTGGAGGTATATAGTAGGGGGTGGAATTATTTCTGGCTCAGTTCATCTTCTGGAAAGTTACCGTATTGCCCAATGTCCGGGGCCCAAAGATGCCGGTGAATTCAGACTTGATTGAAGCCACTGCTATCCAAGAAGCTCTGACATAATGAATCAACATGGCAGCAATCAGTATAGGATAGTAACACATTTTTAGTCCTGGCACAAGTTTATTGTTCTGAGTTACTATGCCATTGTAAGCATTTCCCTGCAGTGAGTTAACCTTGGTCTTGACCTGAATCTTCAGCAAACTTAAGCTTGTCCCATAAAAGCACTGAAAGCTGAAGCCTTTTTACTGACAGTGCCCTCGTTCCTTGCCATGAGAGGGGGACTGACAGGAGCAGCCAGGCTGGCTAAGTCAGCTGGGGCTCAGAGCAGAGTGCCAGCTCAAAAGAGAAATATTTAATAAAAAATGGAGGCAGAAGCCCAGTTATACAAATTAGGCTGTCTGATGGAGACAGGGATAGCTCTGGCTTTTTATTTAAAAAAAAAATTATTTCCTAAGTACTCATTTTAAACCCTCCTCTGTTTTAATGGAAGGTGCTGCCCCTTTAACATATGTCCTTTAAAGTAAGAGTACCTCCTTCCCAGATACGTGCAGAGCCCAGCCCTACCCAGTTCTGAAGCCACTCTGACACAGACCAATGTTTTTTCAGGGGCTCAGGCCTTTATCTCACAGGTCTGCAACCTGTTCTGTTGCTACAGGCACCATATCTAGTGCTGTAGTAGACACTAGGAGACAAAGGCGAAAAGGCTTTCATTCCTGACACAGCCTGCATATTTGCTCTAATTTGAAGTGGTGTGAACACACTGCCAAGGAAGCCCAGAGGAGGGAAGGAATAAAGCTGCCTTGAAGGACAAAGAGGAAGTGTTTCCAGAGGAGGCAACGATTGAATGGGACGAAAGCTTCACAGGACTTCACTGAACCAGAGGATGGAGAAGGACACTCTTAGGATAGGAAAAGTTGAAAAATCCCAAAGAGGCATGTTACACTATGAAGCGTTTGGACAATGGGCTACACAAGGTTGAAATGGGAGGTTGGAATAAACTGTTGAAGAGCTTTTAGCAGCCATGGTAAAGTGTCTGGATTTTATCTCAATGCAGCAAGGGCAGGGGGTGAAGAATCACATAATAAAATAGGCAATCTGCTCCTGAAATAACCAATACAGAATTTAATTATTTTCTGGTGGGTGTGCAGAAAAGCGTAATGAATTTTAGAGTCAGAGGGCCTAGATTTGAATCCCGCATCAGTTAATTACAAACCATGTGATCTTGACCAATTTTTTAACAGTAAAAAGAGGCTAGTAAGTGTATCAGTCTCACAGGGTTGTAGGGAGAATGAAAAGAGAACAAAAAGAAAGTGAAAATCACCTATGGCCGGGCCCAGTTGCTCACACCTGTAATCCCAGAACTTTGGGAGGCCGAGGCAGGTGGATTACTTGAGGTCAGGAGTTCGAGACCAGCCTGGCCAACATGGAGAAACATTGGCTCTAGTAAAAATACAAAAAACAGCTGGGTGTTATGGTGCATGCCTGTAATCCCAGCTACTCGGGAGGCTGACGCAGGAGAATGGCTTGAACTCAGGAGGTGGAGGTTGCAGTGAGCCAAGATCACACTACTGCACTCCAGCCTGGGTAACAGAGTGAGGCTCCACCTCAAAAAAAAAAGAAAAGAAAAGAAAGAAAACACCTTTTATGCTGTACAGCATTAAGCAAATGTTAGTCACTCATATTGTTATTTGGTGCCAAAAAGAGAGATGTTGGGGTAGTATCTATTTGTTTAATATCCTTCCTCTTTGTTATAGAGAATTCTTGGTTTTTCAGCAGTCCAAATGTTAATGTGATACGTGCTTTCCACGTGTCATGAAAACCCTTATTAGATGTATTACTTCTAAATTTAGCATATAGCCTAGCATATACAAGAACTAAAGAAAACTAGCATTGTTTTTAGTACTTTCCGGTGCCAAACAGTTGGCAAACATCATCTTATTTAATCTTCACTATAACACTCTGAGGCTGTTATTGTTCCCATTCTACAGATTAAGAAATTAAAATGGAAAGTTAATTAACTTGTCCAGAAGAATTAGCAAGTGGTAAAACTTAGATTTGAATGCCATGTTTACATGGACTCTATCTAATACCTGAGCTTTGTTCCACCACACTGCACTAGAAAGAACACATAGTTGGTGCTCACAGTAAGCAGCCCACATCTTTTTTCCCTGGTAACTGCCCCAAATTCTTGCCCTTGATGAAAGGCGTCCTGAGATGGCCATGCTTATAAAACACGACTCCATGGCCACAGCAGACTGGACTGCTCCTGATCCAACCTGGGCTAATCACATTCCCCTTTCTGAAATTTGGGACACTCAGCATTGGAGCTAATCATCTGTGGTAATCAGGCTGAAAGGACTAGCAGAATTAGGACCTGAACCCACAGTATGGCAAGCCAAATTCAGATTCAGGCTGGAGAATGGGGAAGCAGAATCCATAAGTCAAGAGAAAACCACAATGTCCTGAGAGGAGGATGGAGCTGCACAAACAGGATCAAAGATGGGGAATCCTGTATTCCGAGATGGAGTGATGTGTGAAGGTTTGTCTCAGCTCCCTGTGGCCTTCCAGTTCCCCGCTCCAATTCACATGAGATCTTGATACCTTTACAACAGTCTCTATCTTTATTTAAACTAGCTGGCCCTACAATCAAAGAGCCTTGACTGAAACACCTCACAGTAAATACTTGCTGAATGATTGGCTGATGAGTATATCTTTTTTACTTCTCTAGGTGTCTGTCTTCATCCTAAGGAGTCAACTGCTATACCTTAGTGATTTCAATGTAATTGTTTGGTCTGTAAGTCATTCTTGCCACTGTGGTTCTGGGGCCATTGTTCTGCAACGATGAATAAACAATGTTTTAGAAATCACTCATCCAAGAAAGGTGACAAGATACTGGAATAGAGGTATTTGAAAAATATTCATGGGAATTTTAGAGGATTGTAGATGGTCTGAATACCTGTGAAGACATCATCTAATGTATCTAAAAACCACATAATGCTTCATCTCAATGTATTTTAAGAATTAATTTTGTTATAAGCTAGAATTTTTCATTTTGGTTTTAATAATAACATCAAAAGGATTTTTTAACATAAATTAGAAAGGGCATACATGGAGAAGTAAAGAAGAATTCTTCTTGGGATTAGCCAAAAATTAGTGAGAGATTACATATTTCCTTAGATGAAAAATCCTACAGGCAAACTTTTAATGTCAGGGAGAGGAATACTTTATTACCTAATAATGTAGATGAAAAGAATAGCTAAGCATTCTTTTTTAAAGCAGTATACAGAAATGAGGGAAAGGCTAAGAGGTTAACTCATTTCTATTTTGAACTCTATTTTTTTTAAAACCCTTGCTCCAAATTTTACTTACTATCTTTTAAATGTCATCCTGCTAGAGTGTAAGTCTTTAGTTTTAGTTGCTTAATAAAAATTAATTTTTTGTGACAAAAGGCATACCATTCAGAAAGTGTGCTATATTTTTTTCTGACTCAGTTACCCAGACCTAAGGGGATGCAGAGAGTGTGGATATCATGGCTGCCGCCCAGGCAGCAGCTTCCAAGGTCAGTGCCTGGGCAGAAAAGAAGCATCACCTTTGGAATATTAGTCATGTTGATATGTAACAATTAAACGATTGCAGGCATCACAGTGCCACTTTCCAATGCACCAAATTCATTTCCAATGTGAGCTTTTAGTATGTGGAACACCTGCCAGCTGTGGAGAAATGCAAAATGCACTGAATTAGGAGTCAGAGGGCTAGGCTGCCATCTGTCACTTTTACTTATGTGCTGTGTGGGCTTGGGCAAACCATTCAACTTTTGGGGCTCAATTTTCTCATTGGTAAAACAGTGATGGTAGGAGAGAGGTCCTTGGAAAGTCTTCACTTTCTAGGATTGTGGGATTGAATCTTCTCAAGAGGTTGTGGATACTTCCTAGAGCAAAACAAGCACTCCAAACATGCTGGCTCCTTCCTTCATTTCTTCCTGCAGTACTGAGCACTGACAAGGCTACAGTAAAGCTGGCTCTGCCAAACAAGAATAGCATGATCTGCGACGTCTGCCTGCTATACCCTGGCCCAGCCACTCAGTGTTCCTGCTGCTTGGTGGGTGGAAGAAGACATGAGCCGGTGATGCTACCTGAGCAGATGGAAACCTTGTCTCTTAAGACTTTAAGCACTTGGGGAGCAACTAACTCTTTTCCATATTTGGATTTCAAAATAAAATCCCTAAACTGGATAGCAATCTAATTTAAAACTAGAATGACCAAGTGGTTCCATTGATCAGAGTCTGAGAAATAGAAAAAGCAGCTCCACCAGAAATATTTAGAAAAGGAGGCTCTGAGCTGAGGGTGGGCCTAGTTTGGGAGGCATCAGCATGAGGAACTGGAAGTGGACAAGGACAAGGACAAGGATGCCTTAACATTTCTTCATCAATGGCCAACGGCTTTGTAAGAGAGGATTCCCCACTTGGGATCAATAAGCAGTTCTCAGCTGATATTCCTTAAAGCATATGAAAGTGTGGAAGCAATCATACTGTGGGGGAGTTTCCATGAGGCTCCAAGCATGCTTAAGTGAAAGAATGAAAGCTGCCTAGAGAGCTCAAGAGAGAGGAAGAGAAACAGCTGTGAGCATCTCTGGAAGAAAGAAATGTATAATATATGCACACGGGGTGGGAAAGAGAGCAAAGGAGTGGGGAAAACAGCAGGAAACAGCATATTTCCATTCATTTCACTTTTAAAAACATAATTGTTTAAAAAAATTCAGGGACTGGTTCATACTATATGAGAATTTGCTTTTTAAAAAATGAGCAAACAAATCAGGCTTTAACTTAAAAATTACAATAATGCCACCTTTACTATTCACTATCTCATCAATGTGGGCTTGACAGTACTTACTAGAATAACAAGGTTTAATATTTTAGTAGACAGTAGAATTTAATGCTACACACACTGAATTTAACTTGCACTTAGCTTGAAATTGGATGAAATTGGACAGACTGATTCAAAGATGGAAATCAGGTCTATACTGCTTCTTCTTTAGGGTAGATTAAAGGATTGTTGGTCTATAAAGCAATCAAGATGATAGGAATATGTGTTGAAAAACTAAATTAAAAGCAAGATGGAAAAGGGGGAGGTAGCTGCCACCTAGTATGCTGTACCTCGACTTAATCTTTCTGAGTCTTGGTTTCCTCATCTGCAAAATGATTATAATACCACCCATTTCATAGGCTTGTTGTGAAGATAAGGTTACACAAGGACTTACAACAGCTCAGTAGATACTGAGTAAATAAATGGTTTACTTTCTCTGGCAGACCCCTCTGCCCAGATCCACAGTCACCAGTGTTCCTGGCAATCATTTGTTGGCTGCCATGTAGAAATAAATGACATGTCATCTAAGGCAAATAAGGTATTGTAGAAATAAATGACAAGTCATCTAAGGCAAATAAGGTATTGTAGAAATACATGACATGTCATGTATTGTCATATAAGGCAAATTGGGTATTGGTGACTGGATCTAAGTTTTCCCTTTTTCCAACCTTGAGGGATGGGAGTTAAGTTAGGAAAATGGATATTTTGTCTTTCTTTCTGTGTCAGAGACTTGTTGGTTAGGAGTAGGAGATGATGGCTATTTTGATGTCTCCGTTAATCATAGACTAGATGGTTACCAGGCAGCTGAAACATTTTCTGGCATGGTTGACTTACTGCTGCCCTATAGGGAGATAGCTTTACAGAGGTTCCCAAAGGAAACTCAACAATGTGTCCACTCCTCTTGGATATTATGCTAGGCACGTTCAAATGCAACATCTCATTTGCCCTTCAGATTTGCCATGGTAATATCTCCACTTTAAGGAAGAAAAGACTTAACTGAGAAGGATTGAATTGTTTGCCTGCATACTTATTTTTTTCAGTATCTATACTGAAACTAGAGGTAACATTGAGCCTGAGTTCCTTGTGAGCTGGTAGAAGATGAAGGAAATAAGAAAGGGTAAGGACCAAGCTTGTCAACACTGATTTCAAGTCTCCATTGCTTCTGCTGTGTACATCTCTGCAACGTTCTCAAGGCACCTCTGGAGTTGTCCAGCACACAGAGAATCTCTCCAGCCATCCACAGCACCCCTCAAAGCCTAAGCTCAGGAAGTCAGCCACAGCCCACTCTGCATGCCAGTGCAGACAGCTACCCATGGAAGGACCTGTTTCAGAACTCACTTTATTTCATCAATGAGCTTCATTTCACTGACAAGCAAACATGTCTAGGTCGGCCATGAGTGATTCTCTAGGGAGAGCTGAGTTACGGGATGATTCGCAAGTTTCTCATACATATATGATATATATGATATATGTATATATGAGATAGATATATATATATAATCTCACTTAATTCTTGCAACCACCCTATGAAGTAAACATTATTACTCTCTACAGACAAAAAAGTTCAAGGTGGTTAGGAGGTTTGCTGAAGGTCACAAGAAGTGGCAAAGCAGTAAGGCACAATGCTGTCTAATACTGAAGTCTTTCCACCTCACCGTAGGATCTCTCAAATAATTAATACTTACACTAAAATGGGGGGCATCAAACCTGGGCTCTGTGATTTAAAGTCTGCTGCTTTCCTAAATGAAATTCTTCCACTATAAAGTTAACTTTATCCCTTCATCCCCTATACCAAGATAAATTCATGGATCAGAGATTGGAAGAGTGATTGTTCCTTGTAAGGCATCTCTTAAATTTATGATCCTAGTAACTGGGGACCTCCTGCTGGATTAGCCTTGCATCTTTCCTCGCTTCCATCATAGAGGCTAACAAGACTGTTGATTCTTTCTTTCTAATGTTTCCTGTGTTCACTCCTGTCTATCCAGTCCCACTGTCACCACTCTCCTACATTATTTTAATAGTCTCCTAATTTCTTGCCTCCAAACTTTCCTTGTCTTTTCCCATTCTAAATCCTGCTGCTAGATAATCTTCTCAAAACATCATTTTGCAATGTCAGCTCTCATTCAGAAACCCTCCATTGACACCATGCAGCCATTTAGGCTGATAATGGAAAATAACAGTTAATGACATGATATGGAAAAAATGTTCAGAGTATGTTATTAAGTGAAAAGAAAACAGATTACAAAATACATAGAATGTTAATATTGGTGATCTGGGCCAGGTGCAGTGGCTCACGCTTGTAATCCCGTCACTTTGGGAGGCTGAGGCGGGCTGATCACCTGAGGTCAGGAGTTCGAGGCCAGCCTGGCCAACATGGCGAAACCCCGTCTCTATTAAAAATACAAAATTAGCTGGGCATGGTGGTGTGCAGTAAACCCAGCTACTTGGGAGGCTGAGGCAGGAGAATCACTTGAACCCAGGAGGCAGAGGTTGCAGTGAGCTGAGATCATGCCACAGCACTCCAGCCTGGGCAACAGAGCAAGACTCTGCCTCAAAAAAAAAAAAAAAAAAAAGTGGTGATCTGCGTGTGGCAGAATTATGAATGATTTTATCTTTTGCTTATCTGTAGTCCTTAAAATTTTTTGTAGTAAGGATTATTCTTGTAAAAAGATAAAAAAGCTACTATAAAAATAAGAAAAATACACTCAGAGTAGTGAAAAATAAAACAATAATGAGCTTCCAGTTTTTACAATTTCATTGGCAAAAAAGTAAAAGTTATCATAACCAGGGTTGGCAGGGAAATGGCATGCTCATACAATTGTCAGTGGGAATGCAAACTGATAACAATCTTTGTGGAAGGTGATGTGCAGGTTTCATCAAAGTGACAAATTCACATAAGCTTTGGCCCAATAATTCTAAGAGTCCATCATATAGAAAGATGGTTCTCAAAGTTTGATATAGACCAACAGCATCAATATCATCTGAGAACTTGTTAAAATGCATGATCTCAGGCCCCACCACTTACCTATTAAATCAGAATTTCTGGGGGTGAGATCCAGGAATTTGTGTTATAACAAGACCTCCAAGTGATTCTAATGCGTGTTTAGAATTTGGGAGCCACTGATATAGAAATACCCTTTCTAAGGAAGTACCTTTGTGTGAACAAGAGCCAATGATAAAAAGTTGCTAAATAGATTAGACTGATGTATCCTGTGAAATACAATGCATTGGTTAAAGAACAAAAGTATTAGCAAGGAGAGATCATTGGAATATATAACTTAGTAAAAAAAGAACAAGTTACAGAAATATATACCTATAATATTACTAACCAAAGTCAAAGTATACTTTATGTACTCATGAGTAAATGTTTTATTTACTCATAAGTAATAAAAAAATTCATTTATTACATATGTTTAAAAAAAATCCTCCCTTTGGCTTCTATTGCCTATAAGACAGAATCCAAACTTCTTAGCCTCATAATGAAGGTTCTATGTGATGTGCTTCAAACCTGATTCTCCAACTTCCCCCACCCTACCCCAGTATTTCTATAAAGAAACTCTGCTTTTTAATCAACCTGTTCTGAGAATGGCTTAATACTTAGTCTTATCTCCATTTTGTAGGTAGGGAAACTGAGAAGGGTGTCGGTGGAGCAAATCCTTGCCCACGGTCACATGGGCAGCATTTGAACCTGGAGCCAGTTCCCTGTGGTCCAACTCCAGTGCTTGCTCCATCCTCCAGACTGGTTGGCTAATTGTTTCCCAAACACTCTGGTATACACCTTTTTGCCTTTGTTTATGTCATTTTTCTTTCTTAAAATGCTCTGAATCAAGTCTTACATCCTCCACGAAGTTTTTCTTAGGAGGCCTAATCATGAGGAATCATCCAGGGTCACCACACATTGGGGGTAAACCTTTCATCATACGTGGAGCCTACTTTGCCTGTGGTTCTCTGTTGCACTTCAGGTCTATTTCTCCAAGAAGACTGTCACACCCTAGGGCAGGGACTGCTCTCTTCTTTTTTGTTCTCAGTATTTAATCTGCAATAAATGACTATAGTTGATGAAAATGATGATAGACTTGTACTAACACATATTTCTATTGATATGTTAGTAATTTGACTTCTGTAACAGCAGTGACCATCAGAACAAGCAATCAGAGAAGCAGACCAGTCCTTAGAAACCAGGAGCTGGGGTCGGGATGGAAATGAGACTTCTCTAGGAATACCTTTTCATATAGTTTTGACTTCTGAGTTATAGAAATGTCTTACTTATTCACAAAATAAAATTAAATATGAAAAGATGAAAAATAAACAAACCTTAAATCAAATACAAAAGCAAACAAATGAATCTAGCTGTATATCACATTGATAACCTCACCACACAGAGAAAAGAATTCAAGTAAAATTCTGAATATAGTACTCTGTGTTCACTACCTCAGTGGGAAATGTTCTAGAGATAAAAGTAATTCCAAAGAAATTTTAACTTTACTTAGTTGGTTACTTTTAAATAATTATAATGTTACTGGCATTCTGAAACTATTCTGTGCATGCTGTTGGACAAAACAAATAAGTAAGTATATCAGTGTCACTACATGGTAGGCAGAATAATGCTCCTTTTTCCAAGGTGTCCACACCTGGAACCTATGATTATGTTATGTTACGTGGCAAAAGCAACTTAGCAGGTGGAATTCAGGTTACCTTAAGATAGGAAAATTATTGCAGATTATCTCAGTGGGCCCAGTGAGTTTACATGGGCCCTTAACAGTGAAAGATGAGGGAAGAATCATAGGCAAGAAAGATGCAACAGCGAAGAAGAGGCAGGAGCAGGAGAGATTCAAAGCACCAGAAGGACTCAAACTGCCTTTGCTGGTTTTGAAGATGAAGGAAAGGGGCCATGTACCAAGGCACTCAGATGGCCTCTAGATGCTGGGAAAGGCCCTCAGTGGACAGCAAGAAAATGGGGACCTTAGTCCTACAACCACAAGGAACTAAATTCTTCCAACAACCTCAATGAGCAAGTAAATAGATTCTCTCCTAGATACTCCAGAAAGCACTACAGCCCTGTCAACACTTAGATTTTAGTCTGGTGTGACCCTTGTGAGACTGCTACAGAAATGTAAGATAATAAATATGTGCTGTTTCAAGATGATGCTGATAAACTTATGGTAATGTATATAGCAGCATAGTAGTTTGCTAGGGTTGCCATACCAAGTTACCACAAAATTGGTGGCTTAAACAACAGGAATGTATTGTCTCATGGTTCTATCCAAAATCAGAGTGTCAGCAGGGCGGTCCTTTCTGAGGGCTGTGAGAGAAGGATCTGTTCCAGGCCCCTCTCCTGGGCTGGCAGATGGCCATCTTTTCCCTGAGTCTTCAGATCATCTTCCCTCTGTATGTACCTCTGCACCTGAATCTCCCCTTTCACCAGAATTATTAGATTAGGACCCACCTTAATGACCACATTTTACTTGATTACCTCTGTAAATACCCTATCTCCAAATAAGGTTATATTCTGAAATAATAGGGGTTAGGGAATTCACTATATATAATTTAATTTATATACATACATGTACATATGACATACAATACATATTATATATAATATGTATTGTATATACATATATACACATTTCCCCCCAACCACGTCAACTGAAAAAAATCGAAAAGCAATAATATTCCTGCAGCAGTGAGCACAGCTAGCACCCAGATCTTGATTTCTAAGCAACATTTCCCACTAAAGAAATCAGGGCTCTCTGAAGAAATATGTGCTTCTGGCTCTGTTACAGGGCAAACACAAATGAGCCTGGGGAGTCCTGGTGTGCCAGAAAGAAAGGAAGGGCCTAAAGATCAATGGGGTCATGTCAAAAGGACACAGGATCCTGTTTGAAGAGGTTCCCAATGGCCAAATTTGGGGTAATTTCAATATCAAGAAGGAAACAACAGTAATGGATTATAATCCATTGAATT
Organism: Homo sapiens; assembly: GCF_000001405.40. Classification (NCBI taxonomy): domain Eukaryota; kingdom Metazoa; phylum Chordata; class Mammalia; order Primates; family Hominidae; genus Homo; species Homo sapiens. The sequence continues at coordinate 119,241,556 of NC_000001.11, forward strand.
TTTTTAAGTCCTTGAGTCCATTATGATACTAAAAGAGCATACTAAAAAAAAAGAAAGCCATCTAATAAATGTAGAAGAGTGATAAAATTAGAAAATCACAATATTTTGGCCTCTAATGTAACAATTGATTCAGGCAAGGATCATCAACAGATACCAACCACTGAGTAAAAGGTTTTGGCATTTTAGGATATTTACAGAGCATCAGTATATTATCCCACAAATTATTTGTTAATTACAAAGGAGGAAAGATACCTTTTAAATGACAGATTTGGTGCCTACTACTTTATTTTATTTTATTTTTGAGATGGGAGTTTTACTCTTGTTGCCCAGGCTGGGGTGCAATGACACAATCTCGGCTCACCACAACCTCTGCCTCCCGGGTTCAAGTGATTCTCCTGCCTCAGCCTCCCGAGTAGCTGGAATTACAGGCATGCGCCGCCACGTCTGGCTAATTTTGTATTTTTAGTAGAGACAGGGTTTCTCTATGTTGGTCAGGCTGGTCTCGAACTCCCAACCTCGGGTGACCTGCCCGCCTCGGCCTCCCAAAGTGCTGGGATTACAGGCATGAGCCACCGTGCCCAGCCTGGTGGCTACTACTTTAAATGATCAAGCTTAGCATCACCAATATTGGAACAATCTGATATTCTGTGTGACTTCTGATAAGAGGCATTCATGATATGACATACATTGATGGGATATTTTTACCAAAAAATATTTAACTTGTATCTAACTGTGAAGAACAAACATGTAAATCCAGAATGTGGCACATTCTATAGACAATTGGCCTGGAGTCTTCAAAAAGGTCAATGTCATTAAAAAACAAAAACAAAACTACAACTGAAAAAGAAGATAGGCCAGCATGGTGGCTCACACCTGTAATTCCAGCACTTTGGGAGGCTGAGGCAGGTGGATCACCTGAGGTCAGGAGTTCCAGACCAGCCTGCCCAACATGGCGAAACCCCGTCTCTACTAAAAGTACAAAAATTAGCCGAGCACGGTGGCGGGCACCTGTAATGCCAGCTACTCAGGAGGCTGAGGCAGGAGAATCACTTGAACCCGGGAAGCAGAGGTTGCAGTGAGCCAAGATCACGCCACTGCACTCCAAACTGGGAGACAAGAACGAGACTCTGTCTCAAAAAAAAAAAAAAAAAAAAGAAGATAGAGGGATCATTTCCGATTAAAAGAAACTAAAGAAAAGTAGAGCGTAGAATGGTGGTTACCAGAGTCTGGGGGCAGGGAGGGTAAGCAATAGGGATAAGTTGACCAAAGGGTATAAAATTCCAATTAGGAAGAATAAGTTTTCAAGATCTATTGCACAGTAAGGTGACCATAGTAATAATGCGTTATATATTTCAAAATTGCTAAAGGAATAGATTTTAAATGTACTCACTAACAAAAAAAAAATAAATATATGAGGTGATAGATATGTTAATTGGCTTGATGTAATAATGTCATAATGTATATATATATCAAAACATCTCTTTACTCCATAAATGTACAATTATTCACTAATAAAAATTAAAAATTTTTAAAAAGAAACTAACCACTGGGCTCGATGGCTTACAGCTGTAATCCCAGCACTTTCGGAGGCCGAGACGGGCAGATCACTAGAGGCCAGGAGTACAAGACCAGCCTGGGCAACATGGTGAAACCCCGTCTCTACTAAAAATACAAAAATTAGCCAGGTGTGGTGGTGGTCTCCTGTAATTCCAGTTACTCAGGTGGCTGAGGCATGAGAATCACTTGAACCCAGAAGGCAGGGGTTGCAGTGAGCTAAGATCTCACCACTGCACTCCAGCTTGGGTGACAGAGTGAGACCCTGTCTCAAAATAAATAAATAAATAAAAAGATTAAAATAATAATAAAAGAAACTAACCAAAACACCAAATGCAATATATAATCTTGGCTAGATTTTCATTTTTTAAAAAAATGCTATTAAAAGACATTTTGGGGACAGTTTGGAAAATTTTAGTGGGAAATGTATATTAGCTAATATTAGGACATGTGTTGCTAATTTTTTTCCTAAGTGTGATAATGTGATTATGTCAGAGAACATTATATTCTTGGGAAATGTATCTGAAGTATTTGATTCAGTGCTCCGATATCTGCAATTTTAAACAGTTCAGAAAAAAATGTGATAAACGGCAGCCAACTCTTACCAGCTCTCGAGAGCAGATAAATATTTAGGAATTTTGCAAGCCATTTGTTAAGTCATTATTTGCTCAAAATAATCCATGGGCCAGGCGTGGTGGCTCACACCTGTAATCCCAGCACTTTGGGAGGCCAAGGCGGGTGGATCACGAGGTCAGAAGATCCAGACCATCCTGGCTAGCACAGTGAAACCTGGTCTCTACTAAAACTACAAAATATTAGCTGGGCATGGTGGTGGGCGCCTGTAGTCCCAGCTACTTGGGAGGTGAGGCGGGAGAATGGTGTGAGCCCAGGAGGCAGAGCTTGCAGTGAGCTGAGAGCGTGCCACTGCACACCAGCCTGGGCGACAGAGCAAGACTCCATCTCAAAAAAAAAAAAAAATCATCCATGGTGGGAATTCTTACACCACAGAAATTGGCAATTACTACAAATGAGGGTTTCTCCTATCCTAGATCCAGTTTATCAGCATACTACCGCATATGGAATCAAATGATAATAACTGGTGAAACATTTCAAGTGTACCTTGTGCTCAGTATGGTATATTTTCAACTTTTGTTAAGATGTGGAATTTTTCAAAATAAAAAGCTGGAAAAAATAGATGGGAAAAAAAATCCTATCTCCCTGGGAAATACTGGAAACCACAGAGAAAAGGATAATAGCAGAGAGACAGATCATGGACTGTCCCATGGCCACCTTGGGACTCTCCCACGGGAGGCTTTGAGATGTGTCGGTGGCTCCAGATCTGCTGACTGGGGACCTCTGTGGTGAGGCTGGCTGAAGTCAGCAGGAAAGGGGAAGGTTTCCTACTTAAGTTCAGTGTGCACCAGCCCTCTTTCCTTCTTTTCCCTCTGGGCCTGGAGCTGGGCTTCTGGGTTGGTGGATTTCCCGGGGTTTCCAGGATCCCATAGGAAGCTTCTAATTCCAATTCCTTTGGATGAAAAGGTCTAAAGGTAAGGGTAGGTGGCTTATGGCAATTGTGAGTGGCAGTCTGGGCCCCTCTTCATTTTCCATTCTCTCTTCCTTTCCGTTTGTCTTTCCACTGCTTACTCCCTGTGCCCCTACTCACTCCCCTCCTCTTCCCTCTCTGTACTATCAATTTTATTCAGAAATGTACCTCTGCCAGCTCAATTGCACCCACCCTGCTAGGACAGTCTCAAGACTCACCACCTCCACAAAGTCTCCCCACCATCATCTCTCTCCTTACCATACCTCGTGGCGTTGATGTCTGGAATTACACCCTGTCATGGACTGTTGCAGGACTGAGTTGTGTGGCTGATTTTGTTTTGTTTTGAAACAAGGTCTCATTCTGTTGCCCAGCCTGGAGTGCAGTGGAGCAATCACGGCTTACTGCAGCCTCAACCTCCCAGGCTGAAGCAATCCTCCCACCACAGCCTCCTGAGTAGTTGGAGCTACAGGCACACACCACCACACCTGGCTAATTAAAAAAAATTTTTTTGGAGAGGTGGGGCCTCCCCTATGTTACCAAGGCTAGTCTCAAACTCCTGGGCTAAAGTGATCCTCCTGCCTCAGCCTCCCAAGGTGCTGGGATTACAGGCTTGAGCCACAGCACCTGGCCTGATATCTGCAAGCTCCTATAGGGCAGGAACTGGATTCCATATACATTTGCTCTGTAAAAAAACACTCTTTTTGACAGGACATCATGGCTCATGCCTATAATCCCAGCACTTTGGGAATCTGAGGCAGGAGGATAGCTTGAGCCCAGGAGTTTGAGACCAGCCTTGACAACATGGCGAAACCCCATCTCTACTAAAAATACAAAAATTAGCCAGGCGTGTTGGTGCACACCTGTAATCTCAGCTATTCAGGAGGCTGAGACATGAGTCTCACTTGAACCTGGGAGGTGGAGGTTGCAGTGAGCCAAGATTGTGCCACTGCACTCCAGCCTGGGCCACACAGCAAGACTCTGTCTCGGAAAAAACAAACAAACATCCCACTCTTTTCTCCCCAGTACAGGCTAACATAAAATATCTATTGAATTCAATCGAATTCCTTCCCTCTCCCTCTCTTCTCAATTCTTCTTGTTTCTTTTTCCTTTCCCTCTCCATCTCTTTCTCCTTTTTGATTCCCTAGGTTTGTCCCAGGTCGGCTAGTGTTCTTTTAGCTCATTTTTGCCCCTTGCTTTGCTCCCTCTGCTTGGCTCGCCAAGGCTGAAGGTGTGGCTGGACCCTGACTCTGGGTCTCTTCTCAGCCCAAGAGCTTCTCCTTGCTCAGGGAACTTTTGAGCACCATGGCAATAGGAAAGGCTGTGTCAGAGCAATGTAGATGCATTCTACACAGTCTCCCTTCAGGCTCTCCATCCCCAAAGACTGTTGGCTTCACAAAGGGAGTGTTGTCAGGAAGCATGGGACTCTCAGACATCTGCATCACACATTTTTTTTCTCTCCCATTCACTCTCCACCCACCACCAACCCCCTTGAATTCTCCAGACTGATTATTGTGGTAAAATATCACACATTTTCTCAATCTGTATGCAAACCAGGTAGGATTGACAGCTGAAGAAAGCTGCACGTTGCCTGGGCTTAAAGTTATCTGTTTTCCCTCTGAGGGAAAATCTTTGAGCTCTGTGACAGTGCCTTGAAGCCATGGCCCTTGTCCTAGACTGCCCTGGCCCAGGCAAGCGCCTGACCCCTACTAATGTATAGGACCTTTAGCAGCAGAGAGTGGGGGAGGAGGTAAACAGAACCCCCTGCATGCCAGCGATTCATGTTCTCTGAAGGGACCAGAATGTTATTAGAAACCTTGCCTGCCAAATGCTAGGCAAATGTAACCAATTTATTAATGCAGGGAATCCAATATGTGAAATTGGACCAAAAGGAGAGAGGCCAGCCACCCTCTCTCCACACTTCCTGATCTCTAACAGGGGTGGAAGGAGGGTGATGTACAAAGAGTTATGTCTTCTGCAAGAGGACGTTGCTGTCCTAATCACATGTGATAGTGACGACAGATATTCCTGACTGGAGCTTCAAAGGGCTGGGAGATAATTGTATCCACTATCCCCGGCTGGCTGTGAGGCTCAGCCTGCAGCTTGCAGGTTGTAAAGCACACTGGGTAGGAAGATCGGGAGCTTGGTCTCCTCTGTCCCAGTTCTGCAGCTCTGCAATAGAGACCAGGTGAAAATGGACGAGTAAGAATATCTCTCAGTGCCTGCAATGCTGACATCATATGCTGGTCACTTAAGCTCTTTCCTGCAAAGGGTCTTAGATTGGTCTCAATGTTGCATGGGTGTTTGCAGCTTCTCTCCAGCAAAGGAGAGGGTTCCTTCAGGGCAGAATGCATTTTGATATGCCTCATTGTCATTGATTTGCCCTCTAACAGGTGATTGAGTTGAAAAAGATGTTGGCAGCAACATTTATTAAAGGATTATTTTATTTATATATATATATATATATATAGTTATTACACATTACCTCATTTAATCCCCACACCAATACTTTATGAGGTAGATATTGTTATTCTCAATTTTCACTTAAAGAAATTGAACTCAGAAAGTTGACCAACTTGCCCAAGATTATAGGTATAAGTGGACAAGATTTGAGCCCATGTCTGTTTAACCATGTTCTTCACCACCTGGGTTTAAGGAGTAGAAACCCCCAAAATTTGTGGATAATCTGGTAGACTTGTCAAGAAGCAAATGTGGGGAATTTTCTGGCTAAGGATGCACTGGGAAGTCTTTTATTTTGGATTTCTAAGTTTCAAAGAATTGGTATACAGTGAAAACAATGGACACACTTTACAGAGCAAAAATAATCTTTATCATGATTCAGGTAAATTTTAGAATCTTAGAAGGTATCAGGCTCATTTGAGTGGGCATCAGTGTCATTGTACAAGACCATGTGGGGGAGAGATAAAGATCTGGTTGCTTTAGATTCTTAGCTATTTAGATTCTAGATGAATGTCATCTATTTTGTAATGTGTCATTGTGTGTCATCTCTCAACACTAAAGGCAAGATGGTAGTCCGATTAGTAAATTTTGAATTACATGGGAACAGATTTTGAAGACAGAAAATAAATCAAAGATTTAAAAAAAGGAAAAGAGAATCAAAAATTTTTTTAAAAGAATAAAAATAACGAAAAATGAACACATAAAAAAGAAAGAAAAGAATTTTAAAAATTGAACTAGTCTCAGAAATAATACTTTTATAATGTTACCAACACTTGTTAACTGAAGATAGTATTTTTAGTTGATTATGAATATGACTGAAGATGTTGGTGAAGTCCCCGTGCCCAAATGCTGTGAAATTCATAAGTTCATTTCTTCTGGAAATGTACCCGATGCGTTACAGTGTCGTATATGGATTGGCATGATGTGATGTGCCTGAGGAAGGGCAGAGCTACCTTCCATTCTCTGGGTGCCTTCCCTCCTCCTGCACTTTTCAGTGATGGTTTCAGGTTCCTGAAGGCTACCGTGTGCCACAAGGCAGGAGCTGCCATCTCTCCATTTGGAGAGGAGGAGGGTCAATTCAGCATCACTGAGATGGGGAAGAAAAGTTCAGACTTTATTTTGAATTAAAATCCAGCCCAACTCTTCTTGCTTGTTTTGGTATCTAGAAGAGCTTTCCCTATTCTCTCCTTCTTCTCCTATAAGCTGTTCACTTCCTTCGCCAAATTCTCTGAGGAGAATAAATCATTCAGTAAATAATAATCTGTAAGGCAATAAAGTTATGTATTTACTTAAAAACAATTTCTTAATGTCTGAAAAGGCAAAATAATCTTGTTGTCCCCACAATATAACAGCAGTGAAAGACCTCTTAGGACTTGGAAATTGGTGTGTCTCTGAGAGGTCAATTAGTAAAATTCACACTCAATGCAGCAAAGTCATCTAGCATAAGAATGACAACTCCAAAAATAATAATGGTAGCAATAAAAATGCAAAGGAATAAGTCATGCTACGTAAGTGTGAATCCAATCAAAAGTTGAGATGGGAATCCTCCAAGAAGATATGACTGAAATGTAAGTGTATTTTAGTATGAGGAAATAGAAAGAAATATGTTCTATTCTATCTGGAGAATGACCATAAACAGAGGTTGGCCCCAAAGGGGAAAAAGGAAGATCTGAAGAATGCTGATCTTGATTTGTTTAGAGGTGAAGATGCCATTTTTAAATGGCTTGGAGAATTGAAGTTTTCTTGGTGAAAGTTTACCCGTAGTAAAACTTCACGGTTCAGCAGCTGGTAGATCAAGTCTGGTCCACACTGCATTGAGTCATACTGTTTTTTAAAGTTGAATAAGTTGTTAACTAATTTCACATAGAAAAATCCATATATCGAGCCTTTCATGAAAAATTGGGAAAACCTAGATTAACCAGGCTGGCCACAATGGGCTGTAGCTATGACGCCATGGCTGCCTCCTTTAGAAGGGCATGCACTCTCCAGTTGGCATAGTCCCCACTATTCCCTATCATCGCCTGCTCCCTGACACGCTTCACTCATCTATGTTACACTCTTCTGAATCTGTTGGATTTTGAATGTGTGACTCCCTAATGGGTAAGCATGCCTTCAGCTACTTGAGCTGAAATTCACTTCTTGACACCCTGAACTCTCCTTGTTCTGATTCCATGCTCAGCATGCAACCTTCTGAGAATTTGGCTTCTCGTGTAATTTGCCTGTAAGGAAAGAATGCATTGATCTTCTGCCCTGAGCATCTTGGTCTATACGAGGAAGTGCATAGAGTAAATGCAAAAGGCTTAGGCTTTGGGGTCTGACAGGTCTGGTTCCAATTGCCGCACTGAGACTTACTAGATAAGGTCATCATGAGGCCTCTTGGCACCCTGCCAGGCATCTTTTCCTGGAGATGTTGCCCTGGGTCATCTTGGGTTATATGCCAGAATATTGAAATTGTAAAAGCATTTTTATAAGCAACATTGATACGTCTAAGTCACAAATTACAGCAGCTCCATATCCATCCAACCAATCAACAAACTTGAGCTTCTCTAGAGATCGTGGACATCTCAAATGAATAGAAAGCAATTGATAGAAACACAAACTTTTTGATGGTTATCTGTTCCAAAGAGGAAGAAGGGGAAATGGCAAATAGAACCTGGATTTTGAACTTAGCCAACTTGTATTCAAGTCCTAGTTCTTTCCTTTATTAACCATGTGAACTTAAGAAAGCTGGTCTGAGTCACCAAGATAAAAATTTCCTCCCTACACACCTAACAGAAACTTTGTGAGGATCAAATGGAATCCTCACATAGGGAAGACACTATGTAAACTGAAAAATGTATGAAATTGTTGGTATCAAATTTTTTATAATCCCCAGTGTATGCAAGAGTAGTAGTAGCAGAAGAAGAAGTCAAGAAGCCGAGGCGGGTGGATCATGGGTCAGGAGATCGAGACCATCCTGGCTAACACAGTGAAACCCCATCTTTAGTAAAAACAAACAATTAGCTGTGTGTGGTGGTGGGCACCTGTAGTCCCAGCTACTCGGGAGGCTGAGGCAGGAGAATCACTTGAACCCGGGAAACAGAGGTTGCGGTAAGCTGAGATCACGCCATTGCACTCCAGCCTGGGCAACTAGAGTGAAACTCCATCTCAACAAACAAACAAACGAAAAAGAAGCCTACACCAGGGTTTCTAGCCTGCCGGGGTAGCATTCAGAACCAAAAGATTAGTGCCAGGCCTGTAGCTACCAAGCCTGGACTGTAAATCAAATCAGACTCTGGTTTGTGAAATAAGCAATAACATCCAGTGATGATTAGGGTGTGGAGGAAAGAGTCTCACAAACACTGTTAGTGAAAGTATAAACTGGAACAAAGAAGGGAATTTGGCAGGACCTATCAAAAATTTTAATGTGCATACATACCTGTTGACTCAGCAATTTGCTTCTAAGAATTTATACTATAGAAATCCTTGTACAAATGGGCCAGAATACTTGTATTACAATGTTCATGGCAACATTATTTATAATAGCAAATTAATAGAGGGGTGATTAATACATTTTACATATTTCTACTATGACTGCTATGTAGCCATCAACAAGAATAAGGTAGACACATATATATTGAAATGGAATGGAATCTGTAATATGTGAATGAGAAAAAAAAAAGAAGTTGCAGTATAATATATACAGTGTGACGGGG